>NC_000015.10:39943540-40246570 GCF_000001405.40 Homo sapiens
CAAATCCAATTTTGAGTAGCATGTTTTGTGTTTTATTGGTTCTACAAAAGGGAACATTGTGATTTTTATTTATTTAATAGGATTAATGAAATTTGTAGTCTATAGATGGTACTATTGATGCTGAAGAATGTTTCTGAAAATTGCTAGGCATGGTGGCTCACACTTGTAATTCCAGCACTTGGGGAGGCTGAGGTGGGAGGATCACTTGAGCCCAGAAGTTTGAGACCAGCCTGAGCAAAATGGCGAGCACCTATCTCTAAAAAAATTAACTGGGTGTGGTGGTGTATGCCTATAGTGCAAGCTGCTCAGGAGGCTGAGGTGGGAGAATTGCGTGAGCCCAGGAGTTTGAGGTTACAGTGAGCTATGATCACACCCCTTCACTCCAGCCTGGGCCATAGAGCAAGACCCTCTCTCTTAAAAAAAAAGAAAAAAAGAAGAAGAATTTTTCTGAAAACAGTTGATGTGAACCCAGCCATACTTTTTGTATACTTTGGATCTTGCATCATGACTTGAACCTTTTTGTTGGAAAATGTGGGCAGACAAACAATTTCGGACCACCTCTCCCCTTTGCATATCAGAGGAATTTGTTGTTTTCTTTCTCAATAATTAGTGACACACTCTACTCCTTCAGTGTCTGTCATATACCTGAGCATTTACACTGAGTGCAGTACTCATTCTTTTTTAATCTTCTGAACATTAGGATCTACATATGAGTTCTCTCCTGGGTGGCACAACTCTCTGTGGAAGGCAAGACTAAGTGTCTTCTGGAGGCAGAGTATGACTGTGCTTTCCTTAGGCCAGACCAATTCCCTCGAAGTATAACGCTTCTTTGCCCCACTTTTGTGTAAAATCACTCAGTGTTTTTGCCTGGCAGCTTATGTTTAACGATCTCTTTTTTTTTTTTTTTTTGAGGCGGAGTCTTGCTCTGTCACCCAGGCTAGAGTGCAATGGCGCAATCTCGGCTCACTGCAAGCTCCGCCTCCCGGGTTCGCGCCATTCTCCTGCCTCAGCCTCCCGAGTAGCTGGGACTACAGGCACCCACCACCATGCCCGGCTAATTTTTTTTGTATTTTTAGTAGAGACGGGGTTTCACCGTGTTAGCCAGGATGGTCTCAATCTCCTGACCTCGTGGTCCACCCGCCTCGGCCTCCCAAAGTGCTGGGATTACAGGCGTGAGCCACCGCACCCGGCCAACGATCTCTTTATGTGAAAACTAAGAAGAGGTGCCCTCGGCTTCCATGTCTGTTTCAGACTTTTATTAGACATAACCAAAGATAACCATTCATCTCATGGAAAGTAACTGGACAGATTTTTACTTGCTTTTCATAACACAATGAGTCATAGTACAGTCCATGGAATGC
The DNA here is from genome assembly GCF_000001405.40 of Homo sapiens. Taxonomy (NCBI): domain Eukaryota; kingdom Metazoa; phylum Chordata; class Mammalia; order Primates; family Hominidae; genus Homo; species Homo sapiens. Next base: position 39,944,902 of record NC_000015.10, read on the forward strand.
CTTTTAGTTGTAAAAATTGTGTCCATTTAAGTTGCTGCTTCCAAGAACTTCAGTGATTGATGAGATTTAGAAAGTGAGTGTAGAACGGCCTGGATAAAAAACTAGGCCTTGGAAATGATTCCAAAGTTCTTTCTAGTACAAGGGGATTCCAGTGTCTAACTGAAAAGTAATGTGAAGTTATTTGGAAAATTCAGCTCCAGAGAAACCTCTGGTTTCTTGGATTTTTGATTTGTGATTTAAATTTTTTTTTTTTTTCTTTTTGAGAGACGAAGTCTCACCATCTTGCCCAGGCTGGTCCCAAACTCCTGGCTCAAGCAATCTTCCTTCCTCAGCCTCCCAAAGTGCTAGGATTACAGGCCCGAGCCACCACACCCAGCCTGATTTAAATTTTTATTTTGAGATAATTATATATTTATATATACCTCTTACCCAGTTTGCCCCGACAGTAACAGTTTGCTGGAAAGAAGATCAAATTAGCCACCACATTCCTTTACGCCAAAGCATAATCTGGATCAAGGCCCTAACTCTCTTCAATTCTGTGAATGCTGAGAAGAGATGAGGGAGCTGCAGAAGAAAAGTTAAAAGGTAGCAGAGATTGGTTCATGAGGTTTAAGGAAAGAAGCCATCTTCATAACATAAAAGTGCAAGGTGAAGCAGCATGTGCTCATGAGGAAGCTTCAGCAAGTTACCCGGAAAAACCTAAGATAATTGATGAAGGTAGCTACAGATTTTCAGTGTAGATGAAACAGTCTTATATGGAAGAAGGTGCCATCTAGAATTTTCACAGCTAGAGAGGAGAAGTCAGTGTGTGGCTTCAAAGCCTTATGAAAGGACAGACTGACTCGCTTGTTAGGAGCTAATACAGCTGCTGACTTTTCAAAAGTTGAGGCCAGTGTTCACTTACCATGCCCAAAGTTCCAGGACCGTTAAGAATTATGCTAAATCTCCTTTGCCTGTGCTCTATAAATGGAAAGGCAAATCCTGTATGATGGCACATCTGTTACAGCAGGGTTTACTGAGTATTTTAAGATCATTGTTGAGACCTGCTGCTCTGAAAAAAAAGATTCCCTTTAAAATATTATTGCTCATTGACAGCGCACCTAGTCACCCAAGAATTCTGAAGGAGATGTACAAGGAGATTAATGTTGTTTTCATGCCTCTTAACACAACATCCATTCTGTAGCCCATGGATGAAGGAGTAATTTTGACTTTCAAGTGTTATTATTTAAGAAATACATTTTACAAGCTTATTGCTGCCATAGATAGTGATTCATTTGATCTGATGTGTCTTAGCAAAGTAAATGGAAAACCTTCTGGAAAGGATTCACCATTCCAGATGCCATTAAATACATGATTCATGGAAGGGGGTCAAAACATCAACATGAACAGGAGTTTGGAATATGATTCTGACCCTCATGGATGACTTTGAGGGGTTCAAGACTTCACTGGAAGAAGTAACTGCAGAAGTGATGGAAATATCAAGAAGTCTATTACTAGAATTAGAAGTGGAGCTTGAAGATGTGACTGAATTGCTGCAACCTCATGATAAAACTTTAACAGATGATTAGTTGCCTCTTATAGATTAGGAGAGAAAGTGGTTTCTTGAGTGGTTCCTGAAGATGCTGTGAACATTGTTGAAATGACAATCGAGCATTTAGGATATTTCATAAACTTTGTTTTGAAGCAGCAGCAGGGTTGGAGAGGATTGACCCCAACTTTGAAAGAAGTTCAAGTGTGACTCAAAGGCTATCAAACAGCATTGAATGCTACAGAGAAATCTTCCATGAAAGGAAGAGTCAATCGATGCAGCAACTTCATTGTTGTCTTCTTTTAAGAAATTGCCGCAACCACCCCAGCCTTCACCAGCCACCACCTTGATCAGTCAGCAGCCATCATCAAGACAAAACCCTCTGTCTGCAAAAAGATTATGACGTCCTGAAGGTTCAGATGATCATTAGCATTTTTTAGCAATAAAGTATTTTAAAATTAAGGTATATACATTGATTTCTACAGACATAATGCTATTTCACACTTAATAGACTACCATATAGTGTAAACATAACTTTTATATGCACTGGGAAACCAAAAACTTTGTGTGACTCGCTTTATTGTGACATTTGCTTTACTGAAGTGGTCTGGAACTGAACCTGCCATGTCTCAGAGGGCCGCCTGTGCTAGCATTCATCTGAGTCATCGTCATATAATGAGATTTGAATGGGTGTTAAACATGGGAAGGCACTGTGCAAATCACTCTTCTTGTTTATCTAAAATTCATTTCCATTAAGTCTGGAGTACTGGAAAGTCTAAAATAGACATAATTCTAAAGAAATTTTTTTATTTTCAAGTAAAATAGAGTATAATTAGGTACTAAAGCATGGCATAGGGATTCATCTTGGTATGGCATTCACTGATACTTGCCTTTTAAAACTAGGAGTCATTTAATTATTTGAATGGAAATAAGTACTCAAAAACAGCTTGTTCTTAAGCACTTCCAATTGCTTATGAATGATTTTTAATCTATACACAGCTCTTTGTCATGTAAAAATAAACTTAAGTATACTCTATTTTTTCAAATTTGTAAAGCCAAAGTTTATTTTTTTATTAATTTACTCAACAGATATTTATTGTCTGTGTACCATGTGTCAAGTGCTATTCCAGCACTGGGAAAACCACAGTGAGCAAACCACACCATGGGCTACACTGGGAAGGGAACAGACAGAAAGCAATCAAATAACTGCACAACCAATCAGGCAGTTATAAGTGCCATGAAGAAAATCAGGGTGAGCGGTCTAGAGAGTGTGACAGTGGAGTGGCTGTTCTTTACAAGGCATTCAGGAGAGGCCTCCAAGACTTAAGCAGAGGTCTGAGGGAGGCCAGTGAGCCCTGTAGCACCAGGGGAGTAGGAGGCAAGAGTCAGTTTGGAAAGTAGTTCTTTTCATCCAGTCTTAGAAGGTTTATCAGGTTGATTTGTACAGAAAACTCTAGTAAAGTAAATAGAACAGCAAAAGAAAAACCCTCCACAGCTTGGCTCCTGCCTCCTTTTTGGTTTAGAAGTGGTTTCTCTTTGACATGATAGAAATTGCCTACTTTCCCCAGCTTTCATTAGAAGAGCTTTTCTTAGAATAACCTGCCTCTTAGACTGTAGACTAGTGTTTCTGACTGTAAAGTGAAATATATCCAGTAAATGCCACAGCTTCTGGTGTAAGAAAAAATGCATTAACATCACCCAGCAAGAGCTGTGCTTTCTTTGCATTTGCTCCCTGAGAGAAAGGCAGGATACCAAATGAACTAACTTTATATTTTTGGGTACAATGACTTCTATTATTATTTACCACCCTGTTAAGTCCCTTTAGAAACGGTTTCAAACATATAATGAAAATAAGAATTTTAAAATTGCTTCACTGTAACTGAGAAAAAAAATCTCAATGTTATGTTCCTCATCCACCAAAGGATCAGCACTCTTTACCTCTTTGGGGTTGGGTAACCAGTCAGGGAGGGTCTCAGAAATCTTTGTTCTATTGATTTATCAACCTAAGTATGATTTATGTCTCCTGCGGGTAAGGGAAAGGGGCTTCCTGTGTTCACATAAAGAATGTGTGAAAGGGAGACCTTTTTCTTCCACATTCTATCTGTGACTGCTTCTCTAAGTGGAAATAAAATACTTTCTAAGTATTTATCAGCTTTTTATTGACCAGTTACTAACAAGGAGATAATAAGGCCTTTAAATATTTGCCTCTGTACTCCCAACAATATTTTCAGTATGCTGGGTAGACAGAAAAAGCTCTGATCTTAGCAATGAGTATTCTCTGCCCAACTCTCATTATGTGGACAGGTTTTCTAGTTGGGAAGATAGCTTTTACTTTCATGCAGTCTTAAATGTTTTGTCAGATTTATTTCTAAAGAAATATATTTTATTGGATTTACTATAGAGAAAATGCCAATAAGTTGAATAGGTCTATAAAAGAAAAGTGAAGCTTTTTATTTACCTAGGTAATGATCTGTCTTGATAATAACACAATGCAATGGGCCCTTTAAAAGCTTTTTCCTGCTGTGATTATATCATATACCGAATTCAGAGTATGTCATATCAAAATGAATAATGGCATTCTAAGTGGGCCTCTGACCGCCAGTTTGCTTTCCTGTTCTGTAGCCTCTCCTGTTTGGGCCTTCCCATTATTTGATCATTTGTGGTTGATTTTTGTTTACATGTTTAGGTGATGATCTTTGAACTGGCTTACCACGTGCAGTCATTTCTCAGCGAGCATAACAAGCCCCCTCCCAAGTCTTTTCATGAAGAAATGCTGGAAAGGCGGGCTCAGGAGGAGCAGCAGAGGCTGTTGGAGGCCAAGCGGAAAGAAGAGCAGGAGGTGAGATGCCCTTGTCGATGTCTGTGTGCATGGCCAGCCTGGAGGATTGCAAACTACTGTAGGTTTTATCTGTCTCTGCCTACAAACTTATCTTTAAGTTTTGCTCAGCCTTTGATTCAAGAAAGGTAGACACATGTGAGAGTATGAAAAATATGAGTGATTCCCTCCTGACACATATCAGTACTGTCCCTTAGAGCCCTCAGTCCAGGTCTTAAAGAAATAGAAGAGAAAAGAAGCTGTTTAACCAAACCACCTGTGGTCTTTTGGAGCTTGTTAGGGTGTACAGGAGTTCACTGCATTTTAGAAGCTATTTTCTTCTTCCCTGTGCAAGACTAGTATCTCATGCCCAAATGAGTAGCAAAAGCCAGAGAATAATTTTTTTATTCAAACATTTAGATGTATATATTATCTTTGATTTAAAGGATTTTAAAAATAAGACAGTTAATATCTACGCAAACAGATTAAAGAAAAAATACAAAGATTAAATACCATTTGTATTTAAATCAAAGATAATATATGCATCTAAATGGTTACCATTTGTATTTTATAAACTCCTGTTTATATCCTATGCTGAGATTCTAAAGATTTGTTTAAATTCAAGTTTGTTTAAATACAAATAGTTACCATTTGTATTTTTCTTTAATCTGTTTGCATAAAGATATAAACTCTTGTCTTATTTTTAAAATCTTTTAAATCAAAGATAATATATGCAACTAAATTCCCTTTTTTATTTTAATTTATTTTTCTAAAGTTTTAAATTTTTTATTTGTTTTTTCTATTTAGCACTTTAATCAACTTATCTAGAACTTACTTTGATTCAGGTTATAAAAAAAGCCTAAGTATATTTTTCTTAGACATTTTCCTAACACATTTATTAAATAATAATTCTTGAAGTGATTCATAATACTTTCTTTAAACTATATGTTTAAAAATAGTTTAATGTATTTTAATATTAACAGCAAACGTGCAAGAAGTGCACAGAAGACAGATAACATTAAAAACATGTACTTGCATGTAGGACAACTCAGTTAGAAAAGTATACTGAGGCCAGTTGTGGTGTCTTGTGCCTGCAATCCCAGGACTTTGGGATGAGGCAGGTGGATCACTTGAGGCCAGGAGTTCGAGACCAGCCTGGCCAACATGGCGAAACTCTGTCTACTAAAAATACAAAAATTAGCCGGGTGTGGTGGCAGGCACCTGTAATCCCAGCCACTCAGGAGTCTGAGGCACGAGAATTGCTCGAACCCGGGAGGAGGAGGTTGCAGTGAGCCAAGATCGTGCCATTGCACTCCAGCCTGGGCGACAACTAGACTCTGTCTTCAAAAAAAAAAAAAAAAAGAAAAGAAAAGAAAAATATAGTGAATGGGTGTAATCTACTGTATGATAAGAATGCTACAAACCGTTTAGTTGCCATCAATAAAAAATGTACTTATTTTGATCCTTCTATATAGTTCATAAGCTTGATGATCGGTGTTCACACACATGTGAGATACGCCACCTGTGAACCTTGTTAGGACATCAGCACATTACCCATCTGACATGAAAGCAGAAGAAAGAAAGAGAAGAATTTACTTGTTTTTAAAAAAATCCAAATACTGGCATTATCCAGAAAAATGTAACAGGTTTATCTATAATTATTAGAAAGTTAAACTGCCGAAACTTGTTCACTGAAACATTTTGATTTGCATTAATGCTTTACATCCCCCCCATTTATATTAAAAATTCACACATGAATGAAAATAGAAAAACGGCCAATACGTGATTTCTGTCCCCTCTTTTTCCACTCACAGTCATATATGTAGGTACCTTTTGACCCCATAGGAAAAAAATATTTAACATTCAGAAGTATCAGGAATAATAAGAGAATTTTTTGCGGGGGGAGTGAAATTTCCCATCATAGTGGATTCTTTTTGTTTCTTTGTTTGTTTGTTTGTTTTTGAGACAGACTTTCGCTGTTGTTGCCCCAGGCTGGAGTGCAATGATGTGACCTCAGCTCACTGCAACCTCTGCCTCCCGGGTTCAATTGATTCTCCTGTCTCAGCCTCCCAAGTAGCTGGGATTACAGGCTTGAGCCACCACGCCCGACCCACAGTGGATTCTTAAGCACGCTCTCCATGTATGTGTCATGCTAGCTGGATATCTTTCAGCACAATTGTTACATGTTTGGCATGGATAGATAGCATACAGGTTGGTGTTTTCAAAAAGGCCAACCAGATAGGCCTCACTTGCCTTCTGCAAAGCACCAATAGCTGCACTCTGGAAGCACAGATCTGTTTTAAAATCCTGAGCAATTTCTCTCACCAGATGCTGGAGGGGAGTTTGCAAATCAGTTCAGTGGACTTGTGGTAACGTCTAATTTCACAGAATGCCACAGTACCAGGCCTGAAATGATCGGTTTCTTCACTCCTCCAGTAGAAGGTGCAGTCTTGCAAGCGGCTTTCTGTAGCCAGTGGCTTCAACCCAGGAGGCAGAGGTTGCAGTGAGCCAAGAGCTTTACCACCTGTGGATTTGTGGGCAGTCTCCTTTGTATTATACAAGCCATGGTATAGAGACCTCCTTACTTACCCCCTTCTCCTTCTGCTGGAGTTATAGGTGGTGCAGCGGCGGCTGCAAACGCAATTCTCAAGTGCATCTTAACTGCTTACCTATACTACGTTCTATTTGTCAATGATCTGTTCAACTCATCTGTTTTTTCTTGAATCTCTACCACACTCTTTGAATTATTGTATCTTTATAATGCTTTAATATCTGACAAGTCAATCCTACCCCTCCCCATCCCTTCATCTTCCATTGTTTTTGTTTCTCAGCCATTCTCACCCATTTATTCTTACAGAAGATGTACAGAATTACTTTCCCATAGTCAAAACAAAACAAACATCCTGGGATTTTTATTGATTTTAAAAAATCTTACATATTTATTTAGGAAGAATTGATATCTTCACAGTATTTAGACTTCCCATTCAGGATTGTTTCTTTTTCCATCCAGGGCTGTTTGTTTTTGTTTTCTGTTTTTTGGATTTTTTTTCTTTTTTTTTTTTTTGAGACAGCATCGTGCTCTGTCGCCCAGGCTGGAGTGCAGTGGCGCAATCTTAGCTCACCGCAGCTCAAGGGATCCTCCCGCCTAAGCTGCCTGAGTAGCTGGGACTATAGCCGTACACCACTGCACCTGCCTAATTTTAAAATTTTTTTGTAGAGACAAGATCTCCCTATGTTGCCAGGCTGGTCTTCAACTCCTGGGCTCAACCAATCCTCTGGCCTCAACCTCTCAAAGTGTTAGGATTACAGGCATGAGCCACCGTGCCCAGCACCATTTGTATATCTATTTTTATTTTTTGTTGAGGCTTTCTAATTTTCTTCCTACAGATATTACTATTTCTTAAAGTTACTTTTAGTGTTTTGTTCTTAGGTTCTTATGCTTGTCTCTTTTTTCATTTTATTTTGTTTCTGCTTCATTTTGTTTATCCTGTGCTTACATTAACACTGTCTTTTTGTAGGTGCCATTGATTTTGTTACTTATTTTCTATTTAAGTGTGTAGCCTAGTTATTGTTGGGAGTTTGTAGTTCTTTTTTATTATTTTTATTTTATTTTAATTTCTTGAGACAGAGTCTTGCTCTGTTGCCCAGACTGGAGTACAGTGGTATGATACTGGCTTACTACAACCTCCATTTCTCAGGTTCAAGCAATTCTCCTGCCTCAGCCTCCCGAGTAGCTGGGATTACAGGCACCCACCACCATGCCTGGCTAATTTTTGGACTTTTAGTAGAGACGGGCTTTTGCCACATTGGCCAGGCTGGTCTCAAACTCCTGACCTTGTGATCCATCCACCTTGGCCTCCCAAAGTGCTGGGATTACAGGCATGAGCTACCGCACCCTGCCGGGAGTCTGTAGTTTATTATTGTCCTTGTTGTTAGGAAGGCTAATTTTTATTAGAAGATAGTGACTATTTAGCTAACAATTTTGTTTTGACATACTGCTATAGCTACCTATAAGTTTGGGGTGTGTTTTTACACATTGTATTATTGCTGTTATGGTTTTTGGTGAATCTCTTAATAGTTTTGATAATTATAATCTGGAATTTTAGAGGAATAATGCAAAATAGAGATCAAAATACCACTTTTAACATTGAGAAAGCTGATTAGAAAATACAGGTGATTGAAGAATGGCAGGTAGGTATGGTACTTGGGCCATGGCTACCTCAGGTGCAGGCACTGAGGCTTGCTCAGCCCACCTTCACCAAGCTGACCGGGACCCCCATGGCAGAGAGCAGGCACAAGTGCTTGTTCTCTGCAGATAGGCAGATATCAAACAGGAGGAGCTAAGACAAGTGTCGGAAGAAGTGAGAAGCCAACAGTGTTGCTGTAGTGGAAATCTCCTGCACATAGAAACATGAAGAATGGGGAGTAAATGCCCCTCCCCACACACGCTCAAACCTGTTTAAATGGGAATGCCTATTGCGTAAGAACTCTGATAAAACTGATAGAACTGCAGTTTGTACTAAGATGCTGTGTTTTCAGATCTCTTAGGAAGAGAGGGTTTGAATTATTGAAAGTTAAAAGATTTTTCTGTAGTTCCATAATTTATATGTTGTATGGGTTTCAGAGATTGGCATTTGATGATGGTTTGATTTATTTCAGCAACGTGAAATCCTGCATGAGATTCAGAGAAGGAAAGAAGAGATAAAAGAAGAGAAAAAAAGGAAAGAAATGGCTAAGCAGGTACCCTATCAACTCCACCATAATAATTTACATTTTGCAAAACAAAGTGTTTTTATTTCCACTGATGACATCTGTGTTACTATCAGTAATACAGCTTAAAATAAAGCACTAAAAATAAATAAATATTCACTGTGTATTTCAGACTCCCTAAATAGGTGGCAAAATTTAGAGTTTTATGTTGTCAGTAGATGATTTAGACTTACATAATTACTGTAATTTATCAAATGAGGGAGGGAAGAGATTGCGTCTTTAATAATTAACCTGGACTAAAATTGTTCTTTTTTTTGAGACAGAGTCTCATTCTGTCGCCCAGGCTGGAGTGCAGTGGTATGATCTCAGCCCACTGTAACCTCCACCTCCCAGGTTCAAGCAATTCTCATGCCTCAGCCTCCCGAGTATCTGGGATTACAGGCGTATGCCACTACGCCTGGCTAATTTTTGTATTTTTTAGTAGAGATGGGGTTTTGCCATGTTGGCCAGGCTGGTCCTCAACTTCTGGCCTCAAGTGATCCACCCACCTTGGCCTCCCAAAGTGTTGGGATTACAGGCGTGAGCCACTGCACCTGGCCTAGAATTCTTAATACTTGGAAAATAAAATGATTTGTTGATACTGAAGAGGGAATAGAAACCATATGGATCTGCCTGAAATTTCATCCAGTGATGAAAAAGAGTAATTCAACAGAGCAGATTTAAAAGGCAGTGGTGAAAAAGGATAGAGTGCTTTTTCCTTTATTTTTCCTGAGTCTAGCTCAAGCAAAAAACCAGTCAGACGTGTTTGGAGAAATTCAGAGAAAATTTTACTCATTCTCTTTTACATAAATTAGAGCATTAAACTTAAGGGACATGATGTGGTAGCAGGAAGAGGCACTGAAGCACAAGCAAGCTTCTCCTGGTTTAAAGCTTCAGCTTTCCTGCTGCCTCACTTTGTGACCTTGGCAAGGTGACATTCTCTGTGACTCTCTTTACTTGTCCCTTAAAATGGGACTGATAATGCCTTTCTTTCTGTCTTGTATAATTACCTCCACAGATAAGTGTACTGCCCTATGTGAAACTAAACCTGCGTAAAAATGTAAGATGAGATCCCTGTTTCCACCAGTGCTCCTGTCTTGCTCCTGACCTGCCTTCCTGTCAGCCACTCTCTGCCCTCTCTTTGATTCTCCCTTCTTCTGTTCATCTCCTGTTACTCTTCTCCCTAACTTTTTACACTATTGCAAGATTCTAAGCATTTTCATTTATAAAATTTACATTTTCTTGAAACCATAACCTGGACTTCAGTTCTTGAGCCAGTACATATTTAGGCATTAACATTTTTTTAATTTTATTTTTTAATTGACCAATAATAGTTGTATATATTCATGGAGTATATAGTGAAGTTTTGATACATATAATGTATAGTGATCGGATCAGGGTAATTAGCACATCCGTCACTGCAAATATTTAGCATTTCTTTGTGTTGGAAACATTCAATATCCTCCTTCTAGCTATTTTAAACGATTAAAAGTTAAGTTCAATTTTATTTCACTTGTAAACATTCAGCTTAAAATTTGCATTCTATACTGAATTAATAATTATGTACCATGATTTTCTTCCATGTATGACTTACATCTAAAGTAAGTTTTACTTTTCTTGTTCTAGGAACGTTTGGAAATTGCTAGTTTGTCAAACCAAGATCATACCTCTAAGAAGGACCCAGGAGGACACAGAACGGCTGCCATTCTACATGGAGGCTCTCCTGACTTTGTAGGAAATGGTAAACATCGGGCAAACTCCTCAGGAAGGTCTAGGTAAGTCCCTGGGATTTCTGATCTGGGAGAATGACAGATGTAGAAGGATTTTACTACATTGAAGATGTAGTGAAATTTGATGGAAATTTCAGGCGATAGTCTTAATAACTTTTTTCAAACCTTATATATCTTAATATATTAGCAATATATTAGGTGTATTTTTAGCAATATGAAACTAAATTGCGTTTAACACTTTCCAAGTATCTATCATGAATCTAGTTTTGTTGCTCATTCCCTTTTTTTTTTTTTTTTTTTGAGACGGTGTCTCGCTCTGTCACCCAGGCTGCAGTGCAATGGCACGGGCTCAGCTCACTGCAACCTCTGCCTTCTGGGTTCAAGCGATTCTCCTGCCTCAGCCTCCCAAGTAGCTGGGACTACAGGCATGTGCCACCACACCTGGCTAATTTTTGTATGTTTAGTAGAGTTGGGGTTTCACTGTGTTGGCCAGGCTGGTCTCGAACTCCTGACCTCGTGATCCACCCGCCTCGGCCTCCCAAAATGCTGGGATTACAGGCATGAGCCACCACACCCAGCCTCATTCCCCTTTATAACAGCCTATAACACATCACAAACTTGCCTTAGTACGATTTAACATTTATAAACTTAAATTCAGTAAGTGATTTTAAAATTTTTCTTCCATTTGAATCATCATCATCCAGTGTTTCAGTCTACAATGCCTTAGGTCCCACCACAGTTGTAAGGAGTGCCTGAAAATGAGCACAGGTGAGACATCTGTTACATGAGAGTAGGAACCCCAGTTGGCTGCCAGGGGTCCCCTCCCTAATACTGAGGTGGGCTCCTGGGCTGTTCCCTGTCACCACTGGTCACTTAAAAGATACTACTTGTTCTTCTATATCTTTTTCACTGAAGAATTCCAACTTTGCTCTCTATTTGCTGTGGCCCCCTGTACACCAGAAAGGAATTTTGGTGAAGAAACCATTTATGAGTGGGGTGGGTTATTAAATAGTGTAGGGACTTCAACCTTCATTGTATGTTTAAATTATCTCTTGTGAGACTCTAAGCACAACTTAAAACCACCACTTTGCTTCCATGAAAAGAAACATTTTAGGCACCAAACTGAAGATTTATATAAACTTCTGTATAGTTTGTTTATTAGAAGGAGCCATTTTAGTTCTTTCCCTAATTATCTACTACTAAAAAAACAGTTCAGAAATCATTTTGACACTAATGTTTACCTACTATTAGGTTTAACTAAATTTTTAAAAAAATACTGTTTCTGGTAACCATTCCTTTTTAAGATTATAACTCCTTCCCAATTTAAATTATTTTTGAATCTGGGCTTCTAATAAGCAACAGAGTTTGAAGTTGTCAGAGAATTTCACTAGGAAATATCTAACAAATTTTTGTTGTATTAGAACCTTTGAATTAAATCAATGATATAAATAAGTCTTTTCAGATATATGGAAGATGATTGTTTTAAGTTTAAACATTTCTATTTTTGTGGCTAACTATAAACAGTGAATCCAAGGTTAGGCTTGTTTTTGAGATCAGAGATAGCACGCTGGGCACGGTGGCTCATGTGTGTGACCCCAACACTTTGGGATGCCAAGGCTGAAGGATCACTTGAGCCCAGGAGTTCAAGACCAGCCTGGGCAACAAACTCCTTCCCATCTCAGAGCCTCTGCCGACCCCTCTGCCTGGACTACTCAACCTCTGGCATTTTGCTTGCTGAGCCCCTCCTTCTCATTCAGTTCTCCCCTCAAATGCAACCTTCTCAGGGATGCCTTCCTGAGCCCCCCTCTACCCTATTTCCCTGCTTTGTCCCTTGCTCTCCAATTCTCTGCTTTATTTTTTACATAACACTTAGCACTAGCTGAAATTGTTATTCACTTGTTTACTTTGGAATGTGAGGTCTGTGAGAGCAAAGCCCTCATCTGTGTTTTCCTCAAAGCCTGAAATCGTGCCTGGAAGACACATGGTAGGTGCCTGGTCAACATCTGATGCAGGGAGGGAGCCAGGGAGGGAAGATGACACAGGGAAAGTGGGACACTGTGTTTCTGGTGTTTGTAGGGTCTACAGCCTCTTTAACCAGGGCAGTTTTGCTTCTCTTGATCTGTGGGGTATGTAAAAAACCAGTGAGGTTTTATTTAACAAAAGATGTTCACGCTGAAAAGAAGAGAAAGAGAGAAAAGAGAACCACTCACTATTCTAGTGGAAAGAACGTAAAGGCCTGATACTCAAAGGCTTTTCACTGATGAGTCTTGGCTTTTGTTGAAGAACTTTATTTTCTGTGCTTCAAGTCTTCTTTTCCCACCTTGAAGGATTCACTTTTTAGAATATTAAGGTAAAAATCAAAAAACATAAAATTAGCTATTTTAATGTGTACAGTTCAGCGTGAGGCTGTATTTGTGAAGTGCAGACATAGTCCCCCCAACCCACTGCCTTGTTTCTGGGATGTTGCTCCTCATAAGTGGGCAATATGAATTTTGTAGAAGAAGCAAAACTAAAAAACCAAAAAACCTCTATAAAATAGCTCATGGTAGAAAATTACCTTCACATATTCAGACTTGCTGTCTTTGCAGATTACCGTAGTGTAGCCCAGAATCTAGAATATATCACCTATTTATATCTACCATCAACAAGATTAGGTTATCTAGTTTGTTTTCCCTATTCTAAAGCCAGGTATGGTAACTGCTGGCTCCTCACCCTTACAGAGAAGAGATCATTAAGGGTATAAGACATGGGATTCTCTCTGCTCTCCTCAAAAAACTTGGGGAACCATTAAAGTATAAAGGTGTAGGGGAGAGAGGATCCTTGATACGTCTCTCCAGACATGGTCCTCTGTTGTTCAGTTTCTGTGGTTGGTTCCATGGAGGCATAGACTGGTTTACCTCAAATTAAACAATATCAGGAATTCTTACTAATGTTGTCTCTACAAAGTGGCTCTGTGTTTCAAATTAAGGGACCTAGAACTAGCATTTTCTGTGGCATCTTGGTGAGTTAGACAGGAAGGTGAGACTATCCCTGCCCCTGTGTCTCAGATAAGATCCTCTTTCTCCCTCCTGCCCCAACATCTACACATTGATCATAATGGTAGAGCAATCTTTTGGATGGTAGCCCAATTCTCTAGTCCCCACTTGAAAAATTGTCATCTCTCTTCTTGCCACTTGGCTTTTTAAAAAAAAAAAGATTATCCTTTTTTCTTTTTTCAGGTATCAAGCTCCTAGCTGCCTAATTTAGTCATCTAAAATTGTATTATGTTTCTCTGTTCTTTTTAAAGACCTAGATTAATACTATTTGGTAATTTTATTTGAAACACCCTTCATATAGGTTGGGAACTGCCACAGATACTTGGCAAAACTGATAACATGGGTGATATTTTTAATATTATGATAATATTGCAAACCTCATGAACATCCATACTCTAGAATAGATCATGATGATGAGACCAGAGTCATAGCTTCTGAACACCATTTGTTTGCACTGTTTCTGCTGGAGTACAGAAGTCGTTTTACTTATGAATGGATTCAAATCCAAAAGGTTGTTCCAAGCCCAGTTCTTGATGGGTCCCAGGTAGACAGTATAAGCATCCAATATATATGAATCTTTTTGGCGAAAACAATAGATATGGATGACATTGCATTTGTCTCTTTATTCCTTCTTTTCAAACTCTGTGATTTACTTTTTATCCTTCAGAATTGTTTCTGCTACAACCTGTGCCATGCAGCATGTACCACATTTGTCGTTTTCTTACTTTCACTTTTATCTCTACTTTTCTTTCAATCCTAGTTATTCCTTAATCTTACAGCCATCAACACTCATTGTGTTTGTACTTATCAGTCATAATAGGGTGATTCACATTCTAAAACTCCTTAAAACCAAGCATTTACACATTGTAAACTTAAGAACAGAAAGATGGCCTAGACTAAAATGACCATTAGCACCATCTGCTGAGGAGGCCAGAGCTGATGTAGAGATGCTTCTGCATAGTTTATGTTACTAAGTCTAGCATGTAATTTTAAATCTTTGCTTTTATCCTTTTCTCCATAAATCTCAGTGTGTCCCTAGTTGCACACATAACTTTAGAAGTAGAAATTTGAACAGAACTACAATGTATTTGCTGTTTTCTGATGTTTAGAATATGTGGACATGGGCCAGGTGTGGTGGCTCATGCCTGTAATCCCAGCACTTTGGGAGGCCAAGGCGGGCAGATCACGAGGTCAGGAGATCGAGACCAGCCTGGCTAACACGGTGAAACCCTGTCTCTACTAAAAATACAAAAAAATTAGCTAGGCATGGTGGCGGGGGCCTATAGTCCCAGCTACTCAGGAGGCTGAGGCAGGAGAATGGTGTGAACCCGGGAGGCGGAGCTTGCAGTGAGCCAAGATCGCGCCACTGCACTCCAGCCTGGGCGACAGAGCGAGACTCCATCTCAAAAAAAAAAAAAAAAAAAAGAATATGTGGACATATGTGTGGTGTAAGATATGAGTATCATAATACATAATCTTGTCACCAGTGTAGGAGGGGTTTGAGGAAAGAGAGGATGTGTAGGATTGGAAGCAGAAAGACCAGATAATAACAGAGTATTGCATATGTCCAGGAGAAAGTTGGAGATGAACTAAACAGGGCAGGGGAGATAGAGAGGAGAAGGTGGTACTTGAAGACCAATTAGATGCAGATGTAGGAGCCCAAGGAGACTCACAGGTTTCTCACCTGTGAGACAGAATGGATGACTATGCCCCTAACCAAAATTAAAGAGTCAAGGGGAAAAATCAGGTTTAGAGCGAGTGGAGGGAGTGGCAGTTTTATTGACGTTGCAATGGTGTGAGGGATAAATAGTGCAGAAGTGGAGACAGGAAGTGCAGTAATGTGACTATGAGGAACAGGATGGGGCGGGTGGTGCAGGGTTGAGGGAGGGGAATGTATGGATCAGAGAGATTTATAGGCTGGTGGGAGGGAACCCAGAGAGAGGGGCTGACTGAACATCTGGGAGAAAGGGACTAACTAATAGACTAAGATCCCAGAGGAGACCTTTGTAGGGGATGGGACTGAGGACAGGGGTAGCCATCCTTCCTCAAAGTCACCCACAAAGAAAGAATAGTGCCAATGCCAAGTAACTTTATAGGAGGAACAATAGAAATTGTGGACTGTATTCCTCTTGCCTCGTGTTCTCAGTGAAAGTAAAAGTCAAAATCATGCTGAGAATGAGAGGGTGATCTCTCTAGAGATCTGTCCATGCACGTCATCGAAGTGTTTCTGATAAGTGTTCAATCCTGACCATCAAGAGCTCTCTCCCTTGCCTCTTCCCTGCAACCCTCTCCCCTAATTTATTGTTTTTGCATTATGATCTAGTTTCTTAGCTCTTGCTCCCACCAGAAAAAAAGTAGAAAAAAAGAAAGAGAGGAGAGGCTGGGTTTTAAGTGTTTTGGAGAAGTCATGGAAGGGAATGATGGGAATATCTACCAAAGACAAGCAAGAGAAGGAATGTGCACTCAATGGCTGGAGGCCCAGTTGGAAACCAGGAATTTGTGGCAGCTCCAACCCCCTCTGTTTTGCAGCTTTCTCCAGATGTGCATGTGCGTGGGAATGAAGCAATATGGGATACCTGTGGAATTGATCTAAATCACTGCTGACCAGTAGAACTTTTTATGATAATGGAAATGATCTGTATCTGTGCTGTCCAATATAGTAGCCACTAGCCATGTATGGCTATTGAGTACTTAAATGTGGCTACTGCACATGAGCTGAATTTTCAGTTTTATTTTAATAGCCACAGCATTGGGCAGCACAGACCTCGAGTTAGGGGTTTGTGGTTTTCATGTGGAGAAGATGACAATGGGAAGTGGGGGAAGTGAATGGCTTTCCCATTAGCACCGCCTACTCAATTCCCAGTAGAAACAGATGTTAGACTGCGAGTGGGCTAATAAACAGTAATAAACGGGAGAAAATGGAGGGGCATTCTTGCCTATGTTAATCTATAACATTCCTATGTTAATCTTAAAGAAAAAAATGAAAAATGATTGTTCAAATGTATTGTTCAAATTTATTTTTAAGGCGAGAACGTCAGTATTCTGTATGTAATAGTGAAGATTCTCCTGGCTCTTGTGAAATTCTGTATTTCAATATGGGGAGTCCTGATCAGCTCATGGTGCACAAAGGGAAATGTATTGGTGAGTAAACTAGCAAAATCTATTCATATTATTGTAATGGCAAAAGTTAATCACAAAGGAATGGGATGGATTAGACACTGTGTCATTCAGACCAGTGCAGTCCAAGGAAGACCATCAAGCTGGTAGTCATTCTGGCTCCCATCCTTAATGACTGGAATGAGAAATCACTCAGGTTTCCTCTAATGTAAGATGGAAATAAAAACCTGTGTTTTTGTCTGGGCACCGTGGCTATGCCTATAATCCCAATACTTTGGGGGGCCGAGGTGGAAGGATTGCTTGAGTCCAGGAGTTCAAAGCTGCAGTGAGCTGTGATCATGCCACTGCACTCCAGTGTGAGTGACAGAATGAGACCCTGTCTCAATAAAATAAAATAAAATTTAAAAACCTGTGCTCTTGGAATATTATTAACATAACGATCATTTTAAATCTGTCATCATTATAATTATCCAAGCTTATTGAAACAAAAAAATGATTAAAATATTATCAGTCAGTAGAATTTTACATCATATACAGCTAATGCTGATCAAATGTATGTAACAAAGTGAATTCTAATGCCTATGATCTTTTTTGTTGTTGAGACAGGGTGTTGCTCCATCACTAGGCTGGAGTGGTACAGTGGCACAATCATAGCTCACTGTAACCTCAAACTCCTGGGCTCACTCAATATTCTCCCCTCAGCCTCCTGAATAGCTAGGACTACAGTAATGTCTGTGGTCTTTATTGACCAGATCTCATTTTCTTAAGTGGATATCCATCCATTTGGCATTTTCCTGCTTGACATATTATACCTGACCAAGAAGACCACCTTATTTTCTATATGCCTTATTTAGAAGTTTTGTCTACTCGTGGCTGTTTGGCGTGAAGCTGGTTCAGCAAATCAGAATTTGAATTGCTCATACTAAAGTCAAGTTTTTGGTATTTCTTCCTTTACCCTAAATGTATGTCATCTTTACCCAGCCTTACAGATAAAACCAGTAATTGGTATAGAAACCATTTGTACATAGTGAATTTGGCAATTAACTTTCATTTTCAATCCCATGCATATTTTTGCCAGAAGTAACAGGTAGCCAAATTATGTGAAATGAGTTTGCTTTCTTTTGGGATCTTTTCCCCTTCCTCTTTAAGGAGATACAAATAAGCAAAAGAGTTGCCAGGAAGCAGCCAGCAGGTGGAGGGAGAAGAAACCAAACTTCTCAATAATCTATGAGCTAAATACTTAACCTTGGCAGACACACAGCAGCCTGGACAGTAAAGGATCCTGCACATAGACAGAGCTGCCATATTTAGACAAAGGAATCATTGGGCAGGTTCAAGACATTGGTAGTGGTGGTTGGCTTTAGACCTGAGACTGTCCTTGACTCAGACATTTCAGATTCATGAAGTGACAACATAAAACTACTTCTAATAACCTGGGGAAATCAAGAAGGCAAATTAATTCAATTCTTATTACCTTAACTTAGTCTCTTATTCTCACTGGTACTCATTAGACAGATTCACCATAGTTAATACCCTTATTAGGAGGCACATTTTCAGTTGGAGAATTTTTAATAAAATTACCAAGTAAATTATTCATTTTGTTTTCTCACAGTGGGTCTGATTTTTTAAAATATGCCCTAATTGTCTATGAAATGTTTTTATAAAAGATTAACTACTAATTTTTTTATTTTCAATGAAGTATTTTTATAAAAAACAATATTTGTTTTTCATTTTAAAGTTGTTAGAACTAGACAGAGGAGAGAACTTACTTATAGATATGACTATAGCACTATAGAGACTGTCTGCATAAATGATCATTGTGGGCATATAGGGTTTCAGTTAGAGTTCTTTTGATAATGTATTTTCTCTTAGCCTCGTCTCAGTATATTCTTTTGTCCCTTTTATTATTCCCATCATGAAAAACTGACAAGAAGAGTCTGGCAATACTAAAATTATAATTTTTTAAACCCCAGCAACTATGAAATGCCTGCCTAGTCCCAATTAGGGAAACAAATATTGCAAAACACTGTACTGCATAACACACAAATTTAATTAGGCTTTATGTAAATAACGTCTTACTCCATCCCATAAACATTTAATGCCATGTGTTTCTAGTAGACTGCTTAGATCCCACATTTCTCAGGTTGCTTCGTTTGGTTGACAAATTTTTAAACAGCAGGATTTTTTCCCCTTAGGCAAAGACTGTCAGGAGTTATTTATGACTAACAGATCATTTTAATTAAAATCTCTAAATTATCAGCATTCCCATGAAATAAAAACTGCTTGTCAGATAAAAAGTCAAAGTGAGCTAGTTCAGCCATATTTTTCCAAAGTATTTTTGCTGAGACATCTTTATCATGTATATGCAGGTTACTTCACCTTTGATTATTCAAATAGAAAAGATAATTAGCAATGTCTCTTTAAAAATTTGTTTTCATTATGAAGATAGTATAGCATCATGGAAAACTATTATTTATATAAGAGAAAAAGGCAGATTACTATATATCGGGGTTATCAGCTGGGGGCCATTTTGTAGCCTGCAGGACATTTGATGATGTCTGCACACATTTTTGATGGCTAACATTGGGGTCGGGGTGCTATTGGCATCTAGTGGGTAGATACCAGGATTGCTGCTAAAATCCTACAGTGCACAAAACAGCTGCCTACAACAAAGATTACCTGGTCCAAAATGTCATAGTGTCAAGGTGTTATATATATGCTATGATATGGTAAATTATGGGGTAAAGGAGAATAGAGGGAACTAAAAGAAAAATAAAACAAGTGGTGATTTTTTTCTCCTTTTCCAATTTTTTAGAATTTTCTATTATGGTTTTAATGAAAATAGAGATTTTTATAAGAAAATTTTTGGTGTTACAGAAATTTAGCTCTCCCTGTGTAAGTGAGAACCATATGACTATCACTAAATAAATGTGTCTCATTTTCTAGCTTCAAATCTAAACTGTCATCTCTTGTTCTTTCCTTCCAAAGCATTGACCAGTTTGTATTTACTGAGCATATTCAAATTTTGCACTTAGAAAGTCATTGATGTATTCAGATTTTCAAATTACTGTTTTACTGTGCACACTAATCTATAATGATCTCGATGGCTTGTTCTCTATTTTCATATTCTTTCTGTCATTTTAGTTGGTATTTAGCTGTATGAGTGTACACCAGTAGACACAGTCAGCAAAGGTAGACTCGTTATGAAAATAACATTGTGCATAATGGCTAGTAGCATAAAACACTGGCCTCTTTTGTTTTTTGAGACAGAGTCTTGCTCTTGTCGCCCAGGCTGGAGTGCAATGGTGCGTTGTAGGCTCACTGCAACCTCCGCCTCCCAGGTTCAAGCGATTCTCCTGCCTCAGCCTCCCAAGTAGCTGAGACTCCAAGTGCCCGCCACCAAACCTGGCTAATTTTTTTGTATTTTTAGTAGCGACGGGGTTTCACCATGTTGTCCAGGCTGGTCTCGAACTCCTGACCTCAGGTGATCCATCTGCCTTGGCCTTCCAAAATGCTGGGATTACAGGCGTGAGCCACCACGCCTGGCCAAACATTGGTCTCTTTATTTGCCTGATACTAAGATCTCATTGTAGATTCTTGCCCCTTATAAAAAATTATTTTAGGACTCAGGTATATTGCTAAATATCAAAAATTGTTTACAAAAGGACATTATTACATAAAGTCCTATTTTCCATAGTTAGCGCATGGTATCCATTGTTGAACTAAAGAATGTGTATTACCCCCTCCCTTCCTTCCCCCAAGAGAAAACATACCAGTGGGATTTAATTACACTTTCTGTTTAATGTGCAGGCAGTGATGAACAACTTGGAAAATTAGTCTACAATGCTTTGGAAACAGCCACTGGTGGCTTTGTCTTGTTGTATGAGTGGGTCCTTCAGTGGCAGAAAAAAATGGGTCCATTCCTTACCAGTCAAGAAAAAGAGAAGATTGATAAGTGCAAAAAGCAGGTAAGCATCCAAGGTGGCTGACTGAGCAAAAGGCCTAATCTCAGGCTTTAGGAGATGACAGAACAAAATAGCCCTGCATTTGTTTGCCCTGCAGAGATGGTCCAGAGCAGTATGAGAACTGTTTGACCAGGGAGGACAGTGAAGGACCAGTACCTCTTTGCCCCTTGCCTCTGGTTTCAGAACTTTCACAACATGATCAAAGCACTTCCAGCTGCCTTCTTAACCTCCTTTCTTAGCCCTTAGTATGGCATTAACAGTCATCTTTCCAACTGGGACTAAATACTAGTTCATAATTGGGTTTTTTTGCAATTCTTCTTTTCCCTACTCTTGAAATATTGCTTCAGGGCTGGGTGTAGTGACTCATACCTGTAATCCCAGCACTTTGGGAGGCCAAGGTAGGAGGACTACTTGAGCCCAGGAGGTTGAGACCAGTCTGGGCAACATGGTGAAACCCTGTCTCTACAAAAAATTTAAAAATCTGTGGGCATGGTGGCACATACTTGTGGTCCCAGCTGCTTGGGAGGCTGAGGTGGGATAATTGCTTGAGCCCGGGAGGCTGAGGTGGGATAATTGCTTGAGCCCAGGAGGTTGAGGCTGCAGTGAGCTGTGTTCATGCCACTGAACTGCAACCTGGGTGATAGAGCAAGACCCTGTCTCCAAAAAAAAAAAAAGAAAAGAAAAATACTGCTTCAAAACTGAATTTTGGGGGACCGGAGGATTTTTAAGTTAATTTATAAATTATGATTTATAACCAAGCATAAGGAGAACATTCAGTATTGCATATTGCAGTGTTACATAATAACAAGGTTTACAAAAACGTAGATAAAGCATGGTGTTCAGAAATGTGTGTGTATTTAAGTATAGAAAGAAAACTGAAAGTAAATGTGCCAAAATCTTGAGTTATCACTGGGTGGTGACCACATAGATAACATGTGGGTATTTTCTATCAAACTAATTTTTTAAATGTTGACAATGATCTTTATTAAATCAGAAAAGATTTTTTTTTTCTGTCTTCAACCTTAACTCCTCTTTGCCATGTGAGGTTCTGAGGATTAGGATGTGGCCATTATTCTGCTGCTCAAATCATATACTATATTTTTAAAAACCCAAATACAAAGCTAATCAGAAAAGGTTATTTTTAAATTAAAGTTTGTTTTTTCTAGTGGCTATACCTCAAAAGAATTTTATTTTAAAAACTGTTCACTAATTTTGTAGTATATGCATAGTAGGTTTTGAGATTAGAGAAGTTGAGAATTAGCTAAATTTTTTCCATCTTTATGAACTATTAGATTGACCATATGGTTTGGGGAGGATTCAGTTTAGGGCATATTTGTTCTCCTCTCATTTGAAAGTATATTTTCTATCAAATACTTCACTTTTGGTTTTGGTTTTGTTTTTTTATGCCCCCATCTTGTATGATCAAATACTTCACTTTTGAAATGAAACCCAAGTTAATGTTGACTGGCCCAATATTCTTTTTTTTTTTTTTTAACTTATCAGATTCAAGGAACAGAAACAGAATTCAACTCACTGGTAAAATTGAGCCATCCAAATGTAGTACGCTACCTTGCAATGAATCTCAAAGAGCAAGACGACTCCATCGTGGTGGACATTTTAGTGGAGCACATTAGTGGGGTCTCTCTTGCTGCACACCTGAGCCACTCAGGCCCCATCCCTGTGCATCAGCTTCGCAGGTACACAGCTCAGCTCCTGTCAGGCCTTGATTATCTGCACAGCAATTCTGTGGTGCATAAGGTCCTGAGTGCATCTAATGTCTTGGTGGATGCAGAAGGCACCGTCAAGATTACGGACTATAGCATTTCTAAGCGCCTCGCAGACATTTGCAAGGAGGATGTGTTTGAGCAAACCCGAGTTCGTTTTAGTGACAATGCTCTGCCTTATAAAACGGGGAAGAAAGGAGATGTTTGGCGTCTTGGCCTTCTGCTGCTGTCCCTCAGCCAAGGACAGGAATGTGGAGAGTACCCTGTGACCATCCCTAGTGACTTACCAGCTGACTTTCAAGATTTTCTAAAGAAGTGAGTATCACTGAGATTCTCTCTAATAGCACTTTACTCCTGTACTTTTGATTGTGCTGGAGTGTGCCAGACATCTAAGTGATGTGGAAGCTGAGAAGTGAGGAACAGGACTTCATTCTTTGCTCTCCCAATCCTGTCCTAGTCTCATATGTTCTGTTTTCTCATGTAGGTTGGTGATTCTCTTAACTACCACATTCTCTGAAATTCACTTGGAATTCACACTTGATTTTCAAACTCCTTTTGGGGGACTGATGGGATACTCTTGGAAGTCAATAGAGATGGTTATGGTGAGAAATGCCCTAGGTATTCCAAATACTGACCTTTGCTCTGGTTCCTAAAGGGTCAAAGACGAGGCTCCTTATTCAAAAACAGCTTTGGGAGTGAGATTCTGCCCCTTGTGCTTCTTAACCATTCTTCATTGGCTGTCTCATTCATTTAAGTTGTAGAATGCAAATAACTTCCTTAGTCTAGCCAGAGGAGTTTCAATACCTGTAAATCACAGGTGCATGTTTAATTACAAAGCCAAGTTTTATCCAATTTGGGAGAACCCTTCTTGAGATGTTTCCTCAGGCCTAAGATGTTTGTCCAGGTCCTTCACTTAAGTGTTTTCTAATTTCGTCCTGCCTCTGTTTTCAGTCCAAGCCAGAGCTAAGTTCTGTCAGTTTCTGTTAAATGGGAGATAAGATCCCTTCAGTCTGGATTTTTCCAGATGCTCCTCTGGTCCAGCTATCCTGCAGGAGTTGACCTGGGCTGGTTTCTTCCCTTTCTGACACTCTTTGTTTTTTACCTTCTTTTTCCCAATCATTTGCTTTTATTCACTTCTTCCATTTGCAACATTTCTTTTACCCTTCACATTTCTTTCCCTATTCCACCTATCGCAGTAGCCAGTTGGCCTGGTTTACATTGTTATGCTCTGTCACTGATGGTCTTACCATTACAGATGTGAAAGTAGCTGCACCTGTGTTTGAGATTGTTTTTGTGTAAAGTGAATATGATATATATATATATATATACACACACATACATACAGTTGTGGAAAGGGGCCAAGTTTGATTCTTTATGTTGGTTTCTCGCCTTGAAGTATATGAAAATATTAAGATTTCTAAAGAAATCTTTTATGGTATCTTTTTAATGCAATGGAGCTTTAAACATATTTATTTAAATGCACCCTAACAATGAGGTTGGCCAAAATGACAAATATGATGATAGAATCACAGATGGAAAGTTTCATTTCCATCTTCAAAATGTCACCTTTAGTGTTCTGCCTTCTTCATTGATGAAGAGTAATTTAGTCAAGGTTAGCAATAGCATCATGTGTTGTTAAAAACAGTACTGGGAGGTTTAAGTAGAAGTACCTTTCCTTTCCCGTTTAGTAGCAAAATGAATGGGCTCGGTAGGTAAAACTTTCCTAGTTCTCTTCTTAAATAGCTGTATGCTCTGTCAGTTTTAAACTTGAGATCAGCACAATTTCTTATTCTTTTTTTTTTTTTTTTTTTTTTGAGATGGAGTCTGGCTGTGTCGCCCAGGCTGGAGTGCAGTGGTACGATCTCAGCTTCCTGCAAGCTCCGCCTCCCAGGTTCACGCCATTCTCCTGCCTCAGCCTCCTGAGTAGCTGGGTCTACAGGCGCCCGCTACTACACCCGGCTAATGTTTTGTATTTTTAGTAGAGACAGGGTTTCACCATGTTAGCCAGGATGGTCTCAATCTCCTGACCTCGTGATCCGCCCACCTCGGCCTCCCAAAGTGCTGGGATTACAGGCGTGAGCCATAGCGCATGGCCTTCTTATTCTTTTAACAAGATTTTTCTTTAGACTATTTTGTATACTTCTCTCCCTGGAGTGGTTTGATAGACTGTGCTTGGTTAAGGAGCTGCCAAGAACTGTTTTTATGAACTTTGCTGTCCAGCCCTGGTTAACAAAAGAAAAATGCCATTCACAAAGAATGAAAACAGCAACCTTCCATTTGTAGTTATATTTTTACATATTAGTGAACACCCTTTGGAGCAAGATTTTGTTTCAAATCAGCCTCTGTGATGGGTAAGACTCTGGAGTCAAAACATCTGGGTTCAGGTCTCACCTCTATGTCCTACTGGCTGAGTGAATTAACCCCCTGCCCTGCGTTTCCTCCTCTGTGAAACTGGGATAATAGCACTGCCTACCTCATGAGGTGGTTGTGAGGATTAAATTAGTTAACAGCCATAAAGTGCCTGGCACTTGGCCCAGACTGAGTCAGTGCTGGTTTTCATCACCATCCTCAGTAGTGAGAACTATGAAGAAATGTGGGTGTTGCCAGGCATTTTATCCCTTTTTGTTCAAAGCTGAACCTTTTCTATATACGGCTACCCTGTTGCCAAAATTATTGATTCAGAGAAGTTCATTTTTAAAGTGAGATCTTGGTGGCTATAAATCTCTTAAAAATACTGTGCATTCTAGGTAGGCTGTAACATTTTTCTGATCCAGATTTACTTTCAAGTCAATAACATTTATGTCACAGTTGAGTTACAGTTGATAACGCAATTCAGAAACCCAACAGGGCATATATAGGGATGCTCATTGCAGCATTTTGTGAAAATGTGAAAAATTGGAAATAATCTCAACAGTAGGAGAATGTGTAAATAAATTCTGGTAGGTCCACGCCTATACAGAAGTTTAAAAAAAATCTTTAAGTACTGGCTTAGAAAGAGCTCCAAGACACATGGTGGAATGAAAAAAGCAAGCTGAAGAATAATGTATATAAGATGATATTGCTTAAAAAAATCAAAAAACAATACTATTTTGTTTGGATGGTTGTATGTTTATGTGTATAAATGCATAGAAAAATCTCTACAATGAGACACCCTAAGTGGAAGAAAGAATTGGAAGGGGAGGTTGGTCAAAGGCTTTATCATTATCAGTAATGTTTTAATATTTGCAAGGAGAAGGTATATATGTTTTAATGATATAATTAAAAAGTAATTTTAAATTTAAAGGAAAATACGGTATCTTATACAAATGGTTTTATTAGAATTTTTTTGCCTGTTCAAGCTATGAAATTAGGAGTACCTTGCTTTTTACTGCTGCAACATAAAAAAAAGTTACCATTTATGATAGTTGCTGTCACCACTTTGTATGTATAGATTTTTAAGTCCAGAACTCACAACGACAGTTGATTCTTTTAAGTATATTGTTTTAATTATAGGTCAAGTGCTACCAAGTCGTACTACTTGGGCCGTTGTAATGAAAGTAGCTTGGCATGGTGGTTCATGCCTGTAATCCCAGCATTGCAGGAGGCCTAGGTGAGAGTATCTCTTGAGTCCAGGAGTTCAAGACCTGCCTGGGCAACATAGTAAGACCTCATCTCTACTTTTTTAAGTATTCCAGCACAGCAGGGCGTGATACCTCACACCTGTAATCCCAGCACTTTGGGAGGCTGAGGCAGGCAGATCACTTGAGGTCAGGAGTTCAAGACCAGCCTGGCCAACATGGCAAAACCCCATATCTACTAAAAAGACAAAAATTAGCCATGCATGGTGACACTCACCTGTAATCCCAGCTACTTGAGAGCCTGAAGCAGGAGAATCGCTTGAACCTGGGAGGTAGAGGTTGCAGGTTGCAGTGAGCCAAGATAGTGCCACTGCACTCCAGCCTGGGCAAGAGAGCAAGACTTCGTCTCATAATAAAATAAAATAAAATGAAAATAAATAAACAAAACATTCCAGCATGGTGGTACACGCCTGTAGTCCCAGTTACTCAGGAGGCTGAGGCAAGAGGATGCTTTGAGTCTAGGAGTTCGAGGCTGCCATGAGTGATGATCGCAACACTGCTTTCCAGCTTGGGTGACAGAGCAAAACCTTATCTCAAAAAAAAAAATTAAAATTAAAAAAAAAGGCCAGCTTAAATCAGTTACAGTTTAACTACTTAGACTTTAACTTAGACTTTAGCTTGCATTGAAATCATTTGGAGCTCTTGTTAAAGCACAGATCACTGTCCAAACCTCCAGAGATGCTGATTTACTAGGTCAGGGGTATAGTAGAATTTGTATTTCTAACATTTTTTAGGGGATACTGATGCTACTGGCCAGGGACCCCACTTTGAGAAGCCCTGGGTTAAAGGTATGGCTTGTTTTTCTTCATTAAAAAACAAAACAAGAATTGTCTATTACACCATTAAACAGTAAGTTAATGGGTTCAAGGAATGAAGATTAAAAGAAAGTATATGAGGCCGGGCACGGTGGCTCACGCCTGTAATCCCAGCACTTTGGGAGGCCGAGACAGGCAGATTGTTTGAGCTCAGGAGTTGGAGACCAGCCTGGGCAGTGTGGTGAAACCCTATCTCTACAAAAAATATAAAAATTAGCCAGGCCTGGTGGTGCCTGCCTGTAGTCCCAGCTACTGAGATGGGAGGATTGCTTGAGCCCGGGAGGCAGAAGTTGGAATGAGCTGAGATCACACCACTGCACTGCAGCCTGGGCGATACGGCAAGACCCTATTTCAAAAAAAAAAAAAAAGCATAAACCAATTTTTAAAAAAAGTATGCAATAGAATATGGGACTTTAAAAAAGCCTTCCCTAAATGTTTCCAACTTGCTTCATCCTGTAATGAGCAGGCTTCATCTAAAGCTCGTCATACTGAGCCACTCTGCTGCACCAACTCTCTGATTTGCTTTGTCTTTCGAAAGCTTTATTTATAACCGGTTCCTGCAAAGGCTTAGTTTGGCATGACAAGGCATTAAACTGTTCATCGAGGTGAAAATTTATAGCCTACTTGTGCTACCTTAGACTTTTAAAAAATTGTTCCATGAGGGTAAGTCTTCTCATCTAGAGATGCCTTTTTTTGATTCGCCTCTTGTACCCAGCCTGTCGCATAGCATGTAAATCCTGCAGGAATGTTTATTAATTTAAATTCACCTATGAGAGTACATTCTGGTCTTTGAGTAACATGAATTCTATAATGTGTATCTTTAAAAAATAAACCCATAGTTAATGCCTTGGATTAACTAGTTTAGCACTGATTGTTTGTGATGCTAAGATTCTTCCTTCCCTCTCACCGAGATGTGTGTGCTTGGATGACAAGGAAAGATGGAGTCCCCAGCAGTTGTTGAAACACAGCTTTATAAATCCCCAGCCAAAAATGCCTCTAGTGGAACAAAGTCCTGAAGGTGAGTCTGTTACCTTTCTTTATTTGGTAACCTGTTTGACATTAAATTATTTTGAAAGTATACATAAACCAAAAACTGGAAGGGGCTGCATGTGTTATTTTATGTCTTTTATTCTGAACTAAATCCATTAGTTTGATGTGTGCCATGTGCATGGGACTGTTTTGCCACCCTGATTTTTCTAGTCTCTATTGATGGAATGAATGTCCATTGCTGTAGTCTCTTGTAGTGTTTAGTCACCCATAGTGCCATGTAACTAGATTTTTCCTGCTGCACCTGAGATTAAGGAACCTCGGTAGAGATTGGGATGGATCATGAGACCTGAGTTTTGGTTCTAGCTCTATAGTTAAGTCACTTATTCTATATAATCCCCCACCTGTAAACTTGGGCTAATTATATATTTCTGCCTACTTTAAGGAGGGCAAGGTGAGGAAAAGTTTTAAAAGGCCACTCAGGTAAGAGGTAATTTTTCAAACTACTGGTTGGAGCTCTTCTTCCAGGGCTTCCATCATTGTTGGCTATGTAGCTCTTCCTAAATTTCCAATGCCTCATGTGCCTCTTACTCCCTGTTTTATCTCAGATTCTGAAGGACAAGATTATGTTGAGACTGTTATTCCTAGCAACCGGCTACCCAGTGCTGCCTTCTTTAGTGAGACACAGAGACAGTTTTCCCGATACTTCATTGAGTTTGAAGAATTACAACTTCTTGGTAAAGGAGCTTTTGGAGCTGTCATCAAGGTGTGGTACAGAGTCATTCCCAGTCCCCTTTAGAGCTCCTTCTCTGTTCCATTTCCACAAAGACTCATGGACTTTACTTTTATTTTGGGAGTGGGGAGGGAAGTGAATATGGCTGTTGGATACTATGCTCATCCTCACCTTCCTGGAGTTAAAGGTTTTATTTAAGTTACGCTGGACACAGTTGAGAATTGTCCCACTCCTCTTTCCTTGCTTCATGTGGAGCATTAACATGAAACACACATGGTTATAACAGCACTTCAAGTGGAATCAAGACCTCCACAGAAAGAACATTTTTGTGTGCTTTGGTTCAGAAAGAACATTGTTCTTTTTTTCTCCTGTTTGCTGTTAGAGTTGCTGTAGATAAAAAGGTTCTAAGGTTAGAAGAGAGATGGACTTCAAACTGGGAGATGGCCCCAGCAGGTCTCGATGGCTTTTATTTTCCAGCTATTATTGGGACAGGAAAGTAGCGATGTATTATTAAGGTACACTGTTGTTGGGTCTTCCTTTCTTCGTTCTAGTCTATTTGGGTGACTTTTATTATTATCTGCCCCTTGTAGAAAGAGGTTTCAGCTGTTTTTATATAATAGAAGTATTTCTTTGTAAATTAGGAGACCCAGATTATTGTATTAAGTCCATATACAGTACATGTCATCTTTCACATATGAAGGTAACCCACCATCAACTGAGTATATTGTCTGTTAAGGATTCTGAGAGTATCATTAGGAAGCATTACTGTTACTGTAGAAAAACTTTTACACTAAAAAAGGAATTAAATTAGTTTTCCTGTGGTAAAAGACAGACAAGCAAGACAGATGTCCTGATCAGAAAGATCATAATTATGTCTAAGAGGAGGGGATGATTGAAGCGTATACTGTCCCTTTAACACAATATCATTTTGATCAAATCCTTTAACTTCATTCTATTTTAAATTCTTGAACGTAGAATAGTAACAAATTTCATCTCTTTACAAGTACTTAATAATGATAGGCAAGCTCATATAACAAAAACATCTGAGTAACTTAAGCCCCCACGGTTTCCAGTAGTTTCTCCCTGTGAGAATCCACAGCCCTCACCTCCTACCTCTGTGCTTCTGTGTCAGAGTAGGGCAGCCTGCCCAGTGATCTGGCATTCATTAGCAGTTGGACCCATTACTGTTTCTGCACCTTTTCACTTCAGTAAATGAATTCCTAGGGGTTTCCAGTATAGCAAGCTTTACTCCCAACCCAGTTCGTATATGATGTGTACTGAGACAGGAGATCGAAAGGCAATGCCAAGATCCCCACCTCCCGCCCTACACTGTCCTCTTCCCTATTAATGTGGCAGTAAAAGAACACAGGGCTATCATTTTTTGGAGCACCTGCCATATTTCAGATTGTGTGCCAGGTGATTTACAAACCTTGTCTTTAAATCTCAGGACATTCTTACGAGATGGGTATGATCCTCATTCCCTAGATGAGGGAACTGAAGCTCAGAGAAGGTTATGTCCTTTGCCTGAGATAAGGGAGATAAAACCAGCATTCAGACCCACCTCTGTTGTACTACAAAGTGTGTGTTCTTGTCACTATTTCCATACAAAAAAAGATAATCTGAAACTCAATTTTGTAGTACTTCCTTCTTATTCCCAGGACTTCACTTAGACTTTTATTAGTTTAATTGAAACTTGTGAGCCAAACAAGAGAATGATATTCTGTTTTGTGTTTTGTAATCAACTAATTTCTCCTGCCACCCATGGCCACATGGCATTTGCTTTTCTAGAGTATATCATCACCTCAGTTGACCTGCACGGATGTGACTACAAGGTTTCAGTGAATAAGACTCTGTAAAAGTTACTTCAGTCACCCCAATTACATAGTGAAACTGCCTGGCATAAGGATGCCTCTATGTAGGATGGGAGGACTTGCCTTTGCAACGTTTTCTTGCTTTCTTATTATTTTACTGTGTTGTTAATTGTATTGTTCTGGTTTCAGTATACATCATCTTAGGTATATAACAAAATCAATGGGCAGTGATTGTGTTAATAGCAATTGCTGTTATTGACTAAGCTAAGCACCTTTCTCTGTGAGGCCTTGATACAAGTGCTTTACAGTCACCATTTGGGGTAGTGGAAATGGTATAAATGCCATTTTAAAGATAAGAAAATTGAGTCTCAAGGAAATTAAGTAATTTTCCCAAGTTCACACGGCTTTAGAAATCAAGGAATTAACCTTTGTGTTCAGGTCTGTTAATATTTTTGGTGTTTAATTTGTTTTTAGTGACTTTAAGTGTAAAAAAAAATCAGAGAGAAACTAAAATCATCTGAAACTTTACACTGACTTTAGAAAATAATTTTTAATCTTAAAATCAAGACACTTAGAAATTTAGATAGCAGATACATTGGAAAAGCAGGGAGGTAACTGTCAGTAAAATTAATTATTAAAATGGAGATTATGTTTTCCCCAGGGTCTCCCAGCAAGCTAAATATATCTAGAGTCGGGTGGGCTGTTTTCTGAATTTTGTGGCAGTCAAAGCTTTCTTCAGTTTAAGAATTTCAGGCATGTGGTTCTTGACTGTAGCTGTGGGACTCATTTAGAACTTCACGCTTTCCTTGGGAGGGGATGGGGTGCGGTGCAAATGCCTGTTTGTGCAAGGCTCCGAGCGGCTGACCTTCCCCTGGCTGTGCCGCAGGTGCAGAACAAGTTGGACGGCTGCTGCTACGCAGTGAAGCGCATCCCCATCAACCCGGCCAGCCGGCAGTTCCGCAGGATCAAGGGCGAAGTGACACTGCTGTCACGGCTGCACCATGAGAACATTGTGCGCTACTACAACGCCTGGATCGAGCGGCACGAGCGGCCGGCGGGACCGGGGACGCCGCCCCCGGACTCCGGGCCCCTGGCCAAGGATGACCGAGCTGCACGCGGGCAGCCGGCGAGCGACACAGACGGCCTGGACAGCGTAGAGGCCGCCGCGCCGCCACCCATCCTCAGCAGCTCGGTGGAGTGGAGCACTTCGGGCGAGCGCTCGGCCAGTGCCCGTTTCCCCGCCACCGGCCCGGGCTCCAGCGATGACGAGGACGACGACGAGGACGAGCACGGTGGCGTCTTCTCCCAGTCCTTCCTGTAAGCGCACGGCGCGGACCAGCTGCCTCTGATGCGCCCCCTAGTTTCCTTTCTTTATTTTTTTTTCCTTTTTCCTTTCATTTCCTTCCTTCCTTCTTTCCTTCTTTTCTTTCTTTCCTTTTTTGAGATAGGGTCTTGCTCTGTCACCCAGGCTGGAGGTCAGTGGCGCGTCCTTGGCTGCAACATCCGCCTCCCGGGCCAGCGAATGCCCCCCAACATTAATCCCCACCAAGTCCAAGCCAGGGAAAAGGGGATTCATTTAGAAATCCAGACGTGTTGACCATGTTTAAAAACAAAAACAAAAACAAAACAAAACCACCACTTTTAGAGAGTAACCAAATGCAATCTAAAGGAGCGGTCCCCAGCGTTTTTAGGCACCAGGGACTGGTTTCATAGAAGACAATTTTTCCACAGACGGGTGTTAGGGAAATAGTTTCGGGATGAAACTGTTCCACCTTACATCATCAGGCATTAGAGTCTCATAATGACTGCTGAAAAAGCGCACAACCTGGATCCCTCGTGTGCACAGTTCACAATAGTGTTTGCGCTCCTATGAGAATCTAATGCGGCTGCTGATCTGACAGGAGGTGGAGCTCAGGCCTTAATGCTTGCTCACCTCCGGCTGTGCGGCCCTAACAGGCAGTGGACCTGTACCTGTCCATGGCCTGGAGGTTTGGGACCCCTAATCTAAAGGATTTTTTTTCCCGCTATTTTCAAAAGATCTCCAAAATCCAAGCCATGGAAAAAGGAAAATTCAATACCTCATCTTATACATTGAATAGAATTTCTCATAGGACATTCCTTTGGATAAGGGCTTGCAACCCTGTGAAACATTTAAGAACTAATTTGGAGTCTTGATACAGTGCCAACTGCAGCCCCCAAAGGTACCAAACCAATAATTATGATCCTAAATTTTATGCTTCTCAGAATCCACCCTGGATGTTTACTTTCATGATTTTGTTTTATTTTATCCAAGTGGATACAGTTTATGATTACTCTTCACTATTAAATTTTTTGAGGAAACTTAATCTGGCTAATTTTTATTAAATCAAGGGTTCTGTGTTTTGCATAATAGCAAGTACAAATCAGCACAGTGTAGAGTATACATTGATGCCTGTGGGCTCATGGTGTGATGTCTGTAGCCTCTTGTGCTTTCTAGTATTTAAAAATGTCCATGTTTATAATGATAATAGGGATTTCTGTTCCTTTAGTATTTCTGTTTCCCTTTTTCAGGCCTGCTTCAGATTCTGAAAGTGATATTATCTTTGACAATGAAGATGAGAACAGTAAAAGTCAGAATCAGGTATATATATGAATAGAAATTATATCATTTTATTCGTGATATAATTGACGTCTGATGTCATAAACCTTAGGTAAAGTATTAAGGCTTTAATCTGATATTCAGATATAGAAACCATAAATTTTAAAAGATGATTATTCATTTAAAATATATTCTACCTGTGTTTATTTATAGACCTTCTTTATTTATCCACATAGTAAAACATACCTCCTTTTAGAAGAGAGGAGTCAGTTGAGACACTGCATTTTTGTATGTGATGAAAACAGTTTTCTAAGGGTTTGGGAAACTTTATATGGTTGGGGATAAGAATTGAATGCAAATTAATGAACTAGATTTGCATTTATGGAGTTACCTCATCATGGAGTTACCTTGGTCTGTCCCACGTCAATTAATCTTGATTCCTTATTTTCATAGACCATCCTCTAGAACAGTGTTTTCACACTGTGTATCGTGATCCTATAATGCAGGGGTGTCCAAGCTTTTGTCTTCCCTTGGCTACACTGGTAGAAGAATTGTCTTGGGCCACACATAAAATATACTAACACTAATGATAGCTGATAAGCTAAACAAACAAAAAAATCACAAAAAATCTCATAATTTTTTTTTGAGATTGTGCTGTTTTTTTAGTTGTGTTTTCAATGGAGAAATACATCATCTGTTGACAAAATAGCTTTTGAAAAATACGAGTACAGATACTATAAAACAAAGCAAACTTCAGTCGTGAGACACTACATACATCATGTGAAAGCAACAGTCTGATCTCCAGGTTGTGAAAACTATAATTAAAAAGTCACTACACAGAAAAGATCCAAGTTTCCAGGTTGGCAAAACTTCGGTGCAGTTACATGAAACGTTTAACAAACTGATTTGTTTTCCCCAATGTGTAAACAAAATGACAAGACTAAGTCTGTGCCTGGTAATTTCAATGTAACTCTGAAGCTACACAAAACACACAGACACCTTATACACTTCACCTGTTAGTATGACCATCTTTTTTGTTAGGTGGTGGGAGGAAGGGCAAGGTGACTGTGTAAAGCAAAGATGTGGGAAGTAGAAATATTATGTACTAGACGTTATAAAATCATGGTGAAAAGAAAGCTTTGATTAATGCGTAGCCTAAGGGGGAAAAGACTACACTCCAACTTCAGAAAATTAATTTAGAAGGATAGGGGAAGAGATTAAGTAATTGCAGTTTAACATGAAAAATGCACATGTGATAGAATGGAGCACAATGGAAGATTCATAAAACATGCTCATCAGAAAAATCTGTTAAGTTTACTTTGTCCAGATTAAGAAAGAGTAAGTTTATCAACATCTGGCATCCCTCATACTTTGTAAAGATAGATCTTCTGCTGCTTAATTATGAGAAATTATTTTATTCAAAGAGGGGAGCTTGTCAAGTGCTTGCTAGAAATTATTTTTAAAATGCTTCTACATGTAAAATGTACTGACAAATTTTGGTAAACCATTTAAAAATAAGAATTAGTTTTGAAATCTTGGAGAAAATGTCTTTTTGCCCACATTTAAAACTGAAAATCAATTTTACTATAGACAGGAGTTCTGTGGAGTATACAAAATTCCTCTTAGAAATCAAATGGCCATCCCAGATAGATATCAAGTTTCACAGGCATTACTTTTAGTCAGTCTCAAGTTTCAGCCACGGGACCAAAATTTAGTGTTCTGTACCATGTTGGTTTCACATCACGGCTTAAGAAAATACTGACATTTTGTTTCTTATGAAATAAGTCCTATCTTGTGCATACAAGCAAAAAGAAAAAGGAAGAAAAGAGGGGAGGGGAAGGCGCAAGAAGCTCTTTTTTGTTTGTTTTGAAGACAACAGATTGAAGGCAAAAGAATACAGAGCTTTCATAAGCTCAAAGAAAAATATTTGCTGGCTAGTCGCTGATTTGTATGCACTATAAAACATTCCATAAATAAAACTGATATATCATTTCTTAATCATGACCCCATCAAAACGAAGTTATTTCCTAACTATTCTTTCAACGTCAATGTACCCTAGAGTTGACATTTCATTTTTAAGGGTTGCAGCTACCTCATAGGAACTGAAATAGACGTACGCTTACCCTTTCTCTGAAGTATAACAGTGCACAATGGTATCCAATTTGAAGACTAATGGTAAAGAAAATTCTTCAGAAAAAACTGAAAATCCATCAAGCTGAAAATCTATAATTAGTTCTACTTTCTAATAAAAAGTACATAAAAGTACATCATCAGAATAAATAATTCTTATGCCAGTTTGTATTGCAAATTTTCCAAACAATGCATCAAACATAAACCCAATCCAGATGTCAATTGTGAATACAAATAGAGCTTGAGGTTGTTTTTATTAAAGGCAGTAATTTTTGAAATAGTTAATGCAACTGTTGCTAACACAATAATAGGACTCCTGGCCTCACATACTAACCTGGACTTCTGATCAAGTGCTAATTAGCCCAGTAAGGGAGGTCACCAAAAACTACTAGGGCAGTCAGTTGTGGCTGTGGGGAATTATTCTACTATTGGGGACTGAATGCAACAACTTTATTACTATTATTATTTTAAGAGGCAGGGTCTCCATCTGTCACCCATGCTGGAGTGCAGTGGTGCAATCCTAGCTCACTGCAGCCTAGAACTCCTGGGCTCAAATGATCCTCCTGCCTCAGCCTCCCAAAGTGCTGCCATTATAGGTGTGAGCCACCATGCCTAGCCTGCAATGACTTTATTACCAGGAATAAAAATATAATTACCAGCAGTTACAAGGGTTCATTCATAGTAAAGAAAAGTCTAAGTGTAGACTCTTAAATAAGCAGTTCAATGTATTTGAAGGAGATCTGAGTATTAGCCAGTGTGTTTTTCTATAAGTACTTTCCTTGTCAATGAAATCACTACTAATAAACATTTATTAGTTATAAATTTAAACCAGGAATAATAGCATAAATAAACTATGTTGGCTGCAGTGGCTCACACCTGTAATCCCAGCACTTTGGGATGCCAAGGCAGGTGGATCACCTGAGGTCAAGAGTGAGACCAGCCTGGCCAACATGGTGAAACCCCATCTCTACTAAAAATACAAAAATTAGCCAGGCATGGTGGCGGGCACCTGTAATCCCAGCTACTCAGGAGGCTGAGGCAGGAGAATTGCTTGAACTCAGGAGGCAGAGGTTACAGTGAGCCCAGATCACGTCATTGCACTCCAGCCTGGGTGACAAGAGCGAAACTCTGTCTCAAAAAAAAAAAAAGTCTGAACTACTGCTAAAGCCAAAGTTAATGTTTGGTGTTAGCATTTGTTATGCACATAATTATTACAGGGGCACCAAATCCTGGTTTTGCTCAGTTAAGGGCAGCATCCATGGGCATCCTAATTGATGGGTAGAAACCTCCAAGAGATTAACAGTGTAATACAGATAATCCCCAGCATCCATAAATGATTCAGGAGTAGAACCTGATTGTTACCAGAGCAGAGCTTTTTTTTTTTTCTTTGATAAAGGAAAAAGTTCAAAAAAATTCTTCCTCAGAAAAAAATTATAAATCAGAAATGGTCAAATACTAACTAATACTTTTTCTGCACTTGGTGTTATAAGTATTCAAATACATCTATTGAGGGAAAAAGACTTTTTTAAGAAAAGTATCATGTATGAGAAAGAAAATTAGCTGTTGGGGACAAACAGAGTAATGGTATGGGAAGTGTCCTAGAGGGTCATTCACTGTAAGTGGCAGCTGAGGGCATGTTCTTCAAGCATGTACCTCTGAGGGCAGTGTGCCCTTTGATAATGTGGTCACTTTTTTTTTTTTTTTTTTTGAGACAGAGTCTCACTCATCGCCCAGGCTGGAGTGCAGTGGCACGATCTCGGCTCACTGCAAGCTCCGCCTCCTGGGTTCACGCCATTCTCCTGCCTCAGCCTCCCGAGTAGCTGGGACTACAGGTGCCCACCACCATGCCCGGCTAATTTTTTGTATTTTTAGTAGAGACAGGGTTTCACCGTGTTAGCCAGGATGGTCTCGATCTCCTGACCTCGTGATCCGCCCGCCTCGGCCTCCCAAAGTGCTGGGATTACAGGCGTGAGCCATCGTGCCCAGCCATCACTTTTAAATTGTTTTACCTAAAGGTGGATTTCTAGTCTTCTGTTTCTGAACTAAGCCTACCACCAAAAAATATGGAATTCCAGTAAAACTGAACCCTTCAAATATTAGCCTGTATGCATTCTGACCTTCTTAGCCATAGATGGTTATCAGCGGTAAGAAAGAATTGACTTGACAAGGAGTTTTTCTGTTTAATACCTGCCTATTTTCTGTTTACTGTATCATTGTTCTGTGTAGCAACAGACCTGTAAACCACACAGAGGATACTGGAAATAGCACATTTTCAATAATTCTGTGAGCTTCTTTTTTTTCCTTTTTCTTTTCTTTTCTTTTTTTAATTACACTTAAGTTCTGGGATACATGTGCAGAACATGCAGTTTTGTTACATAGTACACATGTGCCATGGTGGTTGCTGCACCCATTAACTTGTCATCTACATTAGGTATTTCTCCTAAAGCTATCCCTCCCCTAGCTCCCCACCCCCTAACAGGCAAGCCCCAATGTGTGATGTTCCCCTCCTTGTGCCCATATGTTCTCATTGTTCAACTCCCACTTACAAGTGAAAACATGCAGTGTTTGGTTTTCTGTTCCTGTGTTAGTGAGAATAATAGTTTCTAGCTTCATCCATGTCCCTGCAAAGGACATGAACTTGTTCTTTTTTTATGGCTGCATAGTATTCTATAGTGTATATGTGCCACATTTTCTTTATCCAGTCTATCATTGATGGACATTTGGGTTGATTCCAAGTCTTCACTATTGTGAATAGTGCCGCAATAAACATACGTGTGCATGTGTCTTTATAGCAGAATGATTTATAATCCTTTGGGTATATACCCAGTAATGGGATGGCTGGGTCAAATGGTATTTCTAGTTCTAGATCCTTGAGGAATTGCCACACTGTCTTCCACAATGGTTGAACTAATTTACACTCCCACCAGTAGTGTGAAAGCATTCCTATTTCTCCACATCCTCCCCAGCATCTGTTGTTTCCTGACTTTTTAATGATCACCATTCTAACTGGAGTGAGATAGTATCTCATTGTGGTTTTGATTTGCATTTCTCTAATGAAGACCAGTGACGATGAGCTTTTTTTCATGTGTTTGTTGGCTGCATAAATGTCTTCTTTTGAAAAGTGTCTGTTCATATCTTTTGCCCACTTTTTGATGGAGTTGTTTTTTTCTTGTAAATTTGTTTAAGTTCCTTATAGATTCTGGATATTAGCCTTTTTTTTTTTTGAGACTGAGTTTTGCTCTTGTTGCCCAGGGTAGAGTGCAATAGCACGATCTCAGCTCACCACAACCTGCACCTCCTGGGTTCAAGTGATTCTCCTGCCTCAGCCTCCCAAGTAGCTGGGATCACAGGCATGCGCCACCATGCCCAGCTAATTTTGTATTTTTGGTAGAGAAGGGGTTTCTCCTTGTTGGTCAGGCTCGTCTCATACGCCCGACCTCAGGTGAACCGACTGCCTCGGCCTTCCACATTGCTGGGATTACAGGCATGAGCCACCGCGCCCGGCCTGGATATTAGCCCTTTGTCAGATGGACAGATTGCAAAAATTTTCTCCCATTCTGTAGGTTGCCTGTTCACTCTAATGATAGTTTCTTTTGCTGTGCAGAGGCTCTTTAGTTTAATTAGATCCCATTTGTCAATTTTGGCTTTTATTGCCATTGCTTTTGGTGTTTTAGTCATGAAGTCTTTTCCCATGCCTGTGTCCTGAATGGTATTGCCTAGGTTTTCTTCTAGGATTTTCATGGTTTTAGGTCTTACATTTAAGTCTTTAATCCATCTTGAGTTAATTTTTGTATAAGGTGTAAGGAAGGGATTTGGTTTCAGCTTTCTGCATATGGCTAGCCAGTTTTCCCAACACCATTTATTAAATAGGGAATCCTTTCCCCATTGCTTGTTTTTGTCAGGTTTGTCAAAGATCAGATGGTTGCAGATGTGTGGCATTATTTCTGAGGCCTCTGTTCTGTTCCATTGGTCTATATTTCTGTTTTAGTACCAGTACCAAGCTGTTTTGGTTACTGTAGCCTTGTAGTATAGTTTGAAGTCAGGTAGCATGATGCCTCCAGTTTTATTCTTTTTGCTTAGGATTGTCTTGGCTATACGGGCTCTTTTTTGGTCCCATATAAAATTTAAAGTAGCTTTTCCTAATTCTGTGAAGAAAGTCAATGGTAGTTTGATGGGAGTAGCATTGAATCTATAAATTACTTTGGGCAGTGTGGCCATTTTCACAGTATTGTTTCTTCCTATCCATGAGCATGGAATGTTTTTCCATTTGTTTGTGTCCTCTTTTATTTCATTGAGCAGTGGTTTGTAGTTCTCCTTGAAGAGGTCCTTCACATCCCTTGTAAGTTGTATTCCTAGATATTTTATTCTCTTTACAGCAATTGTGAATGGGAATTCACTCATGATTTGGCTCTCTGTTTGTCTATTATTGGTGTATAGGAATGTTTGTGATTTTTGCACATTGATTTTGTATCCTGAGACTTTGCTGAAGTTGCTTATCAGCTTAAGGAGTTTGGGGCTGAGACAATGGGGTTTTCTAAATATACAATTAAGTCATCTGCAAGCAGAGATAATTTGACTTCCTCTCTTTCTATTTTAATACCCTTTATTTCTTTCTCTTGCCTGATTGCCCTGGCCAGAACTTCCAACACTATGTTGAATAGGAGTGGTGAGAGAGGGCATCCTTGTCTTGTGCCGATTTTCAAAGGGAATGCTTCCAGCTTTTGCCCATTCCATATGATACTGGCTGTAGGTTTGTCATAAATAGCTCTTATTATTTTGAGATACGTTCCATCAATACCTAGTTTATTGAGTGTTTTTAGCATGAAGGGGTGTTGAATTTTATCAAAGGCCTTTTCTGCATCTATTGAGATAATCATATGGTTTTTGTCATTGGTTCTGTTTATGTGATGGATTATGTTTATTCATTTCTGTATATTGAACCAGCCTTGCATCCCAGGGATGAAGCTGACTTGGTCGTGGTGGATAAGCTTTTTAATGTGCTGCTGGATTCAGTTTGCCAGTATTTTATTGAGGATTTTTGCATCGATGTTCATCAGGGACATTGGCCTGAAATTTTCTTTTTTTGTTGTGTCTCTGACAGGTTTTGGTATCAGGATGATGCTGGACTCATAAAAAAGGGAGGAGTCCCTCTTTTTCTATTGCTTGGAATAGTTTTAAAAGGAATGGTACCAGCTTTTCTAACTACCATCAGAGAATACCATAAACACCTCTACACAAATAAACTAGAAAATCTAGAAGAAATGTGTAAATTCCTGGACACATATACCCTCCCAAGACTAAACCAGGAAGAAGTTGAATCCCTGAATAGACCAATAACAAGTTCTGAAATTGAGGCAGTAATTAATAGCCTACCAACCCAAAAAAGACCAGGATTCACAGCCAAATGCTGTGAGCTTCTAAGGATAGTGGTTATGTTCTGCTCACTGACTTCTCCCTAAGGCAACTGGGTGGCCCTGTGTTGGGGGTGGGCACAAATACTTAATGATGGTGATGATTTTGCTTAATTTTGGCCTCCATTTTGAGTTATTGTGTGTTCGTCTTGGGTTAGGATGAAGATTGCAATGAAAAGAATGGCTGCCATGAAAGTGAGCCATCAGTGACGACTGAGGCTGTGCACTACCTATACATCCAGGTGAGGTCGTGGTGTGTAGTTAGGTGACACAGCAACACCCAGTAGTGGCGGGTGGGCCTGTTTCAGGGTATTAGAACAAGATAATGGACAGAGGAGGGCTTATTGCCACTACCAAAGATTAATTGGCCGAGAGGATTACCATATGGAGGCCCTTTTCCCCAGCCTTGAACTCATGCTTTCCTGCCACATATCAGGAGCAGCCACAGGGCAGCTCTGGGCTCAGGCTGTGTAAGTTCACATCCTGGATCCACCTGTTAGGACTGCATGAACTCGGGCAAGGTTCTTCAGCATCTTGTGCCTCAGTTTCCCCATCTATAAATTACAT
Organism: Homo sapiens; assembly: GCF_000001405.40. Lineage (NCBI taxonomy): Eukaryota > Metazoa > Chordata > Mammalia > Primates > Hominidae > Homo > Homo sapiens. The sequence goes on from NC_000015.10 coordinate 39,986,214, forward strand.
AATAGTAGTTCTTATAGACTTGTAAAGAATAAATAACATGTGAAGTACTTAGAACCATATCTGAGTTCCATAAGTGCTAGACTGCATGAGCACAGAAACTCTACTTTGCCTAACCACCTGAATCTGGACAAGTAAGATATGATGTGCACACATGCCTGTACATGCAAAAGTAACACCAAGGTGACTTTAGGCAAAGTGGCTTGACCAGGAACCTCTGGAGACCAGTGCACAGGCAAGCCAGTTCCAATGGGGCATGACTGAGAAGTCTGAGCTTTGGCCTGCCTACCTGCCAGAGCAACAACATCCTAAACAGGGGTGAGTGGGCTCTTCCAGTAGAGGAGTGGCCATAAAACAAGTTGGCCGGGCACGGTGGCTTACGCCTGCAATCCCAGCACTTTGGGAGGCCGAGGCGGGTGGATCACCTGAGGTCAGGAGTTTGAGACCAGTCTGGCTAACACAGTGAAACCCCGTTACTACTAAAAATACAAAAAATTAGCCAGGCATGGTGGTGTGCTCCTGTAATCCCAGCTACTCAGGAGGCTGAGGCAGGAGAATCACTTGAACCCAGGAAGCGGAGGTTGCAGTGAGCCGAGATTGCATCATTGCACTCCAGCTTGGGCAACAAGAGTGAAACTCTATCTAAAAAACAAACAACAACAACAACAACAAAAACAAAGAAGTCTTTCCTCTGCCCCAAGGGAACAGGACTGTGGGTCACTGTTAGTATTTCAGTCATAACTGCAAGCAGGCAGATCTTTAAATGTGAGATACAGAACTGGGCAGAAAAAGGAACCCTCGACAAGTTACAGCATTTTGAATGAGATGAATTAGGTATTTGCTTTCCTGGAGTTGGAGCTGGTTTTAGGTATTCCGTAACATAAATATCTTTGAGGTACCACTTACACAGATAATAAAGCATTGGTCCCCCAAACCACTGTTTATCCTCTATTATATTCCATTACCTTCTACACAATTAGAATGAGATAGAAGTACACAAAGGAGGTGCATCCGACATGCATCAGGATCACGGTGTGGGCATCAGAGGGGGCCTTGTGAGGCCCGGAGGGTGAACCAGAGTTTACTGACAATTATTCCGAAGGTGATAGAACAAAGTCTGGTCTTCCTCTCTTTAAAAACAATAAAACCTTTCTTCGTGAGAAATCTCAACTCTGGCACTAGTTGAAGCATATAGGCTAGTTTCATAAATCAAATGGTGCATGTTGATTTAAGATTTAAGTCATGTTGCACTGTTTTCTGATATGTGAATACACTCAAGAAGGGGTGAGACAGAGCCCCTGTGTCACTGTCCCAAGAAGACTTGAATGTTTTAATATTTATAATATTTTTCTCTAAACTTGAAGGTCATTTGTGTTTAATGTAAGAAAAGCTAATGATATAATTAGGTTAACTAACCCTCCTTGTAAATTTGGGTTTGGAAGCGATCTTGTAAAACAATAAATAAAATTTTACAACATTCTCAGTTTTTTATGTTAATTGTGATAAGTATTTTAAACAAGTCATATTTTTAAATGAGCAATAATATAAAAAATTAAAAATGGTTATGTTGGAGTGCCAAGAGTATGCATATTTACCCCCAAGGTATTTTTTAATACTGTTGGTTTCTTTTTCGTGTAGAAAACCAAGTCTTTCCCCTAACCGTTTAAAACCCATGGTACACGTTTTAAAATGGAGGATTATGTAAATTGCAGTTATACTCCTTCACTTAAAACTGTTGTGTAATCAAATTCTCCTGGTTTGTCTGTATATAGATGGAGTACTGTGAGAAGAGCACTTTACGAGACACCATTGACCAGGGACTGTATCGAGACACCGTCAGACTCTGGAGGCTTTTTCGAGAGATTCTGGATGGATTAGCTTATATCCATGAGAAAGTAAACTTTACAACATTTCATATCTGAAGACTTATGTTTACATAAATTTATGACTGCATAAAAATATCAAATGTAAGATTGGAGAAAAACTGAAATAGAGGGAAAGCTATGGGTATATTGACATAATCTATTTTTGTAGGAAATAGAACAAAGTGTCAAAGACAATAAAGTATTACAAAGTATCAGAGTATAACATTAAAAAATGTTAAGAAAACTTTAAAGGTTAGGACAGGGATCAGCAAACTGTGGCCCACAGGTCAAATCTAACCCACTGCCTGTTCTTGTATGGCCTGTGAGCTAATAATGACTCCTATATTTTTAAATGGTTGTAAAAAATTAGAAGAACATTTCGTGACACATAAAAATTACATGAAATTCAAATGTCAGTGCTCCCAAGGTTATTGGAACATAGCTATGCTCATTGGTTTACATATTGCCTATGGCTGTTTTTTTTCCATACCAGCAGATTTGAGTAGTTGCAACAGGGACTGTAAAGCCTAAAGTATTCACTCTCTGGCCCTTTACAGAAAAAATTTGTTAACCTCTGGGAGAGGAGAAAGTATTTGAACATGTAGGGAATATGAGGATGATTCCTTGAGTGCTTTAGAATTAGGGCCAGGTGCGGTGGCTCATGCCTGTAATCCCAGCACTTTGGGAGGTCAAGATGGGCGGATCACTTGAGGTCAGGAGTTCAAGACCAGACTGGTCAACATGGTGAAACCCCATCTCTACTAAAAATACAAACATTAGCTGAGTGTCGTGGTGCACACTTGTAATCCCAGCTACTTGGGAGGCTGAGGCAGGAGAATCACTTGAACCTGGGAGGTGGAGGTTGCAGTGAGCTGAGATTGTACCACTGCGCTCCAGCCTAGGTGACAGTAAGAGACTTCATCTGAAAAAAGAGAAAAAAAGAATTAAGCAAGGATGTGATTAATACCTGCCAAGTTACTTGATTCTAACTGAATTAGTGCCACCCTTCCTAGGAACACGGGGAAACCAGAAGGTCATCTAGCAAGAAGAGAAATGAGACTTTCTGAGTAACTTAGCTTGTCGCATGTCTAAAATGTCATTTTAAAGCTAGAAATTGCCATTATAATATAAATGCTAATGGGCCTAGCTTCAGGATGAAACACTGCTTACATTTTTAAAATGAGATTGTCTAATGCATTAACCAATATAAATTCATTATTTTTTTCCTTTGCCTCAAATTTCTTTAACCTTAAAATGTTTGTACTGTACCGTATTTATACTGAGAAGCAAGGGCTGTAATTTACACATGTGTAGTTTGTAAATGATTTGGTAGAAGCAGAATTTGCAAGGTTAGAAATGAAAATGAATTCTAATGAGGGCCATTTAAGCTGTATTACTGTGATTTTATCCTGGGATGCTAGAACAATGCCCCCTGTGCTCTATTCCACTCCATCCAATTTGCTCAGTATTGGCTAACCATTTGCTGGCATCTAACACTGTGCCATACCTGGAAATACAAGGAGGCACAAGTGTGTGTCCCGTGCTTGAGAGGGACTTCTTGCTCTTAGAGGGACCCAGAATTTACCTTCATGTAATGGTAAAAGAGATCATTATTTTCTCTATTATAATGCATGAAACAATACAGATTATGAGCCATTAGGAAAATGAGAAAGCAGTCTCATGTAACAAGTAATTGTTGCACACCTACTGTGTGTGCTGGGGATGCCAAGTTGAACTGTTAGAATTACTGTGGAAGGCTCATGAATGAGTTGGCAATTGCAAATGTTGGTATAGTGCAAATGCATGGAAAAAAGCGAGTATCCTACGAAGGGGAGAGGGTACAAAGAAAGGAATAGAAGAAGGAATAAAAATGGTGTGTCTCCCTGACCAGAGGAGAGGTTTTGTAATGCAGCAGAGGTAAGGGTAACTTGGTGAACCCAGTGGAAGGGGCCTTGGATGCCACAGGGAACTATTTAGAATTCACCTGGTCAGGATACCACCAGGTAGAACTAGGAAACAGTAAAGAGGTCATAGGACAGTCAGGACATATTGCAGAGGCCAGACAGCCTGGACCAGGGTGGTCTGTGGGAGAAGACCTCATACGATTTTCATCGCTAGGTTGGCCTTTTAAATTAGGAAGTAGGTATAACTTTATGCATGGAAAACCATTGTTTGTTTCTTCACTCTCTTTCAACAGGGAATGATTCACCGGGATTTGAAGCCTGTCAACATTTTTTTGGATTCTGATGACCATGTGAAAATAGGTGATTTTGGTTTGGCGACAGACCATCTAGCCTTTTCTGTAAGTATTTTAAAAATTAGACTGTACCTAAAAACAGACTCAGATGTCTTGATAATCCTGGAAGTGTTAGCGGATAGAATAGTGCGTTCACAGAACTATGCCGTCTAATCCTCAGGAGATTATACAAACCTGAAGGGGTATGCTGCAAATGATCTTGTAGGCTTTGCAATTGTGAGTATATTTTTTTGAGTGCATTCCACTTGAGGGACACAAAATTATTGGCTTGGGAACAATATTGTGGTCAAAGGTGTACAGTACTTTATGAAATCATTTGGTATTTTGGTCTACCATGCCTGGCACTGGGCTAGATGCTTTATACCTCAGAGGCTTTTGTTGGTTTGGGGAAATGAGGCTCAAAAACGTAAAACACCAGGAGACCATACAGTTGTAAGGCTCAAGAAAGGCTGGATAACGACAGTGGCATTTCAGATGTCCTTAAATGGTGGTTGGGAGTCCAACAGGTGGAGGTTGAGGGCAGGGCCTGGTGGCCCCAGGGTGGGAATTCCAGAGAGAGCACAGCATAAGCAGAGGCCCCGGGGTAAGCAGACTTGGCTGTCGGAAGACCAGCATACTGTCTGACTGGTCGAAACTGTGAGGTGCAGGGGAGAGTAAGAGGATGCGGGGCAGTTGAGGAGTCACTGGAAGGTTGGGCAGTCTTGTAGGTGGTAGGCTTTGAATGCCAGAGGAGGAATTTTGCTTCACATTATAAACCCAAGTTATTAAGCACCAAGATCTGTGGGAAATGCAGTTAATTCCAAGGGTGATCAGGAAAGGAAAATAGGATTTGAGTTAATGGTGAGAATAACCACTGGGGCCAAGTTAGAAGGTGAGACTAGGAGTGGAAAGGGAGGAGAGGGAAGGCAGACAGTACGGACAGGGTCCCGATCATGCTCCCCATGGAGTATATGGGAGAGTGCTGAGACCAAGGACGGGCCAGATGGTGGGGATCTTGATCCCCAAACTAAAGAATTTAACTTGATATCTGGAAGGCTGTAGCATAGTGAGATAGATAAGAGCTCAGGCTCTGGAATCTCACTGACCTGGACTAGAATCCTATCTCTGCCACTGCTTTGTAGCATGATATTGGACAATTAATTAACTTCTCAATACCTCATTTGTAAAGTGTGCCTAATACTAGTGCCTAGCTGAAAAAGTTATCAGGAAGATAAATAAGAATGCAGGTAAAGCACCTAGAACAGTGCCCAGCACTAAGAATGTTGAAGCCGGTGTTACTGATGGTGATGCTTGTAATGGGAAGCACCTATTACAAGTGCAGACATAACAATAGTGACTTAGGGTATTGACAACACTGTTGCACATAGTGGAGCAAGGTGAGGCTACCTGGGGGGCATTAGCCATGAGCGAGGGTGGAACATATTTGCTGAGCAGCCTCTAGGAAAGAAGAATAAAAATTGATGCAGAGAAAGTAACAGCAGTGGGTAAGTTGAAAGATGAATTTGTTGTTTTTAATATAATCTTACTCTTCTTAGAAAACAGATTCTGTTTTTGGCATTTGCAACATGAAAATAAATTGGTTTCTCTAAGTGTTTGCATATTTCTGTCCTAAAGAAAGAGTTGTACAGTGATTGCCCCCCTCCCTCTTGATTTCATTGGGTTTTCTGAGAGCCTTGCATTAGTGGGTTAACTAAACTAGAAAAAAAATTAAAACTCAAAGCGTTATTATATTATTTTGATTTCCATGTAATATTTCCTCAGTCTTCATTTAGAAACAGACAAGCCATTCTCATGGAATAATATCATGTTTTAATTGGATATTTGGCTTACTTATATTTTTAGGCTGACAGCAAACAAGACGATCAGACAGGAGACTTGATTAAGTCAGACCCTTCAGGTAAACCCAGAAGACTATATATTTCATCCATGTGTTAAAGACCCCAGAATTTCTTAACCTGAAACCTGTTTTTTACTTGTAAAGGTTTTATTCTACGGCAGATTTTAATTGCTCCTTAAGTTAACAAAATTATGGAAACGTTTTAATCTTTTTTTCCTTTTCAATTTATGAATTATTCTTTGAACTTTAAGAAATTAGAGCTTCAGTGAGTAGAATAATTGGCTCCCAGGGGTAGACAGTTTTATTTTGTCTAACCTCCATTGGTAATGTGAGGTTACCTCATGACCTGATCCATCTGGGGTCTTATCTGGCACTGTCCCTCCTCTTCAATAGCAAAGACATCCTTGTGTAGAACCGAATGTGTGGCCATACGTGACTTATGGTTATTCATTTGGTACAATGCATGCTCTGCTTCCTGTGAGTGGCATAGACAGTTAACAGATCATGCCTCACTTTTAAGAAACCTTTTTTTGTTTTTAGTTTGTGTCTTCTGTAAGTGCTATTATTGGGACGTTTTCCCTCTGTTTTCCTCCACACAGGTCACTTAACTGGGATGGTTGGCACTGCTCTCTATGTAAGCCCAGAGGTCCAAGGAAGCACCAAATCTGCATACAACCAGGTAAGAGGTTTTGTGGGGAAAAGGAATCTCAAAATTAAGGTAATAGGACATCTAGATCACAGCATTTGGGATTTAGTCCCGGCTAAAATAGTCAAGACATCCACTCATTCACACTCCAGGAAGGACTCATGGTCCTAAGGATAGTGACTGAAACTGGCACTGCTGCTGCCAGGAGCTTACAGTCCATCCATCCATCCATCCATCCATCCATCCATCCATCCATCCATTCATCCATCCATCCATCCATCCATCCATCCACCCACCCATCCACCCATCCATCCACCCACCCATCCATCCACCTGTCCATCCACCCGTCCATCCACCCATCCATCCACTCGTCCATCCGTCCGTCCGTCCATCCATCCATCCATCCAGCCATCCATCCATCCATCCATCCAAAGAATGTGCAAACCAACCCCTATCTTGGGCAAGGTGCCAGGAACAGATGTGGCTCCAGCCCTCAGGGAGCTTGTCCACTGGTGGATGAAACAGACAACAAATAAGTAAAAAATAAAAGATATAGCCACAAATTGTGGTGAGGGCTAGGAAGAAAAGAAATGGAACTGAGTGACAAAGAGAACAGATTGACCAGGGAAGATCTCTTGAGAGGATGGCATTTAGGATAAAGGATGAGAAAGGACAAGCCACACAGATTTGGGGGCTGACACATGCCAGGGAGGGAGATGGTAAGGAGCAGAGGAAACTGCACACATAAAGAGAAAGCCCTGAGTGAGAGAGACAGCTTGGCACATTTAAGACAGCCAAAAGGAAGGCTAGTGTGGCCACAGTGTGGCAAGCAACAGGGGACAGAGGCATGAAGTTAAGCTGGAAAAGAAGGCAGGGAAAGATCACACAGAGCCAGGTTGGCCTGGATAAGGAGTGTGCATTTAATTTGAAGTACACAGGGAGCCAGTGAAGAATCTTGAGCAAGAGAGTTCACTCTGGCTGCTGCGAGGAGGCTCTGCAGGAAGTCCTGGTAAGGCGGTTGGCAGCTGGAACTGGACTGCAAGCAGTAGAAATGGAGAGAAGTGTGCTGAATTAGGAAGGGAATTGAGAGATTTTCCCAATGGAAGGGATGTTGGATGAGAATTAGGAAGGGATTTGAGAGATTTTCCCAACGGAAGGAATGTTGGATGAGAATGAGGAAGGGAAAGAGTCCAGGGCTCAGGTTTCTTTCTGGAACACCTGGGTGAAGAGTATTTGACTGAAGTGAGGAAACCTAAGGACAGACATAAGAGGAAGGAGGAGAAGATGACAGAAAAATTCAGTTTGAGGCATGTTAGTTTGAAATATCTGATGAGAAATCCAATTAGAGATTTCGAGTAGATTGTTAGAGACCCAACACTTGAGTTCAGAGGAAAGGTGAGAATCAGAAGGATAAATTTGAAATCAGCACACAGATAGGATTTAAAGCTATGAGACTGGATGAGATCACTTAGGGCAAGAGTGTAAAGCTAAACTTTAAAAACACATTAGGTGCCAGGCATGGTGGTTCATGCCTATAATCCCAGGACTTTGGGAGGCTGAAGCAGGAGGATTGCCTGAGCTCAGGAGTTCAAAACCAGCCTGGGTAACATAGCGAGACCTCATCCCTACTAAACATCAAAAAAATTAGCCAGTCCTGGTGGCACACGTCTGTAGTCCCAGCTCCTCAGGAGGCTGAGGTGGGAGGACTGCTTGAGGCCAGGAGATTGGGGCTGCAGTGAGCTGTGATCATGCCAGTGCACTCCAGCCTGGGCAACGGAGCAAGACCCTGTCTGAATCAATTATATATGTGTAAAATAAAATACATTAGGAAAGCAATTTGCATCAAAGCAAATGCTCAGGCTTGCAGTGGAGATTCAAGCCTGGGTTTTGGTTCTGACAGGGAGCATTGGACAACAACATAAAGTTGAAACAGACATCTAAGTACCTGGTGAGGGTGAGGGTTAGGGTATCAGGAGATGGACTGCACACACTGTGAGTGTGGGCAGACACCTTTAGTGTCATTATTATTATTATTATTATTTTGAGATGGAGTCTTGCTCTTTTCGCCCAGGCTGGAGCACAGCGGTGGGCCATCAGCTCACTGCAACCTCCGCCTCCCAGGTTCAAGCAATTCTCCTGCCTCAGACTCCCGAGTAGCTGGGATTACAGACGCCTGCCACCATGCCTGGCTAATTTTTGTATTTTTAGTAGAGACAGGGTTTCACCATGTTGGCCAGGCTGGTCTCAAACTCCTGACCTCAGATGATCCACTTGCCTCAGCCTCCCAAAGTGCTGGGATTACAGGCATGAGCCACTGCACCTGGCCGTATATACATATTTTTTTAAAAAACCAAAGTGGGGGCATCTTAGACATCAGTAATAAATATCCCTGAGTGGTGGGATCATGAGATTGCTATTTTATTCTTGGTGCTTTTGTTCTATGTTTTCTATAGCCAACACGTATAGGAAATGCCACAGTGAATGTTTTTAAGATGTCGGAGGTCACCAGTGACAATCCAAGAGTCTCGCCGCCCCCTCTTTGAGTCCAAATGTATTCAAGAGTATTGCTTGAAAATGTTTTCCATTGTCCTGAAAGCGGCTCTACACCCTGCACCTCTGTGCCCCTGACCATGTGCAGTCTTTTCCTCGGCAGCTGTGTCATGCTCGGTTTCCTCAGATGCACTCCCTTCCCAACGCCATCTTCTCCTTCGTGGCACCCTACTTAGATTTTCTCTGCACTGACTTGCCTTTTTGCTTCTTTTTTCTTTTTATTGTAGATACTTTTTTTGTTTTTGTCAATTATTTAATAGTTATCTTGATTATTTATATCCTTCTAGTTTTTTGACTTTAGTGTTTTTTTCTGTAGCTTTTTATTTTTATTTATTTTTTATTTTTTTCCTAGCTTATGGAGGTATGATTGATGAAACTTGTCTATATTTAGGGTGTACAATGTGATGTTTTGATATATGTTTACATTGTGAAATGATTACCACAGCGAAGCTGACCGACATACCCATCACCTCACCTGGTTTCCATTTTTTGTGTATGGTAAGAACGCTTGAGAGCTACTTTCTTAGCAAACCTCAAGAATACAATGCGTTATTATTAATTATAGTCACCATGCCGTGCTTTAGATCTCCAGAATGTATTCATTTTATAACTGAAAATGCGTGCCCTTTGACCAGCACCTCCCCTTGACCCCCAGTCCCCAGCCCCTGGTAGCCATCATTCTGTTCTCTGTTACTGTGGGTTTGACTTTTATTTAGATTCTACATACCAGTGAGATCATGTAGTATTTGCCTTTCTGTGTCTAGCTTATTTCACCTAACATAATGTCCTGCAGGTTCATCTATGTTGTCACAAATGGCAAGATTCTCTTCTTTTTGAAGGCCATATGACCCTGTAGTCAGGAGCTGGCCTTTTCTATCAGCCGCAGATTTTGGTCTGTGTTTCACTTTTAAGATGGTTAGCTAAGATGTGAAACAAAGCAAATTCTTATGATCAATCTCAGTTGTCCTTGCTCTTCAGCCATTATTTCCAGTTTTCAGCCAGTGGTTTTCTATGTCTGTGGATACAACTAAACCAGTTACCATTAATTTTCTAGGAAGGCCAGGCGTGTTGGCTCATGCCTGTAATCCCAGCACTTTAGGAGGCCAAGGTGGGTGAATCACTTGAGTCCAGGAGTTGGAGACCAGCCTGGGCAACATGGCAAAACCCACTCTGTACAAAAAATACACACAAAAAAATTAGCTGGGCATGGTGGTGCACACCTGTAGTCCCAGCTACTTGGGAGGCTGAGGTGGAAGGATTGCTTGAGCCCAGGAGGCAGAGGTTGCAGTGAGCCGAGACTGCACCACTGCACTTCAGCCTGGGTGACAGAGTGAGACTCTGCCTCAAAAAAGAAAAAAAATTTCTAGGAAAATGTTTAAAGACATCATGCCAAATATTTTATCATCATCTGAATACAAAATATATCATTTAGCCTTTATAACCATAATTTTTAAGAACAAATCTTCGCATTTTTCCAGTGTGACCTGTTTTGTACTCCTACAAACTTTATTTCAGCTAACAATGCTTATCCTATAATTCCCTGGTAAATTATACTTTCATATCAAGGCTCTCTAAATGCAATTATTCTTCCCCCTCAGAAAGTGGATCTCTTCAGCCTGGGAATTATCTTCTTTGAGATGTCCTATCACCCCATGGTCACGGCTTCAGAAAGGATCTTTGTTCTCAACCAACTCAGAGATGTATGTATCAGGTGTTTTAGTGCCTACATTTTCAGTAACCGGAATCTTAGCACAGAGATCAGAATTCAAAGCAGGATATTTTTCTGGTATTTATAATATAGAAGAGGCTGCCCTACTGTAATTTTAATGACTCATTTATTCAGATATGCAAGACTAACCAGTTTTCCCATTTTTAGTGAAACATTTTTCTGAGCAAAGGAAGTCACCTCAGTTAAATTCTTAAAATAGCAGTTTTGGGAGCCAAAGATCATCAGCATGTAGGAGGGATCTTACTGGTCTCTCCACTATGTTTCCACAGTGAGGTAAATGGAACCCTACCTCTGATGATGGGAAACTTGCCCCAGTTTTGTTTGTTTTTGGAAATCTTACCTGGAGAAATTGCTAGGTTATAGTTGCTTTTTAAAAAATTATTCTGAGATTTACTCTTGATTTTAAAGCAAAGGAAGAAGCCACAAAATTGGGCTTGATATGAATATGGTTATAACAAGGGAGTAGATTGTAAAGAAATGGGTATTTAGTTCTAGAAGTTAAAGATGCCTGTTGAATGGGCCAGTTGTAGTAACGTCTAAAGAAAACTACCAAGACCAGAAGTTAAAACGGGTCCGAAAAAAATATCTGCCCCTTGAAATGTTTTTCCCAATGAAATTTCCATTTGTGTTCTTGGGATTAATCCTTGCCTCATTTACTGCCTGAGCTAAAAAGGGACCAGTGTTACATGTGCGAGGTCAGAGATGCCCATGAGCAAACCGCATTAAGATGAAAGTGAAGAGTGAGGTTTGGGTGAGAGTGATTTAAATTCACATATTTATGAGCGAGACATCTGGAGAGCCACCTTCTTTCTTACTGAGCAGAGTGAAGCAGGAATATTTATTAAGTTAATTCATAAACACGATAACTAGAATGCAGTAAGAATACTCCTGTATTCCACTATAAGAACACTTCTCTGGATAATTTTGAAAACAAATTATTTTACTGTGAGTACAGTGTGGACAGCTGTGTTCGTAAAGTATAGGACTAAGTGAAGTGATTTCTATTGCCTCGCCTTGACTGCAATGCTCTTAGATGATTATGTCCTTAATGAAGTGCCTTTCTTTAGTCTAAAATTCATGTTTATTTACCAGAAAGGTGAGAACTTTTGGGGAAGTAGAGATTTTTTTTCTCTTACTCTATCTGTGTTGGTATATGGGTGTGGTTTTTTTTTTTTGTTTTGTTTTTTTTTGCCTTTTTTCATCTGCATGTTTAATTAAACTACTTTGTTGTTCTCTGAAGCCATTAGGTTTTTACTTTGTACCCAGATGTGCTTTCTGCCCCTTGAAATTTTTTTCTCAGTGAAATTTCCATTTATGTTTTTGGGGTTAGTCCTTGCCTCTGTTACTGCCTGAGCTAAAAGGGACCAATGTTATAGTATGTGAGGTCAAAGGTGCAGACAGCATTAGGACGAAAGTGAAGAGTGAGGTTTGGGTGAGGCTGTCATTTGGGTAAAGTTTATATTAAAATAATATGTATGTAATTGGAAGAATAAGCGTCAGGTTTCAAGAAGGTATCACCTATCTTTTCTTGCTAGCAAATTTTTATTTCTGTATTTGATTTTCTTACTTATGGTGAATAAATGCTTTCACTGTGGCAGTCTGCCAAAACCTTGCTGATTTGAATATATTTTTTTAGCCCACTTCGCCTAAGTTTCCAGAAGACTTTGACGATGGAGAGCATGCAAAGCAGGTAATTTTCTGATGCGTCAATTACTATGTCTTCAGTCTTGCATTTTAATTATTATTTTTCTTCTTTTTCAATTAGTAATCTTCTGCCACTCATTCTCTTGTGTCCTGGGAACAACGTGGGGAAAAAATATGAAAAGATGAAGCACTTAAAATGTCATTAGACTTGAACTACACCATAAAAATGCCAAGGGCTGGCACAGAAAATTAACAAACTGCAGGGTTCTTTTGTGCAATTCGTTGTGCTTTTGAAGTGCTATTTGGACCCTTGGCTTAGCTGTTGAAAAAAAAAAAGAATCCTTTTACAACTCATTGTTTTTGATAAAGCTTGGGGCTTTAAGAAAAAAATATAATTTAAAACTGTAATTTTGTTCTGTTTTGTGGTTGCAGTAGCTCAGATTATGGGGGAAGGGTTGCATTTTCTGGACAGTCTATTGTCACAGTATTTTAAAGCAAAATAAATTCTCCTATATACCATAAATATCTGAGTATATGTGTGTGTGACTCATGACATAGGCTAATATTGGCATCCAGCAAATATTAAAAAAAATATTATTGGTGAATGTGTGTATTGGGCTTCTGGTATGCCTTTCTTCTGAGTGCCAGTTGTTTGTCTTGGTACAGTGGTTAATACTCTTGTCATATGGAAGTTTCTCAAACTGACTTACTGACAATTATAATCAAGGCAAACTCCTTATTTAAATCATTAATGTTGAGAACAAAAGCATAGATGGAATATTGTATTAATTTGGTCCTTCTTGCTTGCTGGTTATGTATCTGAATGGACATGCCACTTTTCTAGACTTTAATTTCCCTCACCTATAAAATAAAAAGATTAAGTACTCTTTATTTATATTAGCACTAACATTGTGTCATTTGGTAAGTTTAACATGATGGTTATTTATGGCTGTAGGGACCTATTCTGCCTCATCTGTTTAATTAGTGAAGGCCATTAGAAATACATTGAGTCATGTTTCTGCTTCTTTTGGTAGCTATTATTGTTTCTGGGTGTCATAAGTAAACATTCATTTCATAGCCTTTCCTTATGACAAGGTCAGTCTTATTTGGTGTTTCCCCTTGTTGACAGCTAAGATGGCCCAGGAACTATACAAACCATTTTTCACCATGAGGACTGCACTCCTACCATCAGATATATATTAGATACCCTTGAGCATTTGAGTCTGGGCTGTACAAATTGGCACCAAAACAAAAACAACAAAACCACAACCACCTCCCATGTCATAGTCATTGCTTTTTAGCTGAAAGGAGGAAACTTAGAAGATGCTTATAGAATGAGCATAGCATAATTTTTTGCCATGCACATTTACCAGTACAGCAGGGTCTATTATGCTCAATAGGGTATTCTTGTTTTTGTCAGTTTAATATACCTTTCATAAAAGTTGTATCATGTCATTTTCTTTCTATATAATACTCCTATATCCCATACAAACTAATTGCCTGTGTTTTTATTTTACCCTAATACTGGAAGGAGAGTGGTAGGGGGGCATATTTTAAAGATTTATAACTAGAAAATGCTTAATAAAGTCCATCTAATAATTGAGGTTTTCTTATCTCAAATATTTCTCTAACTCCTTATAAATCTTTATTATAAACAAGAGGATTAAACATCATTAAGGAACCTCTCAAAGGTTTAGATTGCCTTCATATGGTTCACTGCTTTAATGAGGTGGCTGTGAAGATATAACAAATCAGTAACATAAATCAAGAGAATTCAAGGGAATGGTATCAATGCAAATAACATAAATGGAGAAGAAACCATTAAAACAAGATGTTTTACATTGCTTTTAGGATTCCAGCAGTTATTATGCATTACAATTTCTACTAAAATTAGGCATGTAAAGCTATTTGTTTTATCTTTTTACATCTTTTTATACGATATTTTCTGTGTTTATAAGGCCTAATTTCTGCTTCTATGTAGTTGTTGATTTGATTTTTTTTGGTTGTGACAATAAGGTATAAAAACAAGGGGCCTCCTTTTAAGAAATGTTCATACTACATTGTTGCACAACTCTGTGGTCATAATAAAGCAGAAAAAATAATGACCTATTCAGAAATTTCAGAATGTCAGTTAAGTGCAAGAATAGTGGCACCTTTTCTTTGACCTGAACTGACTACTGACTTGTCCGGAGAATAGCTGAGCATTATCCATTGCATCCCATTAGCAGTGTGCCTGGGTTTTATTGTAGAAATCAGTCATCTCCTGGCTGTTGAACCACGATCCAGCAAAACGGCCCACAGCCACAGAACTGCTCAAGAGTGAGCTGCTGCCCCCACCCCAGATGGAGGAGTCAGAGCTGCATGAAGTGCTGCACCACACGCTGACCAACGTGGATGGGAAGGCCTACCGCACCATGATGGCCCAGATCTTCTCGCAGCGCATCTCCCCTGCCATCGATTACACCTATGACAGCGACATACTGAAGGTGGGCTTAAGCCACGCTGCACAAAGGGAGCTTCACCTTGTCCACAAAAGGATCAAGCCAGTTTCTCACAGATTCTTTTAATGCCTCTAACATAAGTTCTTATGTGAGGTATTGGAAGCCCCTAAAAGTACATGCAAAATGTGTGTATATGCATTCAGGGAAGAGGACCCATACTTTCAGTCACCTACTTGAAGGAGTCCTTGACCTTTCCTCCTCCCTACCCACCCAAGAGATTAAGAAGCAGTGCCTACAAAAATTAGCCGTGCGTGGTGGCATGCACCTGTAATCCCAGCTACCCGGGAGGCTGAGGCAGGAGAATCGCTTGAGCCTGGGAGGCAGGCGGAGGTTGCAGAGAGCCGAGATCGTGCCACTGCACTCCAGCCTGGGAGACAGAGCAAGACCCCAACTCAAAAAAAAAAAAAAAAAAGAAACAGTGCATTTAGAGACTGATCCCTAGCCCAAACGCCCAGAGCCATAAGCATCAACCAGCTCATATCTAGATGAAGTATAAAGTAGTTCCCAGTGCTGGTTGCACATCTACTTCATCTCAGAAACTCTCTGACAATGCAGATGCCCAGGTCCCGTAGCCCATCTAGTGGCTCAGAATCTCCAGGTGTGAGGCATTTCAGAATCTCATTAAAAGCTCCCAAGCAGTTTCTGAAGTGTAGCCAGGTTGCCAGTTTGGGAAGACTTTAACATTTAATTTCTTTTAAAAAGAAAAAAAATCTGAAGCATATTAGTGAAATGTTAAAATGTGTTAAAGTTGGGTGAGTAGGTAACAGGTATTTGTTATATTCTCTATTATGTTTCTGTTTGCTTAATATATATGATATAATTTAAAAAGATAGAGTAGTGGAGGAAGTCATAGTAAAATTTATGAAAGATCAGTATAGATTTTAGAGACCAAACACAATTTTTACTGGCTGGCAATATTATTATAGAAAGATATTTGCAGGATTATAGGTGACTTTTTTATAGATGTCTTTTTTCATATGTGTTGTTTCTAAATTTTCTATAGTGAAATGGTACTACTTTTATAATACAAAAACAAATGAAAAAGAAAGCTATTGGCAAAATATGTAAATGCCATGTAGCTTTCAACAGGCCTGCCATGAATCACCTTGGTATGTGGGAGGGGCCTGATGCTGTTAGGTGGTCATCGCGCCACAGTATCCCTGAGAGTCAGAGAGAATGTGTTTATTTGATTATCTCCCTCTGAAAGGCAAATATCAATGTGGCCAAGAATTTGGACTTTGAACCCAGGCATCCTTCCCATTGGTTGAAAGGTTAGCTCTTGCTTTCCAAAGCAGGCCATGAAAGATATGTGTCCTCTTCCCTGATGTGTTCAAAGAGGGATGGACTTGTCAAGACTTGTTTTTTGAACCTGGAAATAAGCAGTGTAGTGCCTACTGCAAGCCACAGATTAATATTTTAAAGGATCCCTTTGATAAGGCTTCAATGATGATGTTTTAATCGGTCCTGTTTTAGGGCAACTTCTCAATCCGTACAGCCAAGATGCAGCAGCATGTGTGTGAAACCATCATCCGCATCTTTAAAAGACATGGTATGTACGCCCTTTTTAAAAATGATATTTCTTCTCATAAGACTTTTTTCATCATTAGAAAGTACTGTTAGTGTTCGGGCATATCATATTTTACTTTCAAATTCAGTTATAAATAATTGACATCATATGGAATTTAAGCTTATTTTTGAAACTGATTTGAATATTACAGCCTTACTATTAATACTAAAATGCAATTGGTTTGTGGAGTCAGAAATATGACCAAACTGTCAAACTTAACTCTAGATGAGCTCTCTATTTATAAATTTAGAGAACTCAAGAAAAATTGATATGACTTCAATGGTCCCAGTAGCAATTACTTAACTGTCAGGTTTGTGTTAATTTTAGGTTGCCTTCTAAGGAGAATGTGAACCTGATGATGAGCTATTTTTTCTCATTTGGTGTAGGAGCTGTTCAGTTGTGTACTCCACTACTGCTTCCCCGAAACAGACAAATATATGAGCACAACGAAGCTGCCCTATTCATGGACCACAGCGGGATGCTGGTGATGCTTCCTTTTGACCTGCGGGTGAGGCTGGGAACACACTGCTGACAATCAGAATGCTGTATCTAGTCACAGGGATGGCATCTCTGTTAAAGGATTTTTCCCCCAGGCTTATATTATAAATGTCACCTTTGGGAAATGTATTCTTGAGGAAGTTGTCAGAGTGAGAGTGTTACTGGGGTGGAGGAAATGTTTGGTCCTGAATGCCTCCACCTTCCTAATAGCTCAGGTGTTTATGGCTCTAGGAACTGGAGGAACCCTGCATTGCAGGTGCCACATGTGCACCCCCCAGTGTTGAGTGACCACAGCAGGTTAACCCCACCCACTTAGACAAATAAATGTAGTTTGTTTGTCTTTTTAACTTCCTGGCTAGATCTTCAGTAAACATCCTAACATGTTAATGCCTAGAACAGTTAAATTCTTCTAACAGCAAGTGTCTCTCCTAATTGGGTATGCTGAGTTTTGCCCGTGCCTGCTTTCTTCCGACCCCCAGGGATCCTGTCGACAGCAGCAGTCTTAACTAGTCTTTCACTCACACAGTGTTGGCTACTAACAAGCTATCTGTGGTGCTGTATGATAGAGCAAGGAAAACATGCAATGCATGTGACAGACAAGGTTTAATACCTCTCACATACAGAAAGCACTGACAAGTGGAGACATGAGCAAAGGATATAACCAGGCAGCTCTCAGAAGAGAATATGTGCATGGCTGATAAACTTCTGAAAAGCTGTACTGCCTCACCAATAATAAAGAAGTGCAAAGCTGTCTCAACTTCACCCATCAGACAGGAAACATTTTTAAATTAATGTTATCCAGAGATGACAGGAGTGTAGGAAAGTAGGTATTTTCATATGTTGCTGATGGGAATGTGGACTGCTAAACCTTTAGAAAAGTAATCTAAAAGTTTATAATAAAACTTTAAAAATTTTGTTGCACATTCTTTATCCTTAGAACCAGCAATCCCACTTTGAGCAATTTACTCAAAGAAAGAAAAACACATCAGTGTATGAATGTTAAAAGGATGTTAATTGCCATATTATTGTGGTAGTCAAAAACTGTCTGTCTGTTTATCAGTAGGAAAATGGTTGAATAATTTGTCACCAATATTATGGAATATTAAGGAGCTATTGAAAAGAACATTGAGCTAGGCACAGTGGCTCATGCCTGTAATTCCAGAACTAGGCTAGGTAGGAGGAGTGCTTGAGCCCAGTAGTTCAAGACCAGCCTGGGCAACATAGGAAGACCCCATCTTTACAAAAAATTTAAAAATTAGCCCAGTGTGGTGGCTCGTGCCTGTGGTCTCAGCTACTTGGGAGGTTAAGGCAGGAGGATTGGTTGAGCCCAGGAAGTCAAGGCTTCAGTGAGCCATGATTCTGCCACTGCACTCCAGCCTAGGAAACAGGGCAAGACTCTGTCTCAAAAAGAAAATTTAAAAATTTTTTTTTGTAGAAACGGGCTCTCGCTGTGTTGCCCAGGCTGGTCTCAAACTGCTGGACTCAAGCAGATCCTTCTGCCTCAGCCTCCCAAAATACTGGAATTACAGGCATGAGCCGCCATGCCCAGCCAATCTATATTTTTATATAGATCAAATATGTATTTTTTATATATGTATAAGATGAAAATACAGTCAGCTCTTCGTACATATCCTTGGATTCCACATCCACGTATCCAGCCAACTGTGGATGGAAAATACTCAGAAAAAAAAATTCCAACAAGCAAAATTTGAATTTACCATGTGCTAAACACTGCATTGAATCCACACAAAAGAAGGGATGTATAGG
This sequence comes from Homo sapiens, assembly GCF_000001405.40. Taxonomy (NCBI): domain Eukaryota; kingdom Metazoa; phylum Chordata; class Mammalia; order Primates; family Hominidae; genus Homo; species Homo sapiens. Next base: position 40,005,072 of record NC_000015.10, read on the forward strand.
CATAGTAGTAGATATTATAAGTAATCTAAAGATGATTTAAAGTGTACAGGAGGATGCGCATAGGCTATAGGCAAATGCTCTGTCATTTTATATCAGGAACTTAACCATCCACTGATTTTGGTATCCTTGGGGGAGTCCCGGAACCAATTTCTGAGGGACAACTATACATATTTAGATATAGCCATATTTATACTTGATTTGTAGGAATGTGCATGGCACATTGTTAGCTTTTTTTAAAAAGTAAATTTCAAAGGAACTCTATTATCCCATTTTTATTATAGAGAAAGAAAAGTTTTTTTAAAAAAATTGTGTGTGTACAGGAGGCTGAGGCAGGAGAATCACTTGAACCCGGGAGGCGGAGGTTGCAGTGAGCTGAGATTGCACCACTGCACTCCAGCCTGGACAACAGAGCAAGACCCTGTCTGAAAAACAACAACAACAAAACAAAAAAACAAAAAACTGTACATAAGGTATACTGTGTGTGTCTGCATGTACTTTTTTGTTTTATTTTTTTTTTTGAGATGGAGTCTCACTCTGTCTCTCAGGCTGGAGGGCAGTGGCGTGATTTCAGCTCACTGCAAGCTCCGCCTCCCGGGTTCACGCCATTCTCCTGCCTCACCCTCCCGAGTAGCTGGGACTGTAGGTGCCCGCTACCATGCCCGGCTAATTTTTTGTATTTTTAGTAGAGACAGTGTTTCACTGTATTAGCAAGGATGGTCTTGATCTCCTGACCTCGTGATCCGCCCACCTGGGCCTCCCAGAGTGCTGGGATTACAGGCGTGAGCCACCGCACCCGGCCTGCATACACTTGATATATGTGTAGATATATATATTTGGCCCTCTACATCCTTGGGTGGTTTCTGTATCCATGGATCCAACCGAGGATGGAAGATACTCAGAAAAAAAAAAAAAATTCACAAAGCTCCAAAAAGCAAAACTTGAACTTGTCACATTCACGTGTCTGAATGACCGTGCACATCAGGTTGTTTGTATCACCAAAGAGTAAGGTGTCAAAGAATACACTCATTTTGACCATACTTTTTGGAGGGGGGAGTGGAATCTTTTTTTAAATGTATGTCATATGGCTTATTGTGAAACAGGTTTTGTGTTTATAGTCTAAGAAGAAATTCCTTCCACATTCCTCACTTCTGTTTTTCTTTTATAGTGAGTAAAGTGATGTGGGATTATTCTGAGGTAGAGGTAAATAAACAGCAAATCAGATGAGACATTTGCGTTTTGTTGAAAAAAAAAGAATAGAAGTACAAATATTTACATAGCTATACTTAAAGCTGGCTTCTTATTCTCTAAATATTAGGAGACTAAAGTGCAGATTTTTAAATATCAGCTCCCATTCTATAAGCTGATATTGAAATGCAAAAAATTAAAAAGTGAATGTATGTTGAGAATTTGGCCCATCAGTGGTAATGATACCATGTTGGATCTGTTGGGGCAATCTAACAATGGTTTTACTAGTTGTGGTTACTATTTGAAGGTGTTTATTAAGAATTTATTCTAAGAGATTGATAGGAAAATCAGGAAATTCACCATAAGAGATAATACCCATTTTGACTGCATTACTATAAAAGTGACATTTTTTTTAAATTCATAAATAAATAACTTGCACTAATTTTAGTTGGACATAATAAAAGCTCCACAGAGAATATTTAACTAAAAGTGAATTTTAAAAAAAACCTAAGAAATGCCACAGTGAATAAGGTTGATGGTATGTCTAGCAGCGGAGTCCACCACTGACCAAAACACTGAAGAACATTTCAGGGAGTGTGAGTGGTGAGCAGTGCATAACTTAGTGAATACACTAAAAGCCACTGAAGTACATACTTTAAAGGGGTGAACTTTATGGGACAGGAGTTATGTTTCAATAAAGCCGCTATTAACAAAAGGCACATTTTGACATTGACCTTTCATATTTTGTTTATTTTTCAGATCCCTTTTGCAAGATATGTGGCAAGAAATAATATATTGAATTTAAAACGGTAAGAAACAATAGGAGATTCCATTTGGTAGACATAGGAAAATAGTTGAATAATTTGTCAACCAGGAAAGAATATTTTATTTCCTGTGATCCTTACACAGTTAAGAATTCTGGGTTCAGAATATTGAGCTTAGAATATGAACCAGAAGCCCAGCCACAGTACCCCTTCCTGTAAGGTAACTAGGACTGTTAGAAGGAATGTAGCAGGTAGGTACCGTCATGTTCCCACAGTCTATTCTGTACCTTCTAAATGTCCCCAAGCAACATTACTAATTATTTTCACAAACGGTTGCTTGATAAAAACATCTGGCTGTTCATGATCACAGATGGCCCCTTTTAAAACTTAATTGGTGGGACAAATGGCCAGTGGTCTCTATGTGAAAACTGCCTACACAGGTAACCGAACAAAAGCTGCTTGTAGAGAAGTGGAGTAAACCCAGCAGGAACGCTGAGCGCTGAGGACCTCCAGGCACTTAGCCCTGGAAAAAGGCTTTCTGTACATTCAAATACCACAGGGGTCCAACACTGAGATCTTCATAATTTGGAGCAGTATTGTTGTCAATGAGGCACCCTACTTTAAAGCTCCTTTCTTCAACTGAAAGCAAAGCTCTTTACATGCTTTTATTCTAGCTACAAGTGAATAATTAATAATCGTAGTCCTATGGTGTGGGTATCCCTGTGTAGAAAGCAATCACTAAGGTAAAATTTTTTGGTGTAATTTCATCTCTATTTCAGACATTTAAAAAACCTTAAGCCCCATAGCTTAATAGTGGCAAAACTGGGAATTGGAACCTAGATCACAAGGCAAGGCTGTTCCAGGTCAAATTTGTCTTTCAGTCCTCTTGATCATACCACCGATTAATTTTTTTTCATATTTGTTTCTTATATCTTGTTCAACAATTTCTTATACATATTTCTTTCTAGTAAGCAATGACCTTAGAAATCTGGGTTTCTCTCTCCAGATACTGCATAGAACGTGTGTTCAGGCCGCGCAAGTTAGATCGATTTCATCCCAAAGAACTTCTGGAGTGTGCATTTGATATTGTCACTTCTACCACCAACAGCTTTCTGCCCACTGCTGAAATTATCTACACTATCTATGAAATCATCCAAGAGTTTCCAGCACTTCAGGTTCCTTTCCATATTTTAACATTCCAAGATTCCCCACTATATTTCTTCACCAAGTGTGGTGGGGAAAACCACAGCTACAGACCTGCTTCTCAGTCTGTCCTGCAGATGAATCACATCTTTACTAAAGTAACTGAGAAGAGCTTGCTGGTGTTGCTTTTGAGGTTCAGCTCAGGCTCTTACCTTCACAGGAACTGGTTTTGTTTTGGGGGATGGGTATTCTCTGCCCATTCTTCTAAAATGCAAGATATCAGGCTAAGATTCCTAAGATGCTCTTAGCCTGTTCATACCCTGTTTGGAACCCTCAGTGGCTCTATCCTACACCCGATCTCTTCACTCCCCAACTTCCCTTTTCACCAAGTCTGCATGCTGCCTAGCTGGTGGGGACTGCTGCCAGCACTTCTCAGGCTTCCCTCCCCACCCCACACACACACCCTGTCATTCCTGCCACCGTCAGTCAAATGTTCCCTTGTCTAGAAAGTCTTTGCCCAGCCATGGTTTGGGCCCTTTCTCCCCAGGAAGCCTCACTGCACCCTCATTAATTAGTTGGCCACCTTTTCTTCTCAACTCTCACAGGTCTTGATCTGAGACACCCATGTACTACCTTGAGTTATGTTCATTGTTTTCTCCAAGCAGAACATGTGTTTTTAGGGCAGAGCCTACGAGTCCGCTTTGCCATATACCCCCATTGCAGCCAGCTCGGCACATGGCTCACCACTCGGTGAATACTCATTAATCGATTTGTGTGGACAAAAGTTAACAATAACTATTCCACTGGCCTGTGCTTATGAGTCGATTACTACTGGACCAGATCCTTCTGTCTTTGAAATCAACTCTCTCGGGCTTTTTAACATAGCTGAAGACCAGTCAGAGTTGTTTTTGTTTTGTTTTGTTTTGTTTTGTTTTGTTTTGTTTTGGAGACAGTGTCTCGCTCTGTCTCCCAGGATGGTGTGCAGTGATACTATCACAGCTCACTAGCCCCTACCTTCCAGGCTCAAGCAGTCCTCCTGCCTTGCTGCTTGAATAGCTGGGTCTACAAGCATGTGCCACTGACCCCAGCTAATTTTTTATTTTTTTGTAGAGATGGGGTTTCCCTATGTTCCCCAGGCTGGTCTTGAACTCTTGAGCTCAAGGGATCCTCCAACCTTGGCCTCCCAAAATGCTTGAATTACACAGGCATGAGCCACCACCCCAGCCAGTCTGAGTACTTTGGATATATATAATATAGTATTAAATTAGAGTATACTCTGACTATAACAGTGCAAAAAGAATGTATGAAAAAAAAATAAACTAGGAAGCCATATGCTAAATTCAATCCTTCCATTGTGTTAGGATGACAAATTGGTGGTAAGTTTCCAGATTTGGTCATGTACCAGTAATTGCTTTTATAATGAAAATAGTAATTTTTCTCCATATCCCAGGAAAGAAATTACAGTATTTATTTGAACCATACCATGTTATTGAAAGCAATACTCTTACACTGTGGGATCCCAGAAGATAAACTCAGTCAAGTCTACATTATTCTGTATGATGCTGTGGTAAGCATTTAATTACTTATGATGTTGAAAGATAATACCTTGATGTTGAAAGATAATAATAATAGTTCCTGATGATTTTCTTACCCATGCAGCCATGAAACTGAATTGGGAGCCTTATCTCCTTCCTTCATTGCTCTAAATTGAAAGAACCAATTGATTTTAATTATATCAACAGTTAACAAGTATTGGTTGAGCTTTTGTTCCATCCTCAGCCCTGTACTACTAATAACCTCCGGGGTGTTTTTTAAAAGGCTAACTTCTAATTTTAAAAGATCAAATTATTTAATTTGTCAGATAGTAAAGTTATTCACCAACCTACTTATTAAGGCAAATCACTAAGTAATTGGTCCTGATACTTGCCAATAATAATTTCAAAGATAGTTAACATTGACTGAGCCCCGCTCTGTGAGCTAGGCATTGTTCTGAGCTCCTCTGATGGATGAACTCACTTCATTCTCACACCAGTGCTGCTATTACCTTTCCTTTAGAGACCGAGAGCAACTGTTCATGTTGAGAATAAACAGTGTGCCTTGCCCTTGATTCTTCCAGTCTGCCTGTGCTTATCAGTAAAGTCATGTATAGATTTGCATTGATTGAATTAAGGCAGAATGGCTTCGAACTCTGGTGGGGCCTCATTTACCACCTCCTTCCTGTGGGACTGAGGCTATGGCACCTCCAGTTACTCTTCCCTAATTTAGTCACATCATAGTATTCATTACTTTATAGTATATGTGCGGGTACAGAGACTGGAAGGGGACGCATTGAAAAAATGAATTAGTGTTATATTATGATGCTAAGATGGAAGTGAATGCTTATGTTTTCTAATATCTTTTCATGTTAAGTTTTGTTTTCATAATGAATAAGAGGCATCCAGGAGATGTAAGAACTAACAGCACCAGAAGTCTATGGTTAAGACAGAGTAGTGGAAGTCCTCACATAATGGCTTATTGTTTTTATACACCAAAAGGATTAACTAGCTTTTCTTTCATCTGGCAGGTACACATCAATGGCCCAAACTTTACTGCTTGTTTCTTAGTGGTTCTTTACTCCCCCTAAAGCTCTGCTGCTGTTTGTCAGTGACAGATACAATATGATGTCAATCGGACACTGGCAGAAACCCCAGGGATTGTGCAAGGGGCTTCAGCTCTTACTGATTCATGTCCTGCGGCTACGGCACATCTGCCAGCGTGGGATGAAATGCCCAGAGCCTGGCCTTTGTTAGGGGAGCCCAGAGCAAAATGACTCCCTCCCTGCCCAAACAAATGCCCTCATTAAGCCTGTCCAGATTTGGGTCACCTCACCATTCAGCAAGTACAACTTTCCCCTTTTAATTCTTTTGTCAGGGTTTTTCAGATTTTAAAATAAGTTAATTACGGTTTTGTGTGAATTGGGAGAAAAAATTTTTTAATCACAGAATTCAATCTATCCTGTACCATTAGGAGCAGTTTGTTCAAAATGAAGGCTATACTTGTTAGAATTCGCCTGGAAATTGTGTCTTGTTCAGTGCCAGATTTCGCGACTCTCATTGTTACCTTTTTCTTCCACGTTAGACAGAGAAGCTGACGAGGAGAGAAGTGGAAGCTAAATTTTGTAATCTGTCTTTGTCTTCTAATAGTGTAAGTACCTTCTAATGGTATTATTACAGCTTTCTCTGTAATTTTGTGATACCAGAAAATGTCATCAAATTCTCGTTGCAGTAGGGTAGCAGCCAGCGCTTCCTACCACCTCGCAGATGCAGTTTTTCCCTTGAGTGTTAGGTACCATGGCAACCTCTGGGATTAGGAGAAGGGAGAAACTAATGCTGTGATCAAAGAATGTCTCTCCATGCTTCTTCTTGATACGCTGTAATCATCCTGCTCTTTCTTGATCAGCAGATACTTTTCTTTGTCACCCCTTATAGAGCTGTGCCTGGTAGAGCCTCCTGCTGAACATACCTAATACCAGTTGTCCTCTTTTGAATTAGATTATACAGGACTAGAAGGAGGCACAGAATTCTGCAAATTCATCTGGGGAGCTACCCTTCCCCTACCTCCATGTCTTCTAACTCCTCAGAGTTGAATTAAAGCTCTAGCTTTTCTGGTATATCTCTTAATCTTAAAATCTTACATTTGATCCCATCATCAATAAGGGAAATCTTATGGAATAAACAGTTTGGTCATATTCTCTCTGTAGGCATCAGATTGATCCCAGATCTTTGGTACAGTAACCCACACTTAATTGAGTAGCTGAACAACAGAATACAACAGGGATTTTGTACATTTTCCTGAATATTTAAATAAGGAAAGTTTTTTTTTAATTTCCCGGAACCTGTCTAGGCCCTTGTCTGACACTCAATTATATGATCTTGCATTGATCAGCAAAATTCACATATGGGATAGATTAAAATATGATTGTACACAGGGCAGGAAGAGTCACTCAATCTTTCGGACACCTACAGTGTGGCAGGCACAATGGCAGGGATATAAAGAAGAGTCCATAGACTGCATTCAGCTTCTTGGTTCATATTGGCCTTTAAAAAGCCATAAGGGGATATGCACAGCATGTATCTGCCCTCAACTCTGTAAAACAGCTTTCAGAGGGCACACGGAAACCAGAGTTCAAAGAAATCACCCCTTTGCGGGTAGGGAAAGTAAACCAGATGCATAGCACTAGGAGTTCTGAAAATTGAGCCAGGTTAAATCTTAAATATTTAATATTGGGGGAGATAGTAATGATATGCAAAGTAACACAACAGCTAAATATCCAAATATGAAGGACAATATACAGTATTTACATATAATCTAAACATGTACACAGCACACACCTATGTGCAGAAATAGTCCCATGTGTAAATAGCACAGAGAATCTGCACAAGACTGCTCAGTTCAATGATTCTATACCCAAGTTTCCAACCCAAAAGGTTATTTGGACTAAAGTCACATTTCAGAACATCTTTTTTTTTTTTTAAGAAAGTCTTATAAATATACATTCGGACGTAATAGCCACATTGGTTGTTCACATGTCAACTTCTTTTCTTTCTGTTAAATCTCTAACCACTGGTTATTCGATGATGCTAAGTGTTAATTAGACGTGTCTGATTCAGTTAAAAACAGAAAAATAGTATCTAATAAAGGCATTTGGTACTTTGATTATTTTAAAATGGACTCTAAGGGTATTAGGAAGGGGAGTAGAAATATTGCCAAAGAGTTTCACATATCTGACCCAGTCCTCTTATTTCACAAATGAGACACCTGAGGCCCAAAGAGATGTTGTGATTTGTCCTGAGTCACATGGAGTTAGTTGATGATAGGGTGAGGACCAAAATCTGGAGATATTGACTTCAGTGCTTCTGGTAGTTTATTATTGGGGTAATTTAATGTTCAAATTTATAGAGAAGAAATCATTTTTATTTTCTTAAAAAAATATTTTAAATCGAATACATGATTTTAAATTTAAATTTTTTTCTTTTTATTTTTTTGAGACAGGGTCTTGCACTGTCACGCAGGCTAGATTACAGTGGCACAATCATAGTTCACTGTAACCTCAAGCTCTTGGGCTCAAGAGATCTTTCTGCCTCAGCCTCCCACTTAATTTTTTTTTCTTTTTTATAGCGGGATAGCAGGCGTGAGCCATTGCATCCAGCCAAAATTTTTATCTTTAATCCCTCTATTAGTCTGCTGTCACACTGCTAATAAAGATATATCCGAGAGTGGGTAATTTATAAAGGAAAGAGGTTTAATGGATTCACAGTTCCACATGGCTGGGGAGGCCTCACAATCATGGCAGAAGGCACGGAGGAGCAAGTCACGTCTTATATGGATGGCAGAAGGCAAGGAGGAGCAAGTCACATCTTATATGGATGGCAGAAGGCAAAGAGAGAGAACTTGTGCAGAGGAACTCCTCTTTATAAAACCATCAGATCTCGTGAGACTTATTCATTATCACAAGACCAGCATGGGAAGGACCCGCCCCCACGATTCAATTACCTCCCACTGGGTCCCTCCCATGACACAGGGGAATTGTGGGAGCTACAGTTCAAGATGAAATTTGCATGGGGACACAGCTAAACCATATCATTCTACCCATGGCCCCTCCCAAATTTCATGTCCTCACATCTCAAAACCAATCATGCCTTCCTGACAGTCCCCCACAGTCTTAACTCATTTCAGCATTAACTCAAAAGTCCACAGTCCAAAGTCTCATCTGAAACAAGGCAAGTCCCTTCCGCCTATGAGCCTGTAAAATCAAAAACAAGTGAGTTACTTCCTGGATACAATGAGAGTACAGGCATTGGATAAATACACCCATTCCAAATGGGAGAAATTGGCCAAAACAAAGGGGCTAAAGGCCCCATGCAAGTCTAGAATCCAGCAGGGCAGTCAAATCTGAAAGCTCCAAAATGATCTCCTTTGACTCCATGTCTCACACCCAGGTGATGCTGATGCCAGGGGTAGGCTCCCATGGCCTTGGGCAGCTCCCCACCTGTGGCTTTGCAGGGTACAGCCTCCCTCCTGGATGCTTCCATGGACTAGCATTTAGTAGGGACTCTGTATGGGGGCTGCAAACCCACATTTCCCTTCTGCACTGCCCTAGCAGAGGTTCTCCATAAGAGCCCCACCCCTGCAGCAAACTTCTGCCTGGGCATCCAGGCGTTTCCATACATCCTCTGTAATCTAGGCGGAGGTTCCCAAACCTCAATTCTTGTTTTCCGTGCATCTGCAGGCTCAACAGCACATGGAAGCTGCCAAAGCTTGGGGCTTGAACCCTCTGAAGCAACAGCCTGAGCTGTACATACCTTGGCCCCCTTTAGCCATGGGTGGAGCAGCTTAGACACAGGGCACCAAGTCCCTAAGCTACATAGAGGAGGGGGGCCCTGGGGCCAGCCCACGAAACCATTTTTTCCTCCTAGGCCTCCAGGCCTGTGATGGGAGGGCCTGCCATGAAGACCTCTGACATGCCCTGGAGACATTTTCCCCATTGTTTTGGTGATTAACACTTGGCTCCTTGTTACTTATGCAAATTTCTGCCGCTGGCTTGAATTTTTCCTCAGAGAATGGGGTTTTCTTTCCTGTCTCATTGTCAGGCTGCAAATTTTCTGAATTTTTATGCTCTGTTTTCCTTTTAAAACTGAATGGTCTTAACAGCACCCAAGTCACCTCTTGATGCTTTGTTGCTTAGAAATTTATTCTGCCAGGTACCCAAAATCATCTCCCTCAAGTTCAAAGTTTCACAAATCTCTAGGGCAGGGGCAAAATTCTGCCAGTCTCTTTGCTAAAACATAGCAAGAATCACCTTTACTTCAGTTCCCAACAAGTTCCTCATCTCCATCTGAGACCACCTCAGCCTGGATTTCATTGACCACATCATTATCAGCATTTTGGTCAAAGCCATTCAACAAGTCTCTAGGAAGTTCCAAACTTTCCCCCATTTTCCTGTCTTCTTCTGAGCCCTCCAAACTGTTCCAACCTCTGCCTGTTACCCAGTTCCAAAGTCACTTCCACATTTTTGGGTATCTTTACAGCCCAACTCTACCGGTACCAATTTACTGTATTAGTTTGTTCTCGTGCTGCTAATAAAGACATACACGAAACTGCGTAATTTATAAAGGAAAGAGGTTTAATGAACTCACAGTTCTCTGTGGCTGAGGAGGCCTCACAATCATGGTGGAAAGCAAAGAGGAACAAGTCATGTCTTACATGGTTGGCAGCAGGCAAAGAGAGAGAACTTGTGCAGGGAAACTCCTCTTTATAAAACCATCAGATCTTGTGAGACTTATTCACTATCATGAGACTATCATGGGAAGGACCCGCCCACATGATTCAGTTACCTCCCACTGGATCCCTCCCATGACACATGGGAATTGTAGGAGCTACAATTCAAGATGAGATTTGAGTAGGGACACAGCCAAACCATATCAAGATTATAGGAGGTTTTAACATTTTTTGGGTTTTTTAAAAATTTAAGTGATTTATGATTAACTCTAAGATTAAGCTATGTCAATCTGAGCCTTCATTTAGCCCTTAGGTTTCATGTGCCAATTTATGGATGAACTAGGTTGTACTTGCCTACAGTCTTAAAATGGCTATAATTTTGTTTCTTAATAATTTCTACTTTAGCTCCTGGGAGTTTTCTTTCTGGCTTTATGACTATGGTTGTTTCCTCTTACTCCAGCTGAGTACCAGGGACTGTGAGATCAATCATCTCTAGCCACTGACCTCTTCTGGGGCAGTCTATGAGTACAGCTGGTGACAGCCAGGATCTGGCATCCAGGTGGGAGGAGAGGGAAGGGAGGATCAGGAGGCTGCCCACAGGAGAAGACATCTCAAGGTTGCAAATAGGAATGATTCAAGCCAAGGAAGGGAATTTCTAGCTAATTCTGTATTAAAACAAGTCAGACTTTGCCTTATTGTCCCCCCATGTCTATGCCTGCAGTAACAGGAATTCATGAGAATAAGAAAGGTAAAGAGGAAAAATACTGGCCTGAAAATAGATAATGGAAGCTCTGCTAGTGCCAGGGTCTGCTTTGCTGGGGTCAGCATTAAGTGTGAGTAAATGTATCTGAATAAAAGTGAACCATGAGTATGTGTCTAAAGCATTCCTGCAAGGTGCTTTCAAGTTGTTGGAAAAGGATAATCCTTAGTCAGGATTGTGGCAAAGCCTAAAATAATCTTTGACCACAAAGATAATCGTAGCATCCCATGTGCTCCTGCTCCTGCAGGTGCACACAGTCGGTGCAAAGGGAGTCTTCCCCTGCTGTGGATGGGCAGCTGACTGTGCCCCTTTGCTTTCCAGCTGTGTCGACTCTACAAGTTTATTGAACAGAAGGGAGATTTGCAAGATCTTATGCCAACAATAAATTCATTAATAAAACAGAAAACAGGTATTGCACAGTTGGTGAAGTATGGCTTAAAAGACCTAGAGGAGGTTGTTGGACTGTTGAAGAAACTCGGCATCAAGTTACAGGTTTGGCAACAGTTTGATACTGGCAGTACAAATGTGTAGCATTACTAATAGCACAGGGAGGAAATGTGTTTCATTTCACTAATGCTAGTTAGTGTTTTATTTTTCCAGAAAAACTGCTTTCTGTGTTTTGGAGCATTTGATATTTAGTAATAATTTTGGCTTAAATCAGGATTTCTTTGCAAGTGCCACTGTTCCTATCATGAAGCAGTTCTTACTATGTTAGCCTCAGAGAGGTGGTTATTCTTAAAGAGAAGAGAATTTATTTTACTTGTCAGGCTATGGTTAAACAGACTTTGAGCTAGATCTTACTGAATATTTTGTTTATGCTAAATAGATTGTTCTGATGCTATTGATGGGAAACACCATTTTCAGCATTATATTCCACATTCTAAATTTCAAACCCTTGACACATTTGTGTGGCATCTCTCTTTATAGGTCTTGATCAATTTGGGCTTGGTTTACAAGGTGCAGCAGCACAATGGAATCATCTTCCAGTTTGTGGCTTTCATCAAACGAAGGCAAAGGGCTGTACCTGAAATCCTCGCAGCTGGAGGCAGATATGACCTGCTGGTGAGGGCTTGCCCTTTATTTATTTGCTCTGACTTAATTTTATTTCTTCTAAACTTGTTATTTTGAAATTTTCAAACTAACACCAAAAATTTGAACCAGTAATATCATTGGATACTTCTATTAATATATGTTTCATCTAGGAATAGAAATATAATGTGAACCACATTTGTAGTTGTTTAAGCTTAAAACAATTATATTATTTTGCAAGATAGTTGCAAAGATAGTACTGAGAGGGCTCATGTACCCTTTACTCTGTTTCTATATATATATATATATATATATATATATATATATATATATATATATATATATGTATTTTGGAGACAGGGCCTTGCTCTGTCACCCAGGCTGGAGTGCAATGGCGCAATCTTGGCTCACAGCAGCCTCGACCTCCCTGGGCTCAAATGATTCTCTCACCTTAGCCTCCCGAGTAGCTGAGACTACAGGCATGCACCACCACACCCAGCTAATTTTTTGTATTTTCAGTAGAGACAGGGTTTTGCCATGTTGCCCAGGCTGGTCTCAAACTCCTGAGCTCAAGCAATCCACCCACCTCAGCCTCTCAGAGTGCTGGGATTATAGGTGTGAGCCACCACACCACCCCTTGCATAAGTACAGTAAAATATCAAAACCAGAAAATTGACATTTGTATAATGTATGTGCATCATTCTTCTCCATTTTATCACGTGTACTTTCCCTCAACAACCACCATAATCAAGGTACAGAACTATTCCATCACCACAGAGATTTATGGGTATCAACATCTTATCAATTCAAATGAAATGTAGAAACTTTATCTCCCTGTATGTCTCTTTACCTCATGCCCCATTTATAATATAATTGTCTTAAATATTTCTTCTAATACATTGAGATCCACATCAAACAGTGTTAAATTTTTTACTTTACTGTTAAATATAATTATAAAACTCAAGGGGAGAAGAAGGTCTATTGTATTTACCCCAAATTTCTGGTTTGTGATGAGAAATTTGCTGTTATTTGAGTTACTTTTCCCCTATAGGAAAGTTATTTCTGACTTGATGCTTTAAAGATTATTTTCTTTGTCTTTAGTTTCAAATTAAATCATGATGTGTCTTGGCATGAGTTTCTTTGGATTTATCCTGTTTAGGGTTTGCTTAGCTTCTTAAATCTATAGGTTTATGTCTTTTGCGAATTTGGAGGATTTTTTCAGGCATTCTTTGATTTTTTTTTTCAGTCTCACACTCTTTTTTCTCTCCTTCTATGACCCCAGTGACACAAATGTCCTTGAGGTTATGGGACATTTTTGTCCAGGCTGATCTCACACTCCTGGCTGCAAGCAATCCTCCTGCCTTGGCCTTTCAAAGCACTGGGATTGCGGGTGTGAGCCACCACACCTGACCTGTAATTTTAAATTATTTAGTAACATTAAGTAAAAGGAGACAAGTGGTATTAATTTTATAATATATCTTATTTAACTTAGTATATCCAAAATATTATTTCAACATGTACTCAAACTTCTAAAAATTATTAACAAGGATTTTACATTTTTTTCAAAGTCTTTGCAGCCAGTATGTGTTTTACATGTACAGCATGTGTCAATTTGGATTAGCCATATTTCAAATACTCAGTAGTCACTTGTGACTAGTGGCTGCCATATTGAACAGTGCAGAGTTAGATGAAACATTTGTTAATATTTTTTCTAAATTTGCATGTGTGCTTGCTTCTCTATTTTACTACACACACACATTTCTTTTTGTTGAACTCTTTGATGATGAGCTGCTGACAGAGTGCTCACTCTTTAATCATTGTTTTCCCCGTAATCACAGTTTCTTTCCTATTTCATAACCATAACTGTTTGTGTCTCTCCACAGATTCCCCAGTTTAGAGGGCCACAAGCTCTGGGGCCAGTTCCCACTGCCATTGGGGTCAGCATAGCTATAGACAAGATATCTGCTGCTGTCCTCAACATGGAGGAATCTGTAAGTTCTGGCTTGGCTTCCCAGCATACTTCGAGGTGTCTTTCATTTCTAAAAGTATGATTTGCCTTTTGCAGTCATTTACATGGGGCTTCTGATGTGAAAGCTATAGACGTAGGGTTTTGAAACTTACCTTTAATATGATAGACAAGCCTAAGACTTGATGTCAATCCCTGCATTTCAGTCCTTATCATCTGTTCTCTAGCTGGACGACCTTAGACCAGGGGTCCCTAACCCCCAGGCAGTGGACTGGTACCCATCCAGGGCCTGTTACGAACCGGGCCGCACAGCAGGAGGTGAGCAGTGGGCAAGCAAGCATTACCACCTGAGCTCCACCTCCTGTCAGATCAGCGGTGGCATTAGATTCTATAGGAGCATGAACCTTGTTGTGGACTGCACATGGAAGGGATCTAGACTGCACGCTCCTTAGGAGAATCTAACTAATGCCTGATGATCCGAGATGGAATAGTTTCATTCCAAAAGCATCCCCTCCCAACCCCCGCACCATCCATGAAAAATTTTCTTCCATGAAACCAGTCCCTGGTGCCAAAAAGGTTGAAGACTTCTGCCTTAGACAATTAATTCATCCTTCCCTAGACTCATTTTCCTTATCTGTAACGTACCATATAAATGTGAGATGTTATAGTTGTTAACAGGCTCTTAACAAAACTTCTTGTTCAGGCCAGGCATGGTGGCTCATGCCTATAATCCCAGCACTTTGGAAGGTCGAGGCAGGCAGATCGTTGAGCCCAGGAGTTCAAGACTAGCCTGGGCAACATAGCAAAACCCCATCTCTACCAAAAAAATACAAAAATTAGCTGGGTGTGGTTAATTAGCCATGCACCTGTAGTTCCAGCTACTCAGGAGGCTGAGGTGGGAGAATCGTTTGAACCCAGGAGGGGGAGGTTGCAGTGAGGTGAAATCATGCCACTTCCACTCCAGCTTGGGCAACAGAGCCAGACCCTGTCAAAAAAAAAAAAAGAAAAAAGAAAAGAAAAGAAATCCTGCTGTGGTCTACAAAGCTAGAAATAGCTTTTTTTCCCCCTTGTATTTCAGGCAAGATTAGTTTTCCTAGAGAAAAATGGTATTTTCCAGATGGCTCAGGGTAGTTGAAATAATTTCTGTCTTGAAAGACTAACATAACATTTTTTTTTTTTTTACTGTGGCCGAGCATGGTGGCTCATGCCTGTAATTCCAGCTATATCCCAATAAGGCCAAGGCAGGTGGATCACTTGAGGCCAGAAGTTCGAGACCAGCCTGGCCAACAAGCAGAACAACATCCCTACTAAAAAGACCAAATATATATATGTATATATATTTATTTATTTATTTATTTATTTATTTTAGCCGGGCATGGTGGTGCACGCCTGTAATCCAGCTACTCTGGAGGCTGAGGCAGGAGAATGGCTTAAACACAGGAGGCGGAGGTTACAGTGAGCGGAGATCGTGCCACTGTACTCCAGCCTGGGTGACAGAGTGAGACTCTGTCTCAGAAAAAAAAAGAAAAAGTTGTTTGAGTGTGTCTTTTTTTTTTTTTTTTACAATGTGTTTTGAAGCAAAGTCTTTGGCACGCTGTGTTTCTATGCAGGATTTCAAGAATGCCCATCTTCCCAAGAGTGCTGCCTCCCCTCCTGATGCTGGTTTCACTTCCATGCCTGCAGTCTTGCTCCTCTAACTGTAACCGGTCTGTTTCTGATCCAGGTTACAATAAGCTCTTGTGACCTCCTGGTTGTAAGTGTTGGCCAGATGTCTATGTCCAGGGCCATCAACCTAACCCAGAAACTCTGGACAGCAGGCATCACAGCAGAAATCATGTACGACTGGTCACAGGTAATGGGACAAAAAGCACCTGTGAGTGAAGTGCAAATTGCTATGGCTTTCATGGCAAATATCCTCTGCACCTATAGACTGTCAAACTCTGTTTATCTCTGTAATTCGAGTTGCCTCCTGTGTTAGTTTCTGATTGCTGCAGTAACCAATTACCACAAACTTACTGGCTTAAACACATATTTATTATCTTACATTTCTGGAAGTCAGAAATCCAAAAGCACTTTCACTGGGTTAAATTCAACAGGGCTGGCTCCTCTGGGAAGCTCTAGGGGAGAATCTGTGTCCTTCCCTTTTCTGGCTCCTAGAGGCCTCCTGCATTCCTTGGCTCATGGCCTCTTCCTCCATCATCACACTCAGCAATGAAGCGCCTCCTTCCTTGCTGACCTGTGCTTCTGTTCTTACATCTGTCTCTAACTCTTGTCTGTCCAGCTCCCTCATACATGCACCCTGTGATTACGTGGGGCCCACCCAGATAATCCTGGTTGATCACTCACAGGTTCTAGGAATGAGGATATGGACATCTTTGCGGGGCTGTACTCCAGCCTGCCACACTTCTGAAGGCACTCAGTGCTTAGTGTGTTTTGGGCTCTGTATCCTGAGACCTCCCACAGCATGCAGGCCTGACACTTGCCGTGGGTGTGGAGGTGTGGAAAGTGGCACCCAGGACACATGCCTGCCCTTTGGAATGGGGGCGTAAGCAGACCATAGAAGGGGTGCACTCCCAGGAGATCATCCAGGTTGTACCCACATTCGCCCACACTAAAGGTGCCCCAGAGCATGGCGATGACCAGGGACACAGACCCACCACCCTCCCACCTGCTCTGTTTACATCACCTGCCAGGAGGCTTCTGAAGCTGCTGCTGTTTACTCGTGTGTGTGTGTTGTATCAAAATTCACATCAGAAGTGTGCTGAGCAACAATTTTTAATCATTTGACAGAACAGTGTCCTCTTCTACTTGTTCACATGTTTCATAAATCATTAGAGAAGTGTTCTGTCCTGCAGTAAAATCCAAGCCTCGTGGCCAGTGACCTCAGTCCTGCACAGTGACACCCCACAGGCTTCTCTGCCCCCTCCTGGTTTGCTTCTTCAGTTCTGCTTTTCACCTTCCCTTATTTCCTTTGTTTCCTTCATTTTCCTCAGAGGCTTTTTCAGCGTGTGTGTGTGTGTGTGTGTGTGTGTGTGTGTGTATGTTGTGTTGTATAATTTTGGGCATCTTTTATTAAGTCTTGAAGCTTTTGAAAACCTCTTACTATTGATTGATTATTCATGGCCCTTTAAACAATCATGAAGGGAAGGGAGGCAAGAGAGGCCTTGTTCCTCCCTTGAATTCTATGCGGCTTCTTGCTTAATATTTATATCCCCCTGAAGTCAGCATTTTAGTAATTCACATTGAGAATATAATTGGAAACAGTATTTTCATTCTCCTTAATTACTTGAAGCTGTTCCAGGTGCTCTGTGTTTATTTTCTTTACTATGTTTGTTTGTTTCAGTCCCAAGAGGAATTACAAGAGTACTGCAGACATCATGAAATCACCTATGTGGCCCTTGTCTCGGATAAAGAAGGAAGCCATGTCAAGGTAAAGACGTCAGAGATTTTTTACAATTCAATAGTTAGGTGTTACCTGTGGAGCACCTGCCTTCACACTGAGGCCCGGGCCGTGTAGGTGACTGGAAATCCGTTCCCTCTACTCTCCCTTTCCATTGTTGGGTTTCTTTTTTTTTTTTGAGACGGAGTCTCGCTGTCTCCCAGGCTGGAGTGCAATGACGCAATCTCGGCTCACTGCAAGCTCCGCCTCCCGGGTTCTCGCCATTTTCCTGCCTCAGCCTCCCCGGTAGCTGGGACTGCAGGTGCCCGCCACCACGCTCGGCTAATTTTTTGTATTTTTAGTGGAGACGGGGTTTCACCATGTTGGCCAGGATGGTCTCCTGACCTCGTGATCTGCCCGCCTCGGCCTCCCAAAGTGCTGGGATTACAGGGGTCAGCCACCGCGCCCGGCCGTTGTTGGGTTTCTTGCTGAAGAAAATGTGTATAAAATAAGGAAGAGAGTCCACCTTCATTAAAGCTTTAAAAAGCAAAACAAACAAAAAAACTGGCTGTGGTTTTTTCCTACTTTTCTCCTCTTGTTCTCTTTTTCCAGCTAAGAAAATAAGAATAAGTAAAGTTGTATCTGCTGATAGGCATATCCTCTCATTGCTTTGTAACCAATTTTACTTTTTTGTATTCAACTAAAAGTGTTCATAAATATACCACCTCATAACCTTTATTTCTAATTATTTTTAAAGGGAAAAAAACTTTCTTAAAAATATTTTTCTCTTCTAATTTTTTTTTGGTTTCGATATCAGGGTAATGTTGGCCTGATGAAATGAGTTGGAGAGTGTTCTCTCCTCTTCTGTTTTCTGTAAGATACTGTATACAATTAGTATTAGAAGTCCAATCTCAAATATTTCTATATATAGAGCTATTCTGGTTACCTCTTTCTTCTAGAGGCAGCTTTGGTAGTTTATATCTTTCCCGGAACTTTTCCATTTCGTCTGAGTTTTCAGATATTCCCCTGTTATTGTTTCACTGTCTCTAGGATCTGCAGTGATGCTCCCTCCTTCAGACCTGATATGGGTAATTTGTGTCCTCCCTCTTTTTTGTCTAATCAGCCTGGCTAGAGATTGATCAGTTTTGTCTTTCCAAGGACCAGCTTTTGGTGTCATTGATTTTTCTCAGTTTTTATTTGTTCATGTGTTTTCTATTTTATTCATCTCCACTCTTATCCATTACTATTTTCTTCCTTCTGCTTATTTTGGATTTAGTTTATTCTTTTTTTAGTTTCTTCAGGTAGAACTTTAGATGAGGTATTGACAAACTACACCTTGGACCAAATTCAGCCCATAGCCTGCTTTTATATGTCTGTGAACTAGAAATTTTTACATTCTTTGTTAAAAAACAACAACAAACAAAGGAGAGTGTGTGACTCCAACTATGTATGGCCCTCAAAGCTTAAAACATTTCCTATCTGGCCCTTTACAGAAAAAAATTTGAAGCTTTGTTATTATACATGTTTAGGATTTTATATCTTCTTGATGAATTGTCTTCATCATTATAAAATATTCCTTATCCCTGGTAATATTTCTTGTTCTGAAATCTTTTGGTTAGTGTTTACGTCACTACCTTTCTCCATCCTTTTATTTTTAACCTGTCTTTTTTTTTTAAGAGATGGGGGTCTCATCATGTTGCCCAGGCTGGCCTTGAACGCCTGGGCTCAAGCAATCTTCTCACCTCAGCCTCCAGCTGGGATACAGGCGTGTGCCACTGCACCTGGCTAACTTATCTATCTTTATATTTAAAGTGAGTTTCTTATACACAGTCACTAGGTTGAGTTTTCCTTTTTTTTTTTTTTTTTTTTTTTGAGATGGATTCTTGCTCTGTCACGCAGGCTGGAGTGCAGTGGTGCAATCTCCACTTGCTGCAACCTCCACCTCCCAAGTTCTCCTACCTCAGCCTCCTGAGTAGCTGGGTTTATAGGCACACACCACCACACCCAGCTAATTTTTGTATTTTTAGTAGAGACAGGGTTTCACCATGTTGGTCAGGCTGGTCTCGAGCTCCTGACCTCATGATCCACCCACCTCGGCTCCCCAAAGTGCTGGGATTAGAGGCGTGAGCCACTGCGCCCAGCCTCCTTTTTTTTTTTTTACTCTGAGAATCCTGGCTTTTTTTTGTTTTTTTTTTTGAGACAGGGTCTCACTCACCTATGTTGGAGTGCAGTGGCGCGATCTCAGCTTACTGGAACCTGTCTCCCAGGATCAAGTGATCCTCCCACCTCAGCCTCCCGAGTAGCTGGGACTACAGGCACGCACCACCATGACTGGCTAATTTTTGTATTTTTAGTAGAGACGAGGTCTCTACTAAATGCCAAATGCCATGAGATTTGCTAAATGCCATGAGAGTCCTACAGATAAAGTTCTCCAAGGGTCCCTCAGGCTGGGAGATTTACATAAGAGGCAGCAGTGAAGTCTTCAGGAAGGTGCTGGGATTTATCCTACCCTCAAGAATTCGTGGTCCTGGAAGGGCCTTTTAGGAAGAGGGAACTGCAAAGGTGATGGTAGTTCTTTTAGTAGTTGTCCCAAAGATAGAGGCAGGCCAGCAGAGAACCATTCTGGTACAACCCTGAATAGTCTATTTTGGGTGAGACAGATGGATCAGAAGCAGAAAATGGTTATAGCTACATCATGGAGAGCCCAAATGCCAACCAAGGAATCTGGTTTTTTTATTTAGCAGTTATTGGGGAGGCCCCGAATGTTTTGAACAGAAGGAGACATCAAAGTTGTGTTTGAGAAAAATTAATCTGCAGGGATGTGTAGCATGGAATAGAGTGAGGGAGAAACCGAGGACAGTGATAGCAGTATAAAGAATATCAAACTAGCCTAGGCCAAGGTTGGGTGCTGGCCAGGGGAGTGAAGATGAAGGGACAGATGCCATAAAAGTGGGATGACAGGACTTGGGTTTAGAAAGGAGAGGGAGGAGTGGTAGATGAAGCTGAGATCTGAGAAACCTTGGTGGCTGACCAGATTTAAAGGGGAAGATGTTAAAGAATCACATGAAATGAGAGCCCATTCATCTTGGCCTTAAAAAAAAAAAATTCTATCATCTGTGATAAACTAGTCCAGACCAGGGTTTCTCAACAGCAGCGCTGTTCACATTTTGGGCCAAATAATTCTCTGTTGTAGGGGGCTGTCCTGTGCATTAACAGCATCTCTGACCGCTACCTACTACATGCCAGTTGCACCATCCAAAAATGTCACCAGACATTGCTAAATGTCCCCTGGGGAGCAAAATTGACCCTGGTTAAGAACCACTGACCCAAACTATTGATTTAGTAGTCTTACTGTGGTGCTCTGAGCTAGTCTTCTGGGTTCAGAAACCTCCAAATGATAGATCCGTTTCATTCTTTTTAAGGTTAAGTCTTTCGAGAAGGAAAGGCAGACAGAGAAGCGTGTGCTGGAGACTGAACTTGTGGACCATGTACTGCAGAAA
Source organism: Homo sapiens (assembly GCF_000001405.40). Classification (NCBI taxonomy): domain Eukaryota; kingdom Metazoa; phylum Chordata; class Mammalia; order Primates; family Hominidae; genus Homo; species Homo sapiens. Next base: position 40,026,055 of record NC_000015.10, read on the forward strand.
CTGAGGACTAAAGTCACTGATGAAAGGAATGGCAGGTAACTTAGGAAACAAAAGCCGAGAAAAGTGACTTCAGTTACCTATATGGAAACTACGTAAATTTATTTTAAAAGTCAATTTGAGCCAGGTGCTGTGGCTCACACCTGTAATCCCAGCACTTTGGGAGGCCAAGTTTGGGGAATCACTTGAGGCCAGGAATGCAAGACCAGCCTGGGCAACATACCAAGACCCCATTTCTAAAAAAAAAATTTTTTTGATTAGCTGGGCATGGTGGTGCATTCCTATGGTCCCAGCTACTCAGGAGCTGAGGTGGGAGGATTGCTTGAGCCCAGGAGGTCAAGGCTGCAGTGAGCCATGTTCATACCACTGCACTCCAGCCTGGGTGAAGAGAAAGACCCTGTCTAAGAAAAACAAAAAGAAAGAAATCAATTTGATCCTTTTGAGAAACAAAGATAGGTCAGGATTACTTTTAATGAACCATTCTGTTGCTTCTGAATAACTCAATCAGGAGTTTAATTGTATGACCATCTTGTATGAGACTAATCATAGCTTACATTCAACATTTGTTCTTCATACCATTTCCAAGAATACTTTATCATTTTGAAAAGCCTCAGGAGCCAAAATCTATCTGTCATTATCTTATTCAGTCTGCTAATCAGTGAATTTCAATAATATTTTGTCCGTGTACTTTGAAAGATGTAACGTTCTGGGAAAAGATCTCACTTCCTCATGATGGGAGTATCAACCATATGGGTAGGAATTTGACAAAGTAAATTAAAAGCCTTAAAACTAAACATTTTTTTTAAATTGACCCAGCAATTCCACTTTCAGGAATTTATAATAAAAATTATTTTAAAGATGTCTATCAAGGCTCATTTATAACAGCAGTTCTCAAACTTTTTGGTCTTAGAACCCCTTTACACCCTTAAAAATTATTTCAGGATCCCAAAGAACTTTTGTTTATGTGAGTTATATCTATAAATATTAAAACATAAACATTTTAAATATGTTTATTCATTTAAAAATAACAATAACCCCATTACATGCTAACGTAACATATTTCTATTGAAAAACAACTGTTTTCCAAAAGAAAATTAACTTAGTAAGGAAAATGGCATTGTTTAAAATATTTGCACATCTTTTAGTACACTGTTTTACATTTTTGTAATCTATTTTAACACTTTAGTAGAAGAAATGATTCTCCTGTCTGTTTATGTATTCAATCTGTTGTGATACCACAAATCATATAGTCTCTGGAAAACTCGGTTGCACATTTATGAGAGGATGAGAGTGAAAAGGCAATTAATATTTTAAGATTATTATGAAAATAGTTTTGACCTTGCAAGACCCCTTGAAAGGATATGAGGGACCTTCAAGATTCTCTAGACCACACTTGGAGAACCTCATTTCAAAATATACATTGGTAGAAGATTGTTTGAATTATGATAATTTGGTGAAATATTGTGCAGCCTTTAAAAATGATGATTCTACTAAAGCTGAGTTCATTGACATGGAAAGATGTCCATAAATAGGATGTTTAATATAATCCCATTTTGTGGCCGGGCGTGGTGGCTCACGCCTGTAATCCCAGCACTTTGGGAGGCCGAGAAGGGGGGATCATGAGGTCAGGAGATCGAGATCATCCTGGCTAACACGGTGAAACCCCGTCTCTACTAAAGATACAAAAAAATTAGCGGGGCATGGTGGCGGGCACCTGTAGTCCCAGCTACTCGGGAGGCTGAGGCAGGAGAATGGCGTGAACCCGGGAGGTGGAGCTTGCAGTGAGTGGAGATCGTGGACTGCACTCCAGCCTGGGTGACAGAGCGAGACTCTGTCTCAAAAAAAAAAACAAAAAGAACAACAACAACAACGAATATATAATCCCATTTTGTTTTAAACAAAATATACAACCTATACATAAAAAAATGTCTAGAAGAACGTACCAAATTTTTAATTGTAGTTTTGGTTAGTGGGATTACAAGGGATCTTAAATTACTTTGTTAAGCTTTTCTATATATTTGCAACTCCTTTTTTTTTTTTTGAGATAGAGTCTCACTTTTGCCGAGGCTGAAGTGCAGTGGTGTATACATGACTCACTATAGCCTTAACCTCCCAGGCTCAGGTGATCCTTCCTTCTTGGCCTCCTGAGTAGCTGGGACCGTAGTCATGTACCACCTTGTCCAGCTAATTTTTTTAAATTATTTGTAGAGACAGGATCTCCCTATGTTGCCCAGGCTGGTCTCCAACTCCTGGACTCAAGCAACTCTCCCGCCTCAAGAAATTCTTATATGTATGCTCATTATCAGAAAATACCACACGGTAATTTTTCTGGCTTACATCAGCAATTCTCAACCAACAATGATTTTGCTTCCCAGGGCACATCTGGCAATGTATGGAGACATTTTTGGTTGTCACAACTGGGGAGTTTTACTGGTATCTAGGAGAGGCCAGGGATACTGTGAAAACATCCTAAAGGGTACAGGACTACTACCCCCCAACAGAGAATTTTCTGGCCTAAAATTTCAGTAGTACCAAGATTGGGAAATCCTGGCTTACAGAAAACAAACCTTGCTCTGTTCTTCTCATGCCCCCACCCCTTCTTATTTGCACCTAGCCTTAATAAATTCACCATTAGGTGTTTCTGAGGGAACATAATGTTCTGGAAATCACCAGTATTGGAATTATAGATCTAAATCAAAGACAGAGGTTTAGAAGAGAAACCAAGAAATAGCCAAGTAGTGAGTATGGGGGAACATTACCAAGACACTTAAAAGGCTACATGGGATTTAGTTTTAGCAGGGAAAGGTTCAAAGTTTTTCCTCCAGCAAATGATTATTTCCCTGTTTTCCCAAGATAGAGTGCTGTTGTCTCTCTCAAAGGCTATAAATTAATTCACAGCATTTGAAAGAACATCCATTCACGGCTTTTTAAAGAATATCTTTATTTACCAAATGTTCTCCTGTGGGTGGTTGCCAAGGCTACTGCCATAATGAAGGTGGGGCTGCTGTTATTCATGTTTCCTTGTATTATGAGGGGGGCGGAAAGAACACCCATTATATTTCATTGAAATCAGCTTATTGTGTGGATCCAGGATTTCACGCCCAGCTGAATAAATCAGAATGTTTTCCTTAGGCATTTGTTAACTTAAAAAGACATCCTTTATAATTTTTACTTGCTCTTGACCAAAGCATAACTAAATGCAAATTTTTTGTTTTTGTTTTTCCACCAATAACCAAGAAGATGTTTTTATATTTAATGGAAAAGTGGCTCACTATACATGTAGTTCACTGTAAGTTATGTGTTGCTTGTGCCTTATTGACTGTTCTTTAATTGTTTTTGTTTGCTTGTTTTTAGAGAAGCTTCCGATAATCTTGCAGTGCAAAATCTGAAGGGGTCATTTTCTAATGCTTCAGGTATAATTACTAATTATAATCTGAACATAATGATGCTTATATGTTTGCTCTAAGCACTTATTACTGTAGCTAACTGCTTGTGACACTGGAAATCTATTTTTAAAATAACATATACGCAATAAATTGTACCACATGGGATGCATCCCTATGCTTTGAAATCCACATCCTAGAAAAGGATAAAACAACTGGAATTTAGCTGACTCTTCTACTCTATCTCTTATTTTTACAAGTGATTTAATCTTCCTTTTACTCAATTTATTGTACAAGTGAAATGTGTATAATTTTCCTGGAGATTTTCCTCATACAGAGGATTGAAGGAAGTATTTTGAAATCCCTTGAAGAAGGACACTATACACATTTTGTTTTCGTGAAAGCCAAGAGGGCACAGTGGTGATAGTTATGCCTTTGCTTTCATCACCTCTAGCAACCTTACTTCTTTTTTAAAGAAGTGTTCCAATTAAGGCCATGAGAAGACATATTTGGCTTTTAACAGAATTGAGTCTTTCCCATTCTCTTCTGTTAGCACTAACTTTGTGTTGCCATCAGATTTCCAATTCTTGCAGGAATTTAAAGAAGTATGCAGGTTTGGTGATATTCAGCTTGATTTTCTTAGGCCCCTGAGGTTTTGATGACTCCTGTTGCCTCCCTGCCCCTTCCACCACCCCCCAACCCCTGCCTGAGGAGAGAAGCATCAAAACTGCTGGGTGTTGGGGTTCTGGGCTCCTCACCTATCCGGTGCAGATGGTTGTAGGGATAGAAAACACAGCCCAGTCGTGATCTAGCCCTTAGAATCACGACAGGATGTCTACTAATAAACTCTGCCATCTCTCTGTAGTATGTTGTAGAAAGTGGGACCAGATAAGGCCATAAATTCTGAAACTCTCTTGGTCTCAGGTTTGTTTGAAATCCATGGAGCAACAGTGGTTCCCATTGTGAGTGTGCTAGCCCCGGAGAAGCTGTCAGCCAGCACTAGGAGGCGCTATGAAACTCAGGTACACTGGGTCAGGGTTTCTTTGGCTTTCTAATATGAGTTACAGAAGAGAAAAACAACAACAGGAAAGGAAAATAAGATAAACATGGAATTTCTTGGAAATATTTTTTCCAAGAAAAAAATTTTTCTTCCAACTTGCCTAACTGGGTGGCTTCTGGCTCCAGGATTCCCATCTGTCCTTCAGAGAGGGGCCATTGTGCACTGTGGGCACCTCAAGGCAGCTGTTGTCAGAGTGACTGCATCTAAATGAAAACTATCTAATCTGGCTCTAAAGGTAGTTGAGGTTTGTTTGTGCTCTAAATAGCAAAGTAGAAGAGGCCGATGACAAGACTTAAGGCAGGCTTCTCATTCCATACATGGTTTCGGCATTTGCTATATGCCTACTGGTGTGCTAAGGGCTGTGTAAAATGTAGAAAACATTAACATGGCCCCAGTCCTCAAAAGAGTTTATAACTTAGAAGCATATGCATTATATAGAGAATAATAAAAGCAAATAAATATAGGCCAGGTGCGGTGGCTTATGCCTGTAATCCCAGCACTTTGGGAGGCCGAGGAGGGCGGATCACTTGAGGTCAGGAGTTCGAGACCACCCTGGCCAACATGGTGAAACCCTGTCTCTACTAAAAATACAAAAATTAGCCAAGCGTGGTGGCAAACGCCTGTAATCCCAGCCACTCGGGAGGCTGAGACAGGAGAATTGCTTGAACTGGGGAGGCAGAGATTGCAGTGAGCCAAGATCATGGCACTACACTACAGCCTGGGCAACAGAGCAAGACTTTGTCTCAAAATAAAATAACTACAGTAGAACACTGAGTTAAATTTATAGAATATGAATGTTAGAGTATGCTGTGGACATATGCAAAAGAGTGAGTGTTAAAAGAGAGCAGTCAATTTTAGAAATGTAATCAGACTGAAATACAAAAATCAGGTACTTTATTTTTGTAAGCTCTTCTAGCTGTTTCTCAGGATTTGGGTGGAAACCTATTTTTCCCGTCTTCCTACTGCCTTCATCACCTACCAAGTTTCAGTTCTCACACCATGTCCTCATTGCTGCCACCTCTCCCTTTTTCCCAATTTAGCTTCATACTATCATCTCTCTGTCTCTGTGTGCACTGTTTCACTGCGCTACGCCTTTATAAGGAATCATTTCAAAATTATGAAGAGATAATTGACAAGGATTATTAAACAAATGGTCAAGATAAGTTATAAAAACCTCATTTCCCCTGAGATCATATTGCTAGACACCCCTTTCTGAGTGGATTAAGAGCAAATCTTCTTTTTTTTTTTTGAGACAGAGTCTCACTCTGTCACCCAGGCTGGAGTGCAGTGGTGCAACATCAGCTCACCACAACCTCTGCCTCCCATGTTCAAGCGATTCTCCTGCCTCAGCCTCCCGAATAGCTAGTATTATAAGCGCCGGCCACCATGCCCTGCTAATTTTTCTATTTTCAGTAGAGACGGGGTTTCACCATGTTGGCCAAGCTGGTCTCAAACTCCTGACCTCAGGTGATCCCCCAGCCTTGGCCTCCCAAAGTGCTGGGATTACGGGCATGAGCCATCGTACCCAGCCAAGGGCAAACCTTTAGACACCATTTGGAATCCTTTCTAGGCTTTGGTATGTAACCCTGTGATTGTATCCTGGGATAGGAAATAAGATGGCAAGAAAGATGGCTTGGTTTAACATGTTCTGAATTCCATTTTCTTACTATTTAGGTACAAACTCGACTTCAGACCTCCCTTGCCAACTTACATCAGAAAAGCAGTGAAATTGAAATTCTGGCTGTAAGTGGCTTTCTTTAGTATTTTGAAGGTGGCTTCTGTCCATACTGTCAAAGTAGTTGCCTCAGGGTTCAGAGCTTTTTTGCTCAGTGTCAGCAGAATTTGGATGCAGGCCTTATTGTGATGTGAACTACACGCAATTTAAAACTATTAAGAACTAGGGGGAGAATTTAAGGTTTTTTGTTTCTCCTCTTTGTTCCTCTTTAAGATAGAGGAAAATGAAAACAAAAGTCATTTTCCTACATATATCAGGCCTTTGCCTTGCTAAGCTTACACCGAATACATGTAGCAGCGTCAGACCTTTCGGGTGTGGTGTAGAGGGACAGGGAGTACAGTTTCCACTGCTTATTAATTCTCCAGGGCTAAGATCTTATCACTGCACAGTTCATTAAGCCCTTTTACAGCACAATAGCATCTCAGACTCTGCAAACCCTATTCATACTGCTGCATTTCACGTGACACTATGGTCACAAGGCAGTATTGTGCTGCTGAGAGTTGATGTACATTTGTGTGTATTCACAGGTGGATCTACCCAAAGAAACAATATTACAGTTTTTATCATTAGAGGTAAGCAATATGAACTCTTCTGCACTGTGGCCTTTAAGATCCCAAATCTTTGCTATTAGTTTGCCAAAATACTGAAGACGGCATTCATTAGTGATAGTATTTTTCTGGCAGCTGCAGGAATTTAGTAACATTTTTCCTTTTATGTAACATATATGTTCCTAAATCCTATGTTGAAGGACTCATACTTTTCTAGTGACTTTATTTTTCAGATACTTATTTTATTAAAAACAAAAAACAAAAACAAAAAAACACATATACTGCTTTTACTATGTGTCAGGGTCTGGCAGGCCTTGTTGTAAGCATTTTACAAGTAGTAACTCATTTAATCATTACCACCCCAAAATGTAGATACTGTTATTATCCCTTTACAGAGTACGGAAGTAGAGAGGTTAAATATCTTACCCACAGTCACCCAGCTAGTAAGTAGTAGAACCAGGATTTGAACCTAAGCAGACTAGCAGAATCGGTGTTCTTAACCACTATACTATACTATCTCTCAAACCTCCATTCCAGCTAGGGAAGCTCATTTGCAGATTAGTACTATACAAAACAAAATCCTTTTGTAAAAATTAATTAGGTCCTTTATAAATATATATATATTTTTACAGGTACATCCCTTTATCATCAAATAGCCTAAATAAGAACTTTAAAAATTTGAATAGTTATCTTTGCTATTAAGAACACTCAACTATAGTCATAGCTACAGGTGACTTTTGCAACATGTCATATCAAAGAATACTTTTTTGTCTATCCAGAGTGTTTAGTCACAAATTAAATTAGATTAATAGTGAACTTAGCCCTAGAACTAGTATTTTATATATCATTTTTTGTTCTCTTACAAATAAGCATATACCACTATCTCACTGGCAGTGTACTGATTTATGATCCAGTCAAATGGATATACTTAAGAGCTGCTATCACCGTTGTACAAAAAGTAAACAGAGGCCGGGTGCAGTGGCTCACGCCTGTAATCCCAGCACTTTGGGAGGCCGACGTGGGTGGATCACCTGAGGTCTGGGGTTTGAGACCAGCCTGGCCAACATGGTGAAACCCCATCTCTACTAAAAATACAAAAAATTAGCCGGGCGTAGTGGCAGGCGCCTGTAATCCCAGCTACTTGGGAGGCTGAGGCAGAAGAATTACTTGAACCCAGGAGGTGGAGGTTGCAGTGAGCCGAGATTGTGCCACTGCACTCCAGCCTGGGCAACAAGACCGAAACTCCATCTCAAAAAAAAAAAAAAAAAAAGTAAACGGTAGGCAGAAATAACTGCTCTAAAGTCACATCAGCACACTAGGGCTGCAGCATTGTTAATCAGGCTCTAATTAGGGAGTCTTGTTTTAAGGAAAACTGGTGCTTCAGAGGAACCCCAGCAGTCTCCTAACTGGTTCTGCTATCTCCCTATTACTGATTCTCCTGGTATACTTGAAGAGGGAAATGACACTGGAATTTCATTAGTGACCCAGAAAAAACCAGCTAGTAAACCCTAGAGACCTGTTGTTAAGTCTTATCTATTTTTTTCCTAGTGGGATGCTGATGAACAGGCATTTAACACAACTGTGAAGCAGCTGCTGTCACGCCTGCCAAAGCAAAGATACCTCAAATTAGTCTGTGATGAAATTTATAACATCAAAGTAGAAAAAAAGTAAGTTATCACTTGGGCATAGCAGGGTTCACATGGTTAAAATTCAGGGCGGGGGGTTTCAGAGTGACATTATTTTGTTGTCTTGTTGAGGTTTGACGCCTGGTAAGCTGTTCTTAGAATTGCAGCTGACAACCAATAAATCTTGCTTGGACTGTGAATCACAGTCATGATCTCATCAATAACAAAACACAGGGGTCCTAGGAGTAGCTGTCCCAATTACAATTTTGTTCACCCAGGTAATTCACTTTCTAAGTATGTTTAAATCAAAGAAAATAACCATGACTACTTTGCTGTATGTCCTTATGTCATAATGCCAATCAATCAATCAATCATTCATGTTATCATACACTTAAAAGGCAACAAGGAAGCCTATGAGGTGAATGGTTATCTCCTTACTAGGACCTTATACTGCAGACCCCTGTCAGTCACACCTTGTATAAAACCTATATAATTTTTTAATGACTAGCCTTCCATCTTGTTTTTGCTTAAATAAAGCTCCTACAGGTGTTATAAAAATTTATTAGCTCTGTTCTTCACTCATTAAACTGAGTCTGTCCTTATATCTTTTCTTTTCTTTTGCAGGGTGTCTGTGCTATTTCTGTACAGCTATAGAGATGACTACTACAGAATCTTATTTTAACCCTAAAGAACTGTCGTTAACCTCATTCAAACAGACAGAGGCTTATACTGGAATAATGGAATGTTGTACATTCATCATAATTTAAAATTAAATTCTAAGAAGAGGCTGGGTGCAGTGGCTCACACCTTTAATCCCAGCACTTTGGGAAGCCAAGGCAGGAAGACTGCTTGAAACCAGGAGTTTGAGACCAGCCTGAGCAACAAAGCAAGACCCCATCTCTATAAAAACTAAAAAAATTAGTTGGGCATGGTGGCACATGCCTGTAGTCCCAGCTACTCCAGAGGCTGAGATGGATCATCTGAGCCTCAGGAGGTTGAGGCTGCAGTGAGCTGTGACTGCGCCACTGCACTCCAGTCTGGGACAACAGAGCAAGACCCTGTCTTAAAAAAAAAAAGAAAAAAAAAATTTTTTTCTAAGAAGCTGTCCTACAAAGTTGAGCTTTGTTAGTTTTTCATGTGTAATATATTATAAATTTATCTTTTGGGATATAATAAATGCTTTCATATACCTGCTGCTTTTTAATTGTAAATCTATTAACACTAAAGGTTTTAGGGAGCTGGAACATAAGGTAAATAGCCTTTTCTTCCCTTGGCTGTAATGACTAAGCACATGAAAATATCCAAACCAAAGGGCATAAAGAAACCAAAAATCATAATTACTTTGGAACCTTTATTCTTGATGACTTTGTAGTATGTTTCTCCTAAGGTGGTTAAACAAACTCTCATTTGACTGTGAGAACTCATCGAAACTGGGGAACCATGATGATAAAATTATACAGCCAGGTGGGAAGCAGCTCATGAGATAACATGACTTTTTATAAAACTGTCAGGTTTCAATTCTAATAACCTAGAAGATATTATAGAGCTAAAGCCTATTCATTAATCACATCATTCTAGATTTAGTAGTTATTGCCAGAACTATTAAAATGGGTTGGGAAAGGAATAAAGAGACAGTGCTGATAAACAGACATGTTTAATGATAGCTTGCTCTTCACAGAGATGTCTACAGAGACTTTTAATCTATAATCCAGGAGTATATAACCATGCAGCACAGACCAATTAGCCAAATGCAAAATAAACTAGATTCTTACCACAACTATCCTATAAACACTGCAACTATTCTTTCCAAAAGGACCCTAATCTTATGTGAAAACACCTACTGTGGGGGAACCAGAAACCTAGCTATCTGGCCAAAAGGAAAAAATAGCAATTCAGTGGTTAATTGGTGAAAGCAGGAAATGTATGCCCTTTACTGTGCTGCTGTTGCTGCTGTTGTTGCTGCTGTTGTTGGTGCTGTTGCTGCTGCGGCAGGTGCTGCTGCTGCTGCTGCTGCTGCTGCTTTGGTCTTCTTAGTTTTGTTCTTTTTGTCTCTCTTCTTCAGCCCATCCATGTTAGCTCTAAGGAGGTTTGAATAAGCCTGAAAGATACAACAGAGCATACCTTAGTGGGAAGATGTGCAAACTGGCAGAACACCAGCCCTATCTGCATAATGGATTTAGGGTAGCCAAAAATCAGGAAAGAATATAGCACCATTGGACACTTGTACCGGAAAATGGTATAAGCATAAAACACTCTTTCACATTATAGCAGCTTCTGCAACACCCACAGACAGTTGCACACATTTTTTACGTTTTTTTCCAAGGGAAAATTGCAGGCAACTTCTTGTTCAACTATAGTATAGGTAGCATATATCTACAGCCTAAGACAAAATCTAACTTAAAAAAACTAGAAAGGAAGACGGTATTAGCATTGAAATTCACACCCTGGCAGCTTTTACTTGAAACATACTGGTAAAACTTATCTCCGGAGAGCAGTGAACCCAAGTATCAATCTTACCCAGTGTTCACTATCATACTGACTCTTGCCCTGAGAAGGGAAACATAAGGAACACCCAAAACTCACCATCTGAAACTTATTCACTTCCTTGGAGCTCACCTGAAAAAGAAGGAAAAAAGAGGTCATACCTATTATCCATATAAGCATCCTCTTCTCCACCCCAGATAGTATCTCAAAAGCCTCCGGAAGACAATATCCTTATCTTTAAAATACTTCTCCCCAACTTCAGGGTTCATAATACACGAATGGTTATTTTTCTACTCTACTTTCCTCTGCCTAGAGAACAAGAAAAGGAGCTCTGCATCTTTTTCCACATGAGAATTGCACCAAGAGGTGAAAGGCAGTAGGCTCCTTTTGGGGAAAAAAAAAAAAAAAGCTTTGTTTCTCACCTCTTGAAATCCCTTAGAAAGGTGGCATTGGGTTTTCTCCCTGGGTTCTGAGAAAAGTCAGAGGACTTCTCAGTATTAATTTTTTATACATTAATAGAAGATATATTTAAACTACTCCCTCCCCATCTTATTTTTAAACCTGCCTTCCATTAATTCAAGCATATTTAAGCACAATGCGAGCTACCACAAAATAAATTCTACCTCTGAAGAACACTCCTTAGGTTTTTGTTATTTCATGATATCTAACTTAATCTGTAAAACCACATAAGCTTGTTTTACTGTAGAAGTCCTCTCAAGATAACTTGTCCTTAGGTTTTTGTTATTTCATGATATCTAACTTAATCTGTAAAACCACATAAGCTTGTTTTACTGTAGAAGTCCTCTCAAGATAACTCAAGACTTCCAACTAAGTATAGTCTACATTTTCATGCAGTCAGTATCCTACACTAATGTGATTTCTGCCACAGCAGAATAAAGTAGTATTCACTCAATTCAAGGAGCCTCTTCCTTTGCCTTATTCAACCTCCACTGAAAGACTAGGGCTCTTGACTAAATGTATATTTTCTCAAGTGTCAAACCTAACATCTAGCTGCACATTCGCCATGTGAACCACAAAGATAAGGAAATAATAGCATCACCTGGTACCAAGAAACTGCTTATTGAAGGCCCAGCACAGTAAGGGGCTAAGGAATCAAATATTTATGCCAGCTGCTCCTTACAGTACTACGAATAAGGACCAATATGCTACTTTCATTTCCACAAGAGCTTTAGCAGAACTAACGACTGTCTGACCTCTACCTTCTTATTTTATTCTTGAGGTTTCCACTACTAAAGTATAGGAAGGTCCTGGTCTCAAAAATAGCCACACAGGGCAAAAGGGAAAAACAAATAAAAGCCTGGTTCAGAAACGCCCCATCCTCTGTTAAGTTCAAGTCTTTACATTTCAAAAGACAGCCTTAGAAATTAAGCTCACCACAGTGCTGATCTTCTTCTTCCCATCGGTAGCTCTTAACAGACACTTGTTGTCTGCGGGCTCAAAGCCCTCCACAGTACCCTTCTTTGGAATGGGTTTGGTTCGACCGTCATCTGAAGGAAAAAATGCATCCTGGTGAACACGGCCGCGTACGTGGCTGAGCGGCAGACAAACAGTTAAAACAGAGGAGTGGGGTAAGTGATGACCTAACCCAGCCCCGCTGCTCTAGTTTTGTTAAACACCTCATCTGCTATCACGGTCTGGCGAAACCCTGGAGAAACTATTATTTCCACGACGGAAACATGTAATATCGAAGCACGTTAAATTCCACTCAAAGTGGCGGCGTCTGGGATCCCTGACAAAGAGCCCTGGGCTGCTTGGGGCCCATTGTTACCAGAAGCAACCTAGGCGGCTCAGTGCTGGGGACTGAGCCAGCTACAATCCCTACTATTTTCCGGGCCCGAAGCCCCGAATGTGCTCAGTACAGGGTGGGGAAAGGTAGAGGAAGGCGGCGGTCCGCGGCAGACAGACTCCGGTGGCTCCCAGACACCGGGAACCCAGGGAGCATCGCCCGGCTCCCCTCCCGCTGCTTACACTTCTTCAAGGTGATATAGACGCTGCCCGACGTCCGGCACTTCTGGAAAAGTCTGGTCAGCTCCGTCAGGAACTGGAAAACAACAGGCCCAGCCCCGTTAGCCAGCCCCAAATCCTCGTCCTGCCGCGTCAAGGCCCTGGTCCTCCTGCAGGAGGCACAGGTCTCGAGTAACGCCTGAGCCGCCCCCTTCCCTCGGCCGGCCAGGCCTAGCCATACCTGCTCGCTCTCCAACAACACCATCGCGGCGACGCTGGCTCGACTCCCTCCGCTTAAGCCCCTAGCAGTGAGAGCCGGAAGTTCGGCCTAGGCTGGGCGGGACTTCCGCTACTAGACTTCCATTGTCTTCCACCAATCTCTTCTCTTCCACCAATCCCGGCCTGCGCCCTCCCCCCTCCCCGCCCGCCTAGCGCCCGCGCCCTGGGACGTCCGGGGGCCTGTGACCCGGAGGCGCTGGGGCTGTCCTGGGTCGTCACATGCGAGAAATCGTCTCACCCCAGCCAGTGTGACGGAGTGAGAGCAAAAGAAAGTTTTGATAGCAGCGTACGATTTATATTCAGCTGTATGCTGGGCAGGTAACCTAACAACTCAGTGACTCAGTTTCCTTATCCATAAAGTAAGGGTAATGATAGTATCTACCGCGCAGTGTGGTCGTGAAGCGTAAATGAAACTCAGATTAAATACGTAGAACAGTGCCTGGCACATAGAGCGTGTTCAGTAGGTATCAGCTATTGTTCTTTTCATTATTGTCATTATAAGTTCCTGTAGAGATCCTTTAAACTCTCCCTAAACGCTGACCTGCAGCTCTAGCCAGAAGGGCTGGGCCGGGCGTGGTGGCTCACGCCTGTAATCCCGGCACTTTGGGAGGCCGAGGCGGGTGGATCACGAGGTCAGGAGATTGAGACCATCCTGGCTAACACGGTGAAACGCTGTCTCTACTAAAAATACAAAAAAGTTAGCCGGGCGTGGTGGCGGGCACCTGTAATCCTAGCTACTCGGGAGGCTGAGGCAGGAGAATGGCGTGAACCCAGGAGGCAGAGCTTGCAGTGAGCTGAGATCGCGCCACTGCACTCCAGCCTGGAAGACAGAGCGAGACTCCGTCTCAAAAAAAAAAAAAAAAAAAAAAAAAATGAGGGGCTGGAGCCCAGTCTTTAGTTCTACCTCTGATTAGTCAGGAGAACTAGGTTGTAAGCCCTCTCTGCCACTAGCCAACTTGAACCCTGGGCCCTCTATAAAGTCAAGCATTCCACCACACAAGAGGTTTTCGCTGAGTGCCTCTCAGTCTGTGCCAGGCACGGTTGTAGAGGTTGGGGATGCAGCAGGATAAGAAAAGCTAAGTTCCTGGTTTCCTGGAAGTTGGGTTAAAGGGGCAGGGAGGAAATAAACAATGAAGCAAACAAGTAAGTAGTACAGCTTCAGATAATGAATTCCGTGAGACAGCCTAAGCAGGGCTGTATAATGAGAGTGGGAAGGGGACTGCCTGGGTTGGGGTCAGGGGAGTTCTCGTCGAAAAGGAGAACTTTGAGTTGAAAGCTGAAAGGACCAGCCATCCAAAGATCTAGGGACACAGTGTTTCAGACACAGGGAACGGCTAGAGCAAAACCTTCAAAGGGGAAACAAGTTGCCCTGTGTCTGTAAGACTGGCAGGTGCGGGTGGGGGTGAGGAGGGCTTGTGGAGCAAGGAGTAAAGGAGTATGGAGAGGTAGCTGGGGACCAGATTATGTAGGGCCCGTGACCATAGTAAGCCTGGATTTTGTTCTAGATACAAAGAGAAGACTCGTTAAGGAAGTTTTCAACAGAACACTGAAAATCTGATTTATATTTTTTAAAGATCCCCCTGTCTGTGTTGTGGAGAATGCACTGTAGAGAGACAGGGCAGGAAATGAGGAGCCCAGTTAGGAGATTCAAACTTAATGGCTTAAATATGTTCACTCTCTGATTTCACATTTTCTTCCAAATGGCCAGCGCCCGTTGCCCACTTCCTGCCCTAGGCTGATGACCTTGTGTAGCCAACCTGTATTGGCTTTTGGTTCTCCAGCATTTGAACCTGTTTGCAATCCCCTGTTGTGTGGGTTTTGGTGAGAGGCAATAAATAAATAAATAGAAGGGTCAGAGGGTCACTCTCTCAACTGCCCTCAGCACCTGGGCTCAAGCATATGACCTAACGTGGGTCAATCTGGTGCTCTCAACCAGGACTTTGACTTCTGAGCTAGTAATACCAAGGCCCAGGGCTCTTGCATGGGTGTCCAGTCATTTGAATGTGAGGATGTTTTTGCTCATCTGTATTGGCAGATATCATGAAAATTATGCATGGGCCCTTTTTAAAAAAATTTTATCTCATCAGCTATCATTAGTGTTAGTGTGTTTTACATATGGCCCAGGACGATTCTTTCAATGTGGCCCAGGGAAGCCAAAAGGTTGGACACGCATGCTAGAGGTTATTCATATGGTGCCATCACAAAGTGGTCTTGTGTTGGCGGCCCTATAGGAGGGGTTTTCACCAGACTGTTCTAATCTTTGCTAGTCTTGAGGTGTGCGAAGATGACTCCCCAATTTTTAATTATAGCTTTTACCTCTGTATTGAGCTCCAAACTTGCATATTCAGCTGTCCACTTGGTAGTTCCACCTGGATGTGTAATGAGCATCTCAGATATTACGTGACCAAATCAAAACTTTTTACTTCCCACATCTTTGCTATTTATTAAATGGCACCACCGTCTGACCAGTTACTCAAATAAAAACAACCATGAATCATCCCAGATTCCTTTTTCTTTTTGAGGCAGGGTCTCACTCTGTCACCCAGGCTAGAGTGCAGTGGTGCAATCTCGGCTCACTGCAGCGTCCACCTCTCAGGCTCAAGCTATCCTCCAGCCTCAGCCTCCTAAGTACTTGGGTCTATAGGCATGAGCCGCTGCCACCAGCTGTTCTTTTTCTTTTAATTTTCACATCTACACCTGCATGAGTCCTGTTAGCTATCTTGAAAGTTTAATCTGATTGCAATCACACTAGCATCTGGACTTCTGCAAAAATCTCGGTGGCAGGCTGGATGATCCCCCAGAGATGTCTATGTCCTAGTACATGGAATGCGTGCATTGCACTGGATCCAGTGCAATTCAACTACTGATGGAATATTCTTTGGGCTTTGTTTTTCTGTGGGAAATGACCAAGAGCACCTATTCAGAAGTCAAAGTGATCGGGGTTCAGATCCTACGTCTGCTACTTATTGATTATGTGGCCTCAGGCAACCTCTCAAGGCCTAAGTCTCTTCACTAGCAAAGTAACAAAATAATGCTTACTTCATTGAGATTATGAAGATTGTATAAAATACTATATGTAAGAGCCTTAGGCTTGCTCTAATATGGTAAATATAGATGTTTAAATTAATTTTAAAATTTTAATTCCTCAATCACACTAGCCACATTTCAAGGATTCAGTAGCAATATGTGGCTTGGATAGTACAGATGTAGAGCATTTCCATCATCACAAATTCTACTGGACAGCGCTATCATTGATAACATTGGGCCTAGCACATAGTAAATGCCCAATAAACAGTATAGTATCAAATAGTGTTATTACTTATAGACCACACACCTTCCATCATTTCAACATCACCATCCTGATTTCTGCCATTATCTTAATACCACCTGTACTGTTAGTTAATATTTTTCTTTAAATTGACTCACTTTCTACTTGTGTATTTAATATCATGATCATAAGTGGAAAACCAGTATCATTTGCCATAAATAAAAGGGATCATAAAAGGAAGTACTATGAAGTAAAATAATGTTGCTAAATTTAAATTTTTGAGATTAAAAAAATTAAAACAGTAAAAGCAATGATAAAGTTCATTGATTTATAAGACTATATCTGAAAATAAATTCATCAGTGAGAAAAATGGTATTGTATGTGATCAATCAGGAATAAAGGTAGCTCAGGGGTACAATGAAATTGAGAGTTTATGTCAATATAACATGGTTAAATTTTGATGTTTTCCAGCACCCCAAATCC
This sequence comes from Homo sapiens, assembly GCF_000001405.40. Lineage (NCBI taxonomy): Eukaryota > Metazoa > Chordata > Mammalia > Primates > Hominidae > Homo > Homo sapiens. The sequence continues at coordinate 40,042,882 of NC_000015.10, forward strand.
TAACTTGCAATTATGTGTGATTAGGGTAACATATCATTCATCAAATTGTAATTTAAATGCATAATAGAGATTAATGGCTTTTGGCCTTGGAGCAGAGCAGTATGTATGTGAGGCATGGCGCTGGGTCACTGTCTCTAAGTCATGCAGGCCACACACCTTCCTGCTCCCTCTCAGTTTTTCCTCTCCCTTTCACAGTTCTAGGAGAACCATGACATGAAAATGGTTCCCAAATCCTTTCCCACATCATGGGGGCTTCATCAAAGGCCTAGGCAGCACCAAGAGCAAAACGAAGGCCCTGGGCACAAAACACCGTACCAGCTTTGGCCACTTCCCCATGGGAAGACGGGCAGAGAAAAGTACCCCTGCTCCTCAGGGCCTAGCCGACCTAAGGGACCTGAATAAGTATGCTTGTTTGTACAACCTGAGATTGTCTCTCCCAAAATGCAGGGGTAATGTGTTTTTTCCTCAGACAGAGCACACTTTAATTTATTAGGTGTTTAATTAGAGTTGGTTTTGAATTAGGGTCAGGAATTTGGTTAGGGTTTGAATTAGGGTCAAGGATCTTGTTCAGGTTAGGGTTGATTAATTTGCAGCTGCAGTTACTCTAATGCAATTACACTTTGCAGTGCCTGGAAAGTATAATGCTTAAAAACACAGTCGCTAGTTCCTGGATGGGGTTCCTAGCTGGGGTAGTCAAGGCTGCAATAAGCCATGATTGTGCCACTGCACTCCAGTCAGGGAAACAGTGAGATGCTGTCTCAAAAAAATTTTGTATTATGTTTAACCTATTATTAATAAGGAAACCAGATGTATGTTACAATCCATTCAAAGGGGAATCCAGTAAACATCAGGAATTCTGGAATGAATTTGTAAATGGAAGTAAAATTGGATTTTGCACAGGAGGGACCCAGGGTTGTCCCTTCACTGAACAGAAGCATTTGTACATCCATAGACAAGAATCCTCTGCATTGCCATTGAGTCTCTACAACCTACAGAGTTGTAAAATAGCGCAAAGGAAATAAAAGGCTAGAAATCAGCTAATCCAGAAGGCTGTGTTCTAATCAATGTATAATTTTTCATTGGAAACATCCACTATTTTTTATTTTGTTTTGTTTTTTGTTATTGTTGTTTTTGAGTTTATCTTTTTCTTTAATGTATTTGTTTCCACTAATCTTTTTTGCATATTCCAAAATTGCTTAAGTCTCTCTGTGCCTCAGTGTCCTCATCTGTAAAATGGGGAAGTCATAAAAGTGCCTACCTCATGTCAAGGGGAGGAGTAAATGAGCTAAGGGATGCATTATTACACTGCAGTCCCTTAGTTGGGAGTGGGCTGTTCTACGTCCTCCTCGTCAAGGTGGATTCATTCTACAGGAGCAGATTGCAACAAGACACTGTGCACCTTACGGAGGACTGGCCTCTGGGCTAGTTTAACTTTTCAGTTTCAGTCTGAGGGGAACTATACCTTGGGCTCTGAGCTGCCTCACCGTAGCTCCAGTGTGCTGATTTAAGGGTCAGTTCTGGATGAAGGAAGGAGGGTATCATCTAAACACATCGAGGAATGGCACTGGGCAGGTCTGGCTTTGGGATGACAAATTTTAGAACCTAAGGCTGGGAGACCTCCCACGTCAGCGGGAGGTGGTTAGCTCTGGTGGAGCCATCCTAGAGAAGGCCAGAGGAGTGGCCGGAGGGAGATGAGAGTGTGTCCTAGAAGCCTGGGTGCCCGGAGAGAGTAAACACCCTGAAGCCACACGTCAACACACTCCCTGGACTGAATCCACTCCAACACTGGCAGTTCCCAATTCCTTTATTCTTTTCTGCAGTCAGTTGGTCAACAAGTGTTCATTGTATCTGCTCAGCCAACTCAGGGCTCCAGGAACTCTCTCCATCCCCACCCCAGGATGAAGTCCTGGATTTAAATCCCAAGCCCCAGTGTCCTAGAGAGACAGCACAGGTGCCCTGGACTGTGAGTCAGAGACCCCAGGCTCACCCTGCTCCCCAACTTGCTGTGAGGCCCTGCACGAGGTACTTGCTTGCGCCCTATCCTCCACAGGGAACCTGCCTCAGAGGGTTGTTGTCGGCTTTCAAGGACATAATCCACGTAAAGGGCTCATAGTAAACACCCAGTTGATGTATTTTTTAAAGTATTTTCACTGTTATGTTCAGGACTTAGGCTAGATTGCTAATGTCACTTCTACTTCCAAAATTCTTAGAACTGCTGCTTTTCTCCCCCCAGCCCCTTCTGGGGGCCCTAGGGAAGTTTCCGGAGCCCACAAGTGTCAGTGATTAACACTGGCCTTCCCCTCGCTCGCAGCAACGCCACCACGCCCTCCCTCCACGCGCCATCGCAGAGATGAGGAGTGGCCTCGACCTGCCTGTGACTCGTCTTGGGCCAGTAGGGGACGCCCTGGCCTCACCAGACGAGCGCAGCCATGGGCGACCGCCTCAGCCACTCCCAGATCTTGCCCTGTCGTTTACCTTAGATCAACCCTAAGAATATCCAAGATCGTGGTCATTATTTTTCAAAATTACTTCTGTGGAGGCTAGAACTTTCCGTGTTACAGAAAGATTATCATTCATCCATTCACTGAACAAGGCTAAACAAGCAGTGTTTGGCACTGTTCTAGGTGCAAGAAGCTGACTGACTTCTCCACTAGAGAAGAGACTATTTTTTTCTCAGATAATAGCTTGCTTATATTTATTGAGAAGTTACTAAGTGCCAGGTTCATTTCTAGGTGCTTACATGTATCCACTTTTGAGCCCCCAATAGTCCTGTGAGGTGAGCGTTGTTCTAGCTGAGGAGCCTGCCACCTCTGTGCGAAGAAGCACTTGCAAATGAGTGTAGCCTGCGGGCAGCTCAGGAGTGCTGAGCTTTCAGCTGTCTTTCAGCTGTCCAAAGAGGTGACAAGAAGGGAGGGAAGGCAGAAAAGAGACCAGCTCTAGGCAGAGTGGAACAAACTGGGACTCTCTCTCCACTCCTCATCTTTCCCTCCCTCTGGGTGTGGGTTCCTATCCCAAGCCCCTGTCCCCCTCCCACTCCCATGCAGAATCCTGTCTCCTTAATCCTGTCTTTGGATTCCAGGTCCAACTTGGCATTTCTTGGCTGTATCTCTGAAGGAAAGTCATCTTAATCTCTATGAGCCTCCATTTCCTCAGCTGTAAAATGGGAAGATCTTCCTCACACTGCTGTGGTGAGTTCAGTGTGACAATGTGAATATAAAAGCTTATACGTGAGAAAGCATGGCAGAAAAGCTAGGTTTCATTGTTCTTTTCCTCTCCTTCTCAAGCAGTACCCTGAGTAGAAATATTCGGTCGTGCAAAACACCCCTCCCTCCCTCCCCATCAAAATCCCAGTCTCTCACTAAGCTCAGCTAGCTGTGTGGAGGCAACCCATCTGGTAGCTAAATCACACGAACATGTTCAGGACAAATGGTTAGTATGTCACACGCCCTCCATTTGTGGAGGAAACTTAGGTGATGTTAAACAAAGAACAGACTCTAATGGTGGGATTTCTGGTATAGGGGCTTTGGGGAGATACAAAGGAATTGCCAGTACCCTCTAGGCTACACTCCATGGGCAGCCCCTGGCCCCACATGCCTGGAAGGCCATCCTTGTACAGAATCAGGTGGTGGCACTCAAGAAATGTGTGTGAACTTTAAGAGGTTCTCCCCTTCTCATCTAGGATTTCCTTCCTTGCTGAACCTCAAGAAGGGGGCCAGCATACCCCATATTGTAAGAGGGGAAACTGAGGCCAGGAAAGGCAAGCATAGTTATTGCAAGCGTAGTTATTCCCAGCCAGGCTGGAAGTCTGGGGCATGAGCACCTATTCCTGCCCTCCTCCTCCCCACACTTTCATGGGTTTAGTGGGTGGGGGAGGGGCTCCCTTATTCAGGATGATTAGGGGTCCCCAATTTAAAGTTTCCTGTCTGAAAGTCAAGGACAGGAAATTATATAGCCAGAGTTCTGCACAAATTACCCAACAGGTGTCTCGACTCCCCAAAGCGACAGATGCTGTTCATCTCTTGGCCTCTGTGTCATCATTCATCCTTGATTGTTCGGGGAAGCCCACTCCACCTCTGTGACAGACCCACAGATGCAGATTTACACAGGGAATCCTAGACAGACACAATGAAGAAACTCCCATCTGATCAGAGCCAAGTCCCAGTAATAACATCAATGAATCATTGACTTCAGTGAGTCACAATATTGAGCTGGAAGAGGCCTCCAAGACCTTTTTAGTCCAACCCTTTACCTGCTAGTTATTCACAAGTGAATAGAAACTGAGTGAGGTCCAAAGAGGGAAAATGACTTGACCAAGATCACAAAGCTTGGTAATGCCAAAGGTGAGACTGGAAGCCCCGAGCCCTGAGCCCCAGGCCCATGCACTTTCCACACACCCCTCTGCCTGCCACAAACTAGCTGGCACAGAGAGCAGGAGGGAGGGCATAGGCCCCTCATGACTTAGCCAAGGGCAGCTCAGTGTCTCCATGCAGGTGGACTCCGTGTGTCAGCTTCAGCCCTCCCTTGGGAAGGGAAGGGCCTGGGGCCGTCCTCACACCCCAGGCGCCAGGCCACGGAGCTATAGGAGGCAGCTTCCTGCTTGGCCCTTATCCAAGGCCATTTCACAATGGGGGGAAAAGCGCTGAGCTGAGAGTCCCGGGTTGCTGCTCACTCCACCCCCACTCCAGCCCCTTTCAGACCCCCCAGGGACAACGAGCCAGGCCCGGCCTGAGGCTTGGGGTGAAGAGAGCTGCAAGAATGGAGACAGGCTGAACAGCCCCTTTTGGGAGTGTTCTATGAGCTGTGTCCCTGGAACTGGACGAGGGCACCACCTTGCATATTACCAGCACTATCCCCCTTCCCTTGCCGTCCACCTGCAAGCATTCAGGCTGGGGAAGTCCCTTCTGGGACAGGAGTGGTCGCTTCCAGTCAGCCCCATAGCACTCTCATGATTAGTCAGAGGGGAACCTGGAGGCAAGAAGGCCCACAAGCTGGGAGACGGCAAGGCCTGGGTCACTTCCTGCAGTGAGGCAACGTGACTACCAGGCAGAGGAGCCCAAATGTCTCCTCCCAAGATGCTACAGGGTCTGGGGTGAACTGTGGCTCAGCTGACTGAAATTCAGGCAGGAACCAAGACAGAGACACTGAGACGGGACATTCAGCCAGGATTTATTATGCCCTTACACACAGGGTCGGCTCTGAGCTCAGCTCTGTAAGGGATCTCGTTTGAAGTAGGAGGCAGTGGTTAAGGACCCAAATCATCCTGTCTTCAAGTCTTGAAGAGGAGACAAAACAAACCTAGGTGAAATGTCAAACCACAAGACAAGGCAGTGTGAAATGAGGGCCCACACTCTCATGCTGGACAGTCCAGTATGGCCAGTGAAGCGGGGGTGGGGAGGGAGTCACTGCAGACAAAGCTTCGGGGAAGAGATGGAACCGAGAATGATGGGGAGAACTTGACTCTGCAGACAGGATGGGAAAGATCTTTCAGACAGGGAAAGGAAGACAAGGCAGAAATCAACCTGCATACGTGAGGACAGGACCCTGTTTGCACCAGGGGTGGTCAGCCACGAGGCTGGAAATGTGCCTGGCCACAGGGCACTTCCTCACTCTGAGCTCTTGCTACTTGAACACAGCCTTCCTTGGTATCCGTGGGAAGTTGCTGGCCTACTGAGGCAGGATACCACACGGAGAACTAGGCAGGGGCGTGGAGGTGTCAAGGAACTCAGCCCCTTGGTGGAGGAGCCCTCTGACAACAGGAAGCAGCTGCAACGGGCTCCAGGGCTGTACTGGTATCTGCAACTCTCCCCCTACCCTGGCTGCACCCTGCAGAACAAACTGTTCTTCAAGAAGTTCTGGGGACAGAGGGCCCACACCTGCTCCCAGGTCGGGGTGGATAAACCCCCATCAGCCAGGCTGGGAGCCCAGCAGAGACATCACACAGCTCAGCAGCCCTCCTCACCCCCTGGCCCCCTGCCTCCTCCTACCCCAGACCAGGTTGCAGTTGACTAGGGCAATATAACACAAAACAAGAGCTTTATATTATTATTATTATTATTATTATTTTATAGAGACTGGGGTCTCACCATGTTGCCCAGGCTGGTCTCAAACTCCTGGTCTCAAGTGACCCTCCTGTCTCAGCCTCCCAAAGTGCTGAGATTACAGACATGAGCCATGTTACCCAGCCAAGAGCTTTGGAGAGGGAAATGAGAACTGAATCTTCATAAATACCTCATCCTGGAACTTCCAACAATGTCTCCAAAAATAGTACCTAAACTCCAGGCCTCAAACTCTAAATTGAGTGGGGATGTGAAGTGGTTGTGGCCTTACAGAAACAGCACTGGAGTGGCAGCCGAAGTGCTGAGTTCTAATCTGAATTCTGCCACTCATTGGCGTGGGACCTTGGACAAGTCACTTTTTGCCGGACTTGAGTTTCTTCCTCTGTAACTTGGGGAGTTGGGATTGAGCTGTAAAGTCCCTTCCAGTTTTAAATGTGAGACTCCAATGCTGTCAGGTAACTTTGGGATTGCTGTAATGACTGTTTGGGGGCTAGTATAGCTGGGAAAGAAATTAGGATGAGAATCCAATTGAGGGCAAGATAAAATGGAATTGTATTCTATTCAGAACTTGAAATAGGATGGGATTTTGTTTTCCCCAGATCCTCACCATAAAGAGATTTGGGAGAAAATCTTGGGAGATTTGGACTCAGAATATCTTAAGAGGTAGTATTCTAGAAGATTGCCCAACACTTGGTGGGGAAGAGCAAGAATTCTTCCAGATTGCTTGACAAGCAGAACATGGGGAGTGGGTCACAGTAATACCAGGAAAGACACATCCCATCCTCCCAACCCTCTTTTCCACTGAAGCTGCTCCTTACAATTCCTGTAACTGGGGACCAGGCCTTTCATTCCAGTTACAGCTAAAACTTAACATGGCCATTTAAATTTCCCTGAGGGTATAAATGGCTAATATTCTCTCCTTCTAAGACCCAGCATATGCTGAGAGAGGCCTTCAGAGGAGGTGGGGGCTGGAAGAAGGAGTGAAGGTGGAGGCCCAAAGATCACGCAGGAGCCATGCTTTTTCTGAAGCCAGATCTAGGCCTAGCAACTCAGAGCAGTTCCCCGTGGGCAGTGATGTGGAAGAAGGCCCTGGGCTTCCTAAGTGCCTCTAGGTCACTTTGTGAAACCTCTCACATGGGCCTGCCTGGGAGGAGGAGCCCAGTGTAGCCCCCACCTGTCTGCTGCCTGCTCATCTTCCAGGGTGTTGAGGGGATGGGTAGCATGGCTGTCTGCCCCCACCAATTACCCACATGGCTTGGGTCAACCAGACTCTGTCAGAGCTGTTGAAGGAGACATAAACCTAGGCTTTTGGAGGCAGCTTCAGGGAAAGGTGGAGTGTGTGAGGTGGAAGGTGGGTGAGAAAGTGTGCAAGGGGGAACACACTGTTCTCTACTGGCCCTTTGCCAAACAGCAAGGGAGAGAGGAGTAACAAGGCCAGACTATGGCCATGTTTAGTGGTTTTCAACTGCGGCCCAAAATGAGGCAGACATAGGCTAGGCATGGTCTAGCCCTTGTGTGTGTGTGTGTGTGTGTGTGTGTGTGTGTGTGTGTGTAGGGGGAGTGTGAGGAAGTTGTGAGGGTGTGTGGTGTGTGGGGGAGTGGTGTGTGTGGGGGGTGTGGTGTGTGTGAGGAGTGTGTGGTGTGTGGGGGATTGTGGTGTGCGGGGGCGGTGGTGTGTGTGGTGTGGGGTGTGGTGTGTGCGTCTGTGTGGTTGTGTGTGGTGTGTGGGGAGGTGTCATGTGGCATGTGTGGGGGGTTGTGTGTGTGTGAGGAGTGTGTAGTGTGGGGGGGGTTTGTGTGTGCATGGTGTGTGTGCGCGTGTGAGGGGGTGTGGTATGCATGGGCAGTGGTGTATGTGGTGTGTGGGGGGTGTGGTGTGTGGGGGTGTGTGGTGCGGTGTGGGTGTGTGTGTGTAAGGAGGTAGTGTGTGTGGATGTGTGTAGGGGGTGTGGGGTGATGGTGCGTGTGTGGTATGGGGGGTGTGGTGTGTGTGTCTGGAGTGGGGAGTGTGTGGTGTGTGGGGAGGGTGGGGATGTGTGTGTGGAGTGTGGGGGTGTGTGGTGTGTGTGTGGAGTGTGGTGTGTGGGGAGGGGGCGGGTGTTGGCCTGGGTGAGCCCTGGCAATCGCAGCAGAGAAGATGCCAAAATTTTGTATTTACTGTCAGGGCAATGATGCTGGAACTGCAGATCCAGCGCCCCGAAACCCGGCCCATCCCAAGACACTGCTTCTCACAGCCAACAGAGGAAGGAGGGAGGGGGAGAGGCCTGAAGCCGAGGCTTCTTCTTGAGGAATGCTCGCCAGGCCAGCAGCCTTCCTCACTTCAATGCAGCCTTCCCCTTCTATCCACCGATGAGCATTTAGCGGGCAACTCCTTTGTCCAGGGCAAGCCTTCCCCAGGTCTCTCTCTTCAAAAGCAGATGCTACCTAGTGGGAGGTGCGGAGTTATACATGCAAGAAAGGGCTACAGGACAGCATCACTAGTACCAAGCTGTGAAGGAGGTGGACTTTGAAGGGAAGAAAGAATTTAGAAAAACAGACTAGTGGACTAGTTACTGCGGGGAGCAGAGTGCCATTTCAGGCAGGAGAAGGAGTGTGATGTGAATCTTAGGGAAGAGTCCTCTTTGTATGTTCTGACAACTATTCTCTGACACCAACGGGGCATCCTGCAATTGGATTCAGTGTCAATTCTGACACTGACTACCTGCAGTTAGTGCCTGTGATATTGTGAAACAGGTATTAATTAGGTCTTCATTCCTGACATACAACTCCTAAAATCCTTGGAATCTCCTAAGTTTTAAGTGTCTTTTTGCACGCTAAGCACCTAGGTAGCTTCAAGATGGGAGCTGGCCGCCAGAAAGATCAAGACAGGGTTAGAGGATTGGGACTTTCAGCCCCACCCTTCAACCTCCAGGGAGGGAAAAGGGGCTGAAGTTTAAGTTGATCACCAGTGGCCAATGGTTTAGTCAATCAGGCTTATGTAATGAAGCGTCCATAAAAACCCAAAAGGGCAGGGTTCAGAGGATTTCTTGATAGCTGAACACGTGGGGATTCCTGGAGGGTGGAGCACCCATGGAGGTTAAAGAAGCTCCACCCCTCCTCCATAGCTCACCCTATGCATCTTTTCATGTATATCTTGTGGACTATCCTTATAATAAGCTAACACATGTAAGTAAGTTGTCCCTGAGTTCTGTGAGCTGCTTTAGTGAACCCCAATTAGCTGGTCAGACAGAGCAGCGGCGAAACAACCCAGGGCTTGCACTTGGCATCAGAAGTGAGGAGAGGGGACTGAGTTCTCAACCTGTGTGATCTGACACTGTCGGCAGGTAGAGTCAGAGTTGAACTGGAGGATGCCCCACTAGTGTCTGCTGCGGAAATGATAGCTTGCTTGGTGGCGGGGAGAGACCCCTGCCCCCCCATGTGGTGTCAGGAACGTGTTGAGAGAGCATAGTAGGAAAAACCGAGTTTGGTTTTTTTACAGTGTCAGACTCCACAAGTTAAATGTCAAAGTCCCCAAGACTACCCTTACTTCAGAACTCAGGCGCACGCAGGGTCCACAGGCTACTGGCACTTCTGTCTGACTTGACTACACATTTGAGTTCTCACCACCCAAACTTAGGGTTCAGTAGTTGGCTAGAATGGCTCACAGAACTCACTGAGCATGCTATACCTACAATTAGTTTTATTATCATATAGACTCAGAACAGCCAAAGGGAAGAGCTATGTAGGGCAAGGTGTTGGGTGGGGGCGGTGTGTGTGCAGAGCTTCCATGCCCTCTCCTTGTGGAATGTGGTATGTCCCTCTCCCAGCACATTGGTGTGTTCACCAACCAGGAAGCTCCTCGCAGTTTCAGTGTCGAGTTTTATATGGGGCTTTACTCCACAGGCACCATTGATGAAATCATTAACCACATGACGAACTCAATCTCTAGTCCTTCCCTCTCGCCCCAGAGGTTGGCGGTGCAGTAGGGATGGGAGTAGGGATGAAATTTCCACACTCTGATCACATGCTTGGTCTTTCTGGCATGGCCAGTCTCTCCCTTAAAATTAAGGGCCCACCTTGAGTTGCCTTCTTATCATAACCTGAGGTATGATGGAAATGCTCATTACAAATGACAAAAGGCGTTCCTGTCACTCAGGAGATCCCAAAGGTTTTTAAAGCTCTGAGCCAGGAAAGGGGGACAAAGACCGAATGGGCTTTTTAAAAAGTCATAGCAGAGATTGTAATGGGCAGTTCCTAGGGAAAGGAAGTGGGAGCTGAGGATGGAAAGGCAGGGTGGGGCAGATGTATAAGGTCAGAAGTTGATGGGTACGGGGAGGAGAAATCAGCCCTGCCCTCCTAAGGAAGTGCAGGCAGAGGAGAAGCAGTAGACACCACTCCCTCACTTGAGTGTCTTGGGGGAATCTTTCACTCTTCCAGTAAGTTTAATTTTCCCCTGGGTAGTTCGTCCAGGAGGAGGCAGCCTTCAGTTTCTGCTTTGGCACCAACGTCCCCACAACTCAGGTCCAGGTTCCCTCGTGCAGCCTCCTGACATTCCCCACAGTTCAAATACCACCTCCTTCTAGAAGGCTTCCCTGATTACCCAAGTGGGAAAAGACCCTGCCCTGAATTCTGAAAGCCCTTTGAAACCGTCCCCTACTGCCCCGCGGGGACGTCAAGACAACTTACTGTGACTCATTCCTATCTCCCCAGTTTGATCCTGAGCACTTTGCCTTACCCCTTTCTGCTTCGTTCCAAACAGCCGGCACTGTGTGCTTCATAGAACATTTGTGAGCTCTGCAGACATTCTGTCATCATCGGCCCCTCCTCTGCCCCTAACCAACTTGCTACCTTCCCTTGCAGAGCCCTGCCTCTGAATAGAGTGTGAATGTCTGCCCTGCCAGCCTGTGAGCTCCTCCAGGGAAAGAATGTGTGTCTACCTTCCAAGCCTGACAAGCAGTGGGTGCCCATGTGTGCGGAGTGAACTCAGTCACTTTTCTCCTAGACGGCGTCACCTTTCTCACATTTAGGGAAAATCAAGTGTAAGGGAATGAGTTACTTATTCTCGTAGAAGAATGGGAAGAGTGAGAAGAAAGTTGGGGGTGAAGCAGGACTCACACAAAGGCAAGGCTGGCCTCTTCCCGCAGGGGCTGGGTCCCCCTGGGCCTCTTGCCAGGACACTGTTCTCGGTGGGTGCTCCACCAAGACGCAGGTAACTGGCAAGATGAGAGATCAGACCAACCTGGACCTGTGACAGGCAGGCACATGGGCAGCATGAACATCCCACTAGCCTCTGGGGACAGCATGGCAGAAAGGAGCCATTCTGGGAAACTGTGAAACTTTCCCCTTGAATGGCTTCCAGCCCCTTTAACAACCCCAGAGCAGCGTCCCAGCCTTGGTGAGCTGGGGTTTACTCACTCACACTCACGGTTACCACGCAGAGGCCCAGGCTGAGGGGGAAGGAACCGCCTGCTCAGCCCCCACTGAGGCCGGCCCGGTGCTCCTCTTGGCATCACTCTGAGGGTCCTCAGTGGGCAGACCCCAGGTGGGGTGAGTTGCACAGCCCAAGAATGAAGCTCCCTTCTGCCTCCCCTGGGCAGGTCCCATGACTTGGAGGAAATTGCTCCAGAGAGTGGCAACTAGACATGAAGTGGGACACGGTGCCCAGGGTTTCTCAGTGGCCTCTGAAGCCACCCAGAGTCAGTGAGAGTATCTTGGCCTCTCTCTGTGGGCTTCAGGGCCTCTCAGGCAGGTGTTTGTCTCTGGGATCCCTGGATCACGAGCCCTGTGACTCTTCCACGGCCAGCTTCCCACCCCACACCCCTGCTGAGCATGTTACCCCGCATCCTGGGGGAGCCACCATTTGGGAATAGATTGGATGGAGAAGGCCTGCTCCCAAGAAACAGTTAATCCTCTCCCCTTCCCCCAGGCCCCTTGCACCTGCAGGCTGTGGTGTGTGGTTTCCCACAGCTGCAGCTGGCTCTGCAGAGCCCCTCCCTTCGAGGGAACCTGAGAGGCTCAGGGCCTGAGGCGCCAGGAGAGGCTCCTCGCCCTCTGTCCAGCTGCTGGGGATGGCATGAGAGGGCCTTGCTGCCCTCTGACCTGGACATACCACAAGAGTGCTCTGGTTGAGTGACCCATATGTGATTCCTGGCTTGCAAGCCAAAGGCAGAGATTCCAGTTTGGGAGGTCAGAGAGGTTTCTGAGAAGGGAAATCAGCCATGAGGCCCCCCAGTCCTGGGCTTGCTCCAGCTCTGCTGCCTTCTGGAAGAAGCTGACTGGCCTGGGTGTGGGCTGGGCATTCCCCTGGGGTAGGATGCAGGGCTCCAGAAAGAGAGGGTGAGTGGAGGGTAAGAGGTGACTGGGAAGGACCGGGAGGAACAGGAGGAAGTGAGATGTGGCAGGGCCAGGCCTCTGCTGGTCAAGACAGCCTTGAAGCCACGGTGCTACAACTCTGGCAGGGTCAGCCCTCTGGCTATCCCAGAAGAGGGCAGGTTGCCACAGAGCCTGGGCAAATACCCAGCTGCCCTCTGAACCAGGTGTTCCAGGGACACCTCCGAATACTGCTTACACTGAGACAATGAGACAAAAAGTGCCAGCAGCTTCCTGGCTGGGACACACCTTCAGGAGCATTAGCCTGGAGCAGAGGCTGAACCCATCCTAACAGCTTGCCCATGTCCCCAGCCCCGGGCTACCGGGCAAGTGCTCACATCCCCTGGGGACAGGTGGATGGCACACAGGGTCATGGCGGAGGGCTGCTCACTGGGTCCAGAGCCAGGGTCTGGGAAGAGGGAGGGAGATGCAGGAATCTGACAGGCTTGAGCCTCACAGGGCCCAGGGCTCTGGCTTCTCTCAGATCCAGCTCTGGGCAATGTTTCAGTTCAACACTCTCCCTGGGAGGCTGTGTAGCCTGGGGCTCAGGGCTTTGGTGGCGTCCTGTCTGCAGAAAAGCCCCACTCCCCACTAAGAGACAACTCCCCATACCAGAGCAGGAAGAGAGAGGGCGATTGAGCAAAGGAGGCCTGAGGGGAAACAGAGACACCCATCTACAGGAGCCCCTGAGTCAGGTGTGGGAGGAGGGAGAGGCAGGGCCCAGCAGAAGCCACCGTTTGCGCCACACTCCTCTACCTCAGGCGGAGACCAGCTGCAGGGTGGCAGCCAGGGTTTGGAGGAGGTGAGGGAGCGTGCCGGCCCGGCACCCAACAGGCTTCAGTCTTGGCTCCCACACAGCTTGATGCTCCTTTCGGGGTATAACTGATGCCAACCACCCAGGGCCACTGCCAGGAGTCCACTGTGTACTCAGACTGTGCTTGGCCCATTCGCAGCAGTGCCACAGGGCCACAGGCGCAGAGCTCTGGCTGGGAGTCACTGCCAATTTACAGTTTGCCCTCAGGTGTGTGGAGGCAAAGCCCTATGAAAGATTAGCTTTGCGCTCCGGAGGAGAGGGCGCATGGCAGGTGATCTGCCCACCATGGCTTATTTGTGGCTTCATCACTGTGATGACACTATGTTTGGCATTTACTCATTATTGTTATCCAGACCCCACGTTATCAAGAAAAGTACAGGAAATCTGCCGTTGGGAGAGCGGCAGCACCCATGTGGAGTGCCACTTTCTGATCTGGGACTTAAACAACATTGCTGTTTTCCTCCTTGCTCCAAGTCATCCATTTTGACAATTTTATATCAGCATGGACCCTTCACCAAGACTGAAATAACTCTGTTATTGAGGTGGGAATCTTTCTATTAATGCATTTATTTAGTATTTCATTCCACAGACATTTAGTGAGTGCCTGCTGTGTGTCATCCATTGTGACAGTGTTGGGAACACGGAGATGAATAAAACAAGGCCCCTGTCCTGGGAGAGCCGAGAGGCCACCTGTCAGCTGACATCTTAGGGAGGACACCATCTACATCCAACCCTGACTACTGAACACTTCCAGTTTCTTGGAAGAAAGATTTTAAAATCTTCAGAAATGAGAACTCCTCCAAATAGGATTTTCATTTGTTTCATATATTTTAAAATTTTATATTTTAATATGTAACAGTCATATGGTTTAAATATAAAAATGACATCAGTGGCTCAGTAAGAAGTTTTCCTCCTAATTTTTCCCTAACAGTTCCCAATTTCTGATATAAAAAATGTTATATCCTTGCAGGATTTACTTAGGTAAATACATGTTCTTAGTTTTCCTCTTCATTATTCCAAAGGTTGTTTACTGCAAGCATGGTTTTTCTTGCTCATACATCCTGGAGATTGTCCCATATCCACACAGAGAAGGTTCCCCATTTTTTTCTTACAGCCGCAAAGTGTTCCTTGTTCTAAACCAGGTTTCTATTGATAGTACTGGGTGGCTGGTCCTCAATCTTTTGCTCTCAGACTGTGCCATGTATGTCCTTTCAGAGGGGGGCAGGTACATCTGTAGGATGGGTTCAAGGGTTTGTAATTGAGAGAGAGATTGCAAATTGTCCTCCACAGAGGTTGCACTGCTTTCATCCCCACCAGCAATGTATGAAAAGGCCTGTTTCCTGTTTTCCCTATCAGGCTGATATTTATTTATTTATTTGTTTATTTACTTATTTATTAGAGCCAAGGTCTCACTCTGTCACCCACGCTGGAGTGCAATGGCGTGATCATAGCTCTCTGCAGCCTCAAACTCCTGGGCTCAAGTGATCCTCCTGCCTCAGCCTCCTGATTAGCTGAGACTACAGATATGTGCTACCACACCCGACTAATTTTTCACTTTTTGTGAAGACAGTGTCTCGCTATGTTGCCCCGGGGTGTGGGGGGAGTTCTCTAACTCCCGGCCTCAAGCAATCCTCCTGCCTCTACCTCCCAAAGTATTGGGATAAGCTAATATTTTTAAAGAGAAAGGAAGGAGGCAATATGAGGCCTCTAAAGAAGAGAGGTAGGAAGAAGGTGAAGCCCAGATGCCTGGAGCACACAGAGCTGCAGCCACTGCCTGCAGCTTTGCTTATGAGGGGGATTGAGTTTCTTCAGGCCATGATGTTTGATTTGTGTTTGGAGCAGTAAGCCTTACAGCTGATAAATGGTTTTTTTCTCCTGGGGGAGCACGAGACTCTAGGAAGATAATCTATTAGGAGAACCTGAGGGAAGAGAGTTTAGTTGGTGCATGTGGGTGTGAGGTTGTTTCTCGGTCCCTTCAGGCTGCTATTGCAGAATACCATAGACTGTGTGGCTTAGAAACAACAGAACTTTATTTCTTACAGTTCTGGAGGGTGGGAAATCCAAGATTGAGGTGCCATCAGATTCGGTGTCTGGTGAGAGCCTGTTTCCTGGCTCATAGACAGCACCTCTCACTGTCCTCACCTGGTGGAAGGGTGTCGCTGGGGACTGAGTGTCTTCATTTTTATCAGTGCTTCTTTTGTAAGGGCACTAATGCCCTTGTGCGGGCTCCACCCCCATGACCTAATCACCTCCCAAACAGCATCACCTCAGGGATGAAGATTTCAACATGTGAATTGTGGGGGACACAAGCATTCAGAACATAGCAGGTGGCATATGAAAGTGCAGACCACCATATCCAGCAAATACATATGCATTTCCAATAGTCAGGGGAAGAGACAGAGGGAGAGGTGGAGGAGGGTGGAGAAGAGGACAATCTTCTCTGAGGAGGTAACGTTTGGGCAGAATCCAATTCATAGATCTGGGAAGAAAAGTTCCAGCAAAGGGACAAGCAAGGGTCAAGATCCTCAGGGGAAGGAGAGGAGAGGGGCCTGCTCAAGACAGTGAGTGACCTTGGAGGAATTGGGACAGGGAAGGCAGTCAGCAAAGCTGGGAGTCGGGGGGGTGCTGGACCATGGGGAGCCTGGAAGGCCATGGCAGGGAGTTTGGGGTTTATCTTAAGAATAATGAGAAAAAGAAACTGGTCAGAAAAACCACATATTGCATTTTTCCATTTCTACAAAATATCCAAAATAGACAAACCCAGAGAGACAGAAAGCAGATTCGTGGTTGGCTGGGGCTGGGGAGATTGGGAGGAAATGGGGAGTGACTAATAATGGGTGCTGGGTTTCTTCTGAAGGATGATTACAATGTTCTAAAATTGATTGTGGTGATGGTTGCACAACCCTGCAAATATACAAAAAAAAAAAAAAGCCCATTGAATTGTATACTTTCAGTGGGTGAATTATATGATATGTGAATTACATCTCAATAAAGCTGATTTATTTATTTATTCATTTATTTATTTTGAGACAGGATCTTGTTCTGTCGCCTAGGCTGGAGTGCAGTGACGTGACACAATCACAGCTCACTGCAGCCTCGACCTCCCAGGCTCAAGTGATCCTCCTACCTCAGCCTCCTAAGTAACTGGGACTATAGGTGCATGCACCACCATACCCAGCTAATTTTTAAGGTGTTTTTTTTTTTTTTGTAGAGACAGGGGTCTCACTATATTGTCCAAGCTAGCCTCAAACTCCTAGGCTTGAGTGATCCTCCTGCCTTGGCCTCTCAAAGTGCTAGGATTATAAGCGTGAGCCACTATGCCCAGCCTTGTTATTTTTTAAAAAAGGATTTTAAAAAATTATAAAAAGGATAATAGGAAGCTGTTAGAGGGTGATTTAATCAGCAGTAACATTCTCACTCAGGCTGTTGTGGGAGAACAAACTGTAGGGAGGGGAGAGTGGGGGCAGGAGATGGTTGGGAAGCTAGTGCAGTCGGCCAGGCAAGGAGCAATAGTGACTTGGCCTGGGTGGGTCACTTTGTGATGAGGATTAATGAAAAGGCCAGACTGGGGTATTTTTTGAAGCTAGAGTTTGATAATTGGTTGTGAGGGGTGGGAGAGAGAGATGAATCCTGGCCATTTAACTGCAGTGAAAAGACTGGAGGAATAGTTGGACAAGCGGAGGGACGGGGCATACGAGTTCTGTTTTGAACATGACAGGCCTCCGAGGTGTCCACTAGGCAGACGGGATGTCAGGGCAGGGTTACCACCATGTAGATGGTCACTGCTAAGAGCTGGGCACTCCTCCAAACACATACATTAAATCATTTAGTCTTCTCAGTAACCTATGAGGCGAGAGCTGTAGCTATCCCTGTCCATAGGGGGCGTATCCTGTGTGCCATTTCAGATGCCCGCGGCCTCACCTCTTGTTCCAGCCATTGCCCCAGTGACCAGTTTTGCACAGGTCTTGACCAGTGCCGTGTAAATGTCGCCTGGCAGGGCCTCTCCACATGCCTCTCGCCCAACACCATGATGGGGGGACACCCATGGAACCTGCTTGGCATTAACACATGAGCCGCCCAGAAGTGAAGGGGAGCTAACATTCCATGGGATGACTCGAGAGGAGCCAATGGATAACTGTCCCCCTTCTTCCAGTGAGTTCTGAAGTACGTTTCATAAAGCTTCACAGAAAGACTGAGTGGTGTTCACTCAGAGAGATGTTAACACACTCCCATATTGACTCCCCCCTTTCTCTGTTTCATTCCTCCTCCCCCTCACCCCTGCTCCCTGGGATCATGTTCCCAAATAAACTACTCATGCTTAAGCCTTTGTCTCAGGCCCCATGTAAGATCTGATCTTACATGGAGAATTTAACAGCAACAACATCACACCAGGGGCATGCTCACCAGGGGCAGAGCAGGGGTTCACACCCCGGCAAGCTTCTCTACTCGCTTCCATGTTGCCTCTCAAAGATCCCAACCTCTAGAGGACATTTAAAGGCACAGGCCTAGATGGAATCTAACCATCTAACCGGGAGAGACTGTAAATAAGAAAAAAGTCCCCACACCATGCTCACATTTAGAGATCAAGAAGAGGAGGAGCCAGCGAAGGAGCCAGAGAAAGAGCTGCCATCCGGGTAGGAGGAAGCCAGACCAGTGTGGAGTCCTGGACTCCAAAGAAAGACAGCGTTGCAAGGAGGAGCGAGTGCCCTACTGTGCAAACGCTGCTGAGAAATTGAGGAGGTGAGACCAGGAGACAGACCTTTTGGATGCGCCAGTAGGAGGTCACTGGTGACTTGGACAAGGGCAGTTTCAATGGAGTGACAGAAACAAAAACTTGGCTGGTGTAGGCTAAGAGGGAATGGAGGTGAAGATTCGGAGAAGTAGCCAGCAGGGACAACCACTTCAAGGAGGGGTGCGTAAAAGGGAGGAGGAAGTGGAGCAGAAGCTGAAGAGGGTGTAGGGTCAAGGAAGAGTTTGTTTTGAAAGTGAGAGAGATCATAGCGCAGTTATGTGCCGAAGGGAATGGTCTGGCAGAGAGAAGGAGCTGGATAGTGCAGGAGGGAGAAAGGTGATTTCAGGCAGTCTTGAGTAAGTGAAGGGATATGGTGCACAAAATGAAGGGATTGGCCAGGGATGCAAGAGGAGGCCATCCCTCCATCTGTCCATCCATCTATCCATCTGTCCATCTGTCTGTCCATCCATCCGTCTGTCCGTCCGTCCGTCTGTCCACCCATCCATCCATCCATCCATCTGTCCGTCTGTCCATCTATCCTTCCGTCCATCCATCCATCCATCCATCTATCCATGCATGCATCCATTGTGAGGAAGAAAGGTAGCAGCGGGCATAGATGCAGGCACCTTGGGAGATCTGATGGTGAGAGGCACGTACGTTCCAGCAGATGACATTTAGTTTCTCAGCAAAATAAGAAGCAAGATCTTTAACTAACAGCGAGAAACTAAGGGAAGGTGTTGAGGGTTGGAGAAGATGTGAAACACTTATCTGGAGAGTGGCGCAGTGAATTTAGTAGAGAAATATAGTAAGATTACTGGGCAAGCTGAGCGCCCACTTGAAGTTTGTGGTCAGAAGCGTCAAGTGCGGCTATTCAGTATGACTGTGAGTTTCCCCGGCAATGCTCAGCTACTCAGTGCAGGTGCAGGGTGTTGGGTTTAAGCAGGGTGGAGGCTGTGTCAGGAGATTCCAAATGAAGGGAAAAGAGCAAGAAAGGAGAGGGCTTCCACAAATGGGTGATTCTTGTCAAGGCCTACAGAATTGAGCTGGAGAAGGGGGTTGAAGGCAGTGAAAAAGGACAAGTTCAAAGGCAGGGAGTTCCCAAAGGGGACACATCATTGAATGGAGGTAATAGAGTAGATAAGCTGAGAGCCGAGGAAGGGGTGGTCAGGGAGCAGGGGGTTCAGAAGTGCTGAGGCAAAACCCTGGCCATGGGAGTGGGAGGCCCAGGCAGCAGAACGAGAGGTGGAGAGTGAGGAGGCCAAAGACCAAGAGTGGGAGGTGCTGGGTGGACATCTACATGGATGACCTTCCTTGTCCACCATCTCTTAAACAGCTCCCCATCCTGCCACTACCCCTTCATCTGCCTTTTCCTTTCATAGCCCCTCTGTCTAACATTATTTTACGTAGGACTGGTTCATTGGTTAATTATCCTTGCTGCCATCAGAATGTAAGCATCTGAGGGCAGGGACATTTTCTCTCTGGTCTACACTTATAAACTCTTTTCTAAGAACATACCTGGCACAGATTAGGTGCTCAGAAACATGTGCTGGACAAAAGAATGAATTAATGTTAAGGTCTAGGAAAAGCATGGAGGAGTGGTGGTGGAGAGGAAGACCGTGGGCCAGGTACTAAAATCTGTGAATGAGCAGGAGTGGCCTAGAGTATGGTAAATACTAGAAGGGATGGTGGATGGTCTGGTCTGATGGCATAGCTGCAAAGGAGATGCAGACTTAGGCTGAGGAGGAAGGGGGAGAAACCTACAGGTGGCCATGAAAGCAGGGAGGACAACTCGCTGCCTCCAGGCATACTGATGTGGAAGAAGAAAACAGAGCCAAGACAGGAGGTGGCTGCAAGGAAGCTGTGTGTGGGGGTCAGGCAGGTTTGCAGTAGAACAGGATGGTGAAAGGAATGTTCAAAGGGAAAGTCGAGTGGATGGGGAGATTTTGCTGATGACAAACCATAAGTTCCCGAGAGCAGAGTGAAAGGATCTGGGGGATTGTGTCAGATTAGGGGAATAGAGCTACATGGGGGTGAAAGTCTTGGGGGTGAAGGATGAACAACAGTGTCAGGCTTCTGGAGGTGTCTAGGGACACAAGGCCACAGGGCATGATGGGCTCTCCTGAAGGTCTCTCTTGGGCAAGTGGGTACCCCTGCTCACGCCAGCTCCTCCTCCAGCCAGGGCCCACGGGCCATGGACCACAGTGAGGCAGTGATATTGGCGTTGGAGGGGCCTTGCCAGACACTGAGTGTTCGGGGTGGGAGGAGAGGGCAGCTTTGGGTATTGGAAGGAAAGTCGAGCAGGCACTCCGGAGACTAGATTCTCATCCAAATCTTTCCTACAAACCATGACGTAACATTGGGCAAAATGGTCATGATTTTCCTTATCTATAAAATAGAGAGGAGAGGAGGTCTCTCTTAGCTGTGCAAATCCTGGCCTCTGTCTCCTTCTTTCCCTGACTTCTTCTAGCTCCTGTCTCCTCAGCCCTCCCGACTTGTAGCTAAGCCCTGGCTTTGTATTAACCACCCTCCTGCTGTCAGCATCGCTGAGAGGCATAGCCAAGGCCTGCCCTCTTCCTCCTCCCTGGCTCCAAAATGCTCCATGCACTGTCCCATGCCACTCTGATCCTGAGCAGCCAAGTGGGCAGAATGACACTCCTTTGGGCGTGGAAGTGAACATCAGCCATGAGTAGGGAGAGGAAACTGCCCACAGAGAGGGCAGACTCCATCAGGGGCAAGTGACAAAGCCACAGACTGGCATGAAGAGGCTTCCCAGGCCCTCTGGAAGGCAGTGAAGCCAGCAGCCTGGCTCCTGGGATGGGCTGTCCCCTATTCAGCAGCTCCATGGGCCTGGAAGTGGGCCCAGGGAGCCAGCCAGAAGGAGGCTGTGGCCAGAGGCTTGATTTGCAGCCCAGGACTAGGACGCAGGGTTCTCATCCAGGCTTCACCCACAGCAAATGTGCGACTCTCCCTGGCCCTCTGGGTGGGGATTATAATAACTACCTTGCTTACCCCAGTTGCTGGAGGCCAATATTCACTGAACATTCATCATGAGTCAGGCATTCAGTAATCCTCACAATGGCCCTAGAAATTGGCCTGTACTATTTTCAACCCTTAGGGAGGAGGTGACAGACACATAGAACATCTAAGTAACTTGCCTGACACTCCACAGCTTGTAAGTGGCAGGGCCAGGCTCTTAGCCCTAAACCATACATTAGAGATTTATTATCATTTAGGTCCCTCAACAATCTTGTGATGCAGGTATTACCATCCATTTTACAAACATGGCAATGGCTCAGAAGTCTTCAGTTATTTGCCCAGGGTCACTTGGCTGACTGTAGCAGAATCAGGATTTGAACCCAGGCCCAACTTCAAAGCCAGTCCTCTTCTCATTGGGTTGCGCCCCCAGCATTAGCACAGGGACAGTTCCTCAGGCTGACTGCCCAAGGCCCCATCTGTGCAAACAGGAGAGGAAATGGCAGCCTAACTCCAGGCAGGGCCCGGGCTCAGAAGGGGGTCTACAGGGCTGAAGAGGCAGCTGGCCAGAGATTCCACAGGAAGCATCTTGTTGACACATCTTCATCACTTTGGAATTTGAGCAACAACATTTACCCCTTCTGAAACTCACCCAGAGGAAGCGGATTTTCTGACGCATATGAAGAGTGAGAACTGTCTACATCTAAGTCTTCTTTGAGAACAATACCAGCTGAGCGGCTATTTACATTCCAGCTTCTTTTGAGAATCTCTGAAGATGATTAAGTCATTGTCAGCTGGTAAGGGTTGGTCTCACCACTTCTCATGTTGGATCATTGAGGCAAGAAACCTTCAAAGAATCCTTTTTGGGTATCTTTTAGTGAGGAAAAAAGTGGGGACAAAGATACGTAAGGCAGTACTTGCCAGAAGTCGCGGGGTGGGAAGAGGAAGTGTGCAGAGTTCTAGAGCCTGTCTTCACCTGGGGGATGTGCACTGACGATGCATATACTTGGCTGTGAAGGCCCAAATTTAGGACAGGGAGTTAGAACCACCCACATTGAAAGTCTAAGGGCCTGTTTCATCTTGCAGCCTCACCACGCTCCCACCAATAGCACAAATACTGTAGTACAAATGCTATGCTCAGTAAATGTTAATCAGCCTCATAAACAGTTCAGGGAAGGCTTTGAGGAGGAAAAGGGTGGAATTTCACCTGGGCCTTGAAGGGAATTTGGGAGGCACAGAGATGGGAAAAGGAAGAAGGCTGAGAGAACAGCATGAGCAGGGCACGTGGTGCACTATGGGAGTGTGTCGTGGGAGATGAGATCAGACAACTCCAGAGTCTGGAGTCCTTTACTCCAGGGACTTGGTGAGCATGTGGTGATCTGCATCTCCTGTTCTCTACACCTTGACTTCTCCTAGGCCCAGAACCATATCCTGCTCCACAAGCCTCGTCCTTGGCAAGAAGTTGCACCTGCCCAGAGAGAAAACCTTTTGAAACTGGCACAAAGGCACTGGAGAGACTGGCAGGGCCCCCTACTTGACGATCTGGCTCATCCATCTGCACACTGACCACGCTAAGAGCTGTCTGCAGTGATGGAAACCTTCTCTAGCTGTGCTGTCCTCTATAGTGGCACCAGCTGCCTGTGGCTACTGAGCACTTCAACTGTGGCTGCAGAGACTATGTTAAATTGTATTTAATCATAATTAATTTAATTGTAAACAACTACATGTGGCTAGTGGTTTCTGTACTGGGCACTGCAGGTGCACATTTCCTGCTGGCCATGGACAGTAAGCTCCATAAGAGACTAATTGTGCCTGGTTTGCTTATAGGCTTATCCTCAGCACCTGCACCAGCCTAGAATATGATTGGCACTCTATTAATTAAAAGTTCCCAGGTAAATGAATTAGTGGATTCTCTGTTTCCTCCACTATGCCACAACCTCCTTAAGGGCAGAGATGGTGTCTTCAAAAAAAAAAAATTCTGGTCAAAAACACATAAGATCTACCACCTTCACCATTGTTGTGTCCAGTTCAGTAGTATTAACTACACTTACATTGTGATACAACAAAAGATTGTGTCTTTTTACATTCTTAGGACCCAGCACAGTGTCTGGCACATAATCTTAGTAAACACTGGCAGAGCACATGCCTTTGCCAAGGCCAGAACAGAGGTTCAGTGCCATCCATTACCACCCTTTCACACATCCACTGGGGCTTTAAAAACAACCTGGAATGAAAGCTGTTGAGTCTAGAGAAATGGGCTACAAAGAAGGTTTACAAGATAATCTATTAAGAATAGGGAATACAGGCCGGGCACGGTGGCTCACACCTGTAATCCCAGCACTTTGGGAGGCTGAGGTGGGTGGATCATTTGAGGTCAGGAGTTCGAGACCAGCCTGGCCAATGTGGTGAAATCCTGTCTCTACCAAAAATTATCCAGGCATGGTGGTGCGTGCCTGTAGTCCCAGCTACTTGGGAGGCTGAGGCATGAGCATCGCTTGAACCCGGGAGGCAGAGGTTGCAGTGAGCCGAGATCGCGCCACTACACCCCAGCCTGGGTGACAGAGCAAGACTCCGTCTCAAAAAAATAAAAAAACCTAAAATAAAGCTTAATACACATGACATATGGATTGGCAGTCACACATAAATATGATTGATAAGGATACAAATATTTGGAGGTGCTGCCTGACCATCTGTTGCTGATTATGTGGAGATCACTTGTCTAGGACCCTGAGATAGACTGATGTTTCTAACTCTGCCACACACGGTCTCTCCCACCCTCCAGACACTTTCTTCCTTCAGTTCAGGGAACCCTCAATACACAGTAAGAATGAAGAGGTTGCAGGTCTGAGCTTGAGGAGGACTGGACTAAAAGGAGTTTAGCCCTGCCAGGGCATTCCGAGGACTGTGAAGATCCGGAATATTGGCCACAGGCATCTATGTATTTGAATCATATCCATTTTTGAGCTCACTCCTAGCAGAGGAGTCAAAACTTACGTTCTGGCCCCCAGGTACATTTCCAGTCTCTTACTCATAAAATTGTGACATACCCCCAGGGGTGCCCAAAGGGGTTTGTGAATCAAGATAGTTTGAGGAGAATCGATTTTCTGATCCTCAGTTTTTCTATGCTCTTTTTCCTAAAAGCGATATTCCTAAAAAGGCATCCAAGACAAGGCATCCCCTTTCCCATTTGCTGGGGAAGACAGCTTTACAAGAGAAAGCTGCCCCTCTCACCCATGTGACCCCCCACTCTGGGGCACTGCCCTAGGGGTAGAAATCTCCAAGGCATCAAACAAAGTGACTCCTGGGGGTCAAGTGACAGAGGAGCAAGTCTTTCTGCAAGTCAAGTGGTTTCCAGCTCTGCTTTCAGCAAAATTGAAAGAGGCACTAATCAAATTGCCAGCGGATCATAAAAAAACATTTTGATAATAATGTTATTAGGCATATAACTTGGAAGAAGTTCAAAGAATTGAATGGCATCCTCATAACAAACTCATCGGCTTCCATTTATTTATTTATGTGGACAGTGTTTCTCAATGTTTAAACCTACAAAAGACTAAACATGGGAGTAAACTTCATGTTGAACCTTGTGTGAGTCTAGCAATAAGTCATCCACATATACATACACTAATTGGGAAGAAAACCTGTCCCAACCCCAACTATTTTATTAAGAGATGCATTTCCAATAAAAATTTACCTTTTATGTTTAATAGTTGTTTATCAAATTTCGTAATTATTTACATTGCTCTGATCAATTGGATATAAACTATTCTAACACTAAACTCATAACCAAAAAATTAATGCTCAGCTTTGGGAACAGAGGAATTTTTTTTTTTTTTTTTTTTTTTGAGAAGGAGTCTTGCTCTGTTACCCAGGCTGGAGTGCAGAGGCGCAATTTCAGCTCTCTGCAACCTCCACCTCCCGGGTTCAAGCGATTCTCCTGCCTCAGCCTCCCAAGTAGCTGGGACTACAGGTGTGTGCCATCACGCCTAGCTAATTTTTGTATTTTTAGTAGAGACAGGGTTTCACCATGTTGGCCAGGATGGTCTTGACCTCTTGACCTCGTGATCTGCCCCTCGGCTTCCCAAAGTGTTGGGATTACAGGTGTGAGCCACCAGTCCCGGCCAGAAGTTTTAATCTTTAAATTTTATTTAATACAATAATCAATCAAAGATTTTTCTTTCTTTCTTTTTTTTTTTTTTTTTTTTGAGACAACTTCTCCCTTTGTTAGTCAGGCTAGAGTGCAGTGGTGCAATCATGGCTCACTGCAGCCTTGACCTCCTGGGCTCAAGCCATCCTCCTGCCTCAGCCTCCCCAAAGTACTGGGATTACAGTCATGAACCACCATGCCTAGCCAATAAAAGATTTTCAAGCATAAAAAATAAATACAGGCTGGGTGCTGTGGCTCACACCTATAATCTCAACACTTTGGGAGGCCGAGGTGGGCGGATCATTTGAGCCTAGGAATTGGAGACCAGCCTGGGCAATATGGTGAAACTGTGTCTCTACAAAAAATACAAAAATTAGCAGGGCATGGTGGTGCAGGCCTGTAGTTCCAGCTACTCAGAAGGCCGAGGTGGGGGAATCACCTGAGCCCAGGAGATTGAGGCTGCAGTGAATCAGGATCACACCACTGCACTCCAGCCTGGGCAACAGAGCAAAACCCTGCCTCAAAAAAAAAACAAACAAACAAACAAAAAAAAACCCTTACATTAGCATAAAATCTGTAACAGGAGTGAAATGGAAATACAAGTTCTTGGAGAGAACGAAATAATGTAAACTTCTAAGCTGTTTAATTAGCGTTTGTTCCCCTATTTTTTTTAATGGATAATGTTGGACACAGAATTGCTCTGGCATTTAGATTCCATTGGACATTTAAAAGAAAGATACAATTTGTATTTGAAAATATCAATATTCATTTTTCTTTGAATTTTTTGACTATAAAATATAATAAAGGCATATAGAAAGTGAAAAAATATTCATAAAATGCTAAAAAGGATATCCTTTGGAACTATTTAAATTTCTGATGGAAAATTTCAAATGCCAACTTAAATACAAGAGGGTAGGTCATGTAAAAAAATTATTTAAGGGGCTTTGAAGGCGGCTGTCTGGGGAGTTAAGGTCTTGTGTCTCCAGTGCCCTCTCTCACCCCTAAGGTACTGGGTGGGCCTCTGGAGGTACATCTGCCTATACAAGGAATCTTTGATGTAGCAAAAAAAAAACACAAAACACAAAAAACCCTCACAGCATGCCCTGCCCTTGGGCTCTGGAAACCACCGTCCTGCCTGCCCCACTCCTGCTCTCAGCCCCCTCCTCAGGCCTAAGCCTCCCCAACCCTCCCCACCCCCCACCCCACTGCCCCACCCGCAGTCCACCCCGCTGTCGCCTCCCAGCCCTGGCCCGGCCAGCCCTGGAGTAAATAAACCACCGGGCAAGGACCCAGACAATGGGCCTTGGCAAGGAGTTAATGGGCTGGGCCTCTCGCGTTAGCC
The DNA here is from genome assembly GCF_000001405.40 of Homo sapiens. Lineage (NCBI taxonomy): Eukaryota > Metazoa > Chordata > Mammalia > Primates > Hominidae > Homo > Homo sapiens. The sequence goes on from NC_000015.10 coordinate 40,069,294, forward strand.
GAGTGTGACCGGAGCTGGCAGGGGGCCTGGCCTGGCGCCAGCATCGATTACGACCAGACGGAGCCAGGGCAGACTTGGCACGAATGGGCCCCACAGCTGGCAGATTCAGTCACCCTGGCCACAAGGGCACGAGGCCTGCCCTGGGCGCCGGCTGCCACCGCGGCTGTGCTCCCTGCCACCGCCTTCACTGCCAGTGTGGCAGGGCCGCTTGTCAGGCACTCAGTCCCTAGGCCCTTTTGGTTCTCCCCAGGGGATTGTCCCTGGTCAGGCCTCTTCCTGTCCCAGGCTGCCTCTGAGGCTGCTCTGTGGCCCCACAGACTGGGTGCAGAGCGGGGGTGGGGTAGGGGGAGGCTGAGGGTTGGGCTGGGGGATGCAGCTGTGACGCCCCTGCCCCCGGCACTCCCACCACTCCAGGACAGAGGGAGGCTGCTGAGCCAGGCTGGTGTTGGTCAGCAGGAAGAACAGGTGAAGCAAGCCTCATTTCTGGTGTCCAGATGGAGGACAGGGTCTTTCTTCCCCTGTTTCTCAGAAACCTTTGTGGGCCTGGGCTCTGCTCTGGCTCGGCAGCTCCACCCTGCAGGGGGATTGGCCGGGTGGCAGGGACCACCTGAGGGCTCACTGCGTCCCTGCTAAGAAGTTGTTCGAGTCAGGGTTTGCAAGCGGGGCTTGCCTGGGGGAAAGGGCATTTCTTGCTTTTTGGGTTTACTGCTCCTCCCAGGCTCTCTGGGTCCCTCTCCCCTGGGCGATGGGCTGTGGCATAACGTCCTCAGGGCAAGGTAACGGCTCCATCTGGAGCTGATGGCTCCTCCAACGCTAAGGAGCTCCATGGACCCAGTCTTGCTGAGCAAAGGTTTCTTTGGCTTGACTGCTGGAAGACAAATCACACCACTGGGCAGTCTCCAAATTTTAGGGGATGGTCAGTATCTCTCTGAGAGAGATACTGAGAGGTCCAAAAAACCCCACAGAGGAGAGAAAACACCAGGCCACATACCCAGAGTGACAGCCCCTGCTCTCTGAGGTCACAGGTGGAGAGCAGGGGAGGTCAGGCCCTGAGGGCTGTGGCTGCTGGAGCCAGCTCCACCAGGCCTGATAATCCCTGCAGATGAAGCCGGCGCCCATCCCAGTAGGCAGTGGTAATCCCCACCCAACCCCACTTCCCCGGGGAGGAAGCTGACACAGGGGTGAGGGGGCACTGGAAACACGGGAGAGCAGAGGAATGGCAGCTGGGGCCCTTACCCCGGCACCAGCTTCTGCACCTGCCCTGAGTTTCCCTTGTCCCCCTCCAGAAGCTCTCAGATCTTTACTTTTTTGTGAGCTCTGTTCTCAGAGAAAGTTCTAATACATGTATAATACCAACTGGCTAACTGAGTGGGGTGGGTTGGGGCTTGGGGGGCTGGGGAAATGTGTGGCCCACCAAAGGACACTAACCCAACAACCCTGCGGAGTTGTGGTCTCCAAACTGAAAGAGGACACAGTGTCAGGTGACAAACAAAACTGGCCTGGAGCCAGGCATGGTGGCTCACTCCTGTAATCCCAACATTTTGGGAGGCCGAGGCTGGAGGATCACTTGAGCTCAGGAGTTCAAGACCAGCCTGGACAATATAAGGAGACCCCTGTATTTACAAAAATTTAAAAAATTAGCTGGGCTAATGGTGGTGCATGCCTGTAGACCCAGCTACTCGAGAGGCTGAGGTGGGATGGTCGCTTGAGCCTGGGAGGCAAAGGTTGCAATGAGCCGAGATTGCGCCGCTGCACTCCAGCCTGGGCAACAGAGCGAGACCCTGTCTCAAAAATTTAAAAAGTTAAAAAAATTAAAATTAAAAACTGGCCTAGACTAGGGAAGTGAAATGTCCAAACATTTTGAACAGATAAGAGGCATGGTAGGAGGGATGAATTTTTATAAAAGAAATATTGACATTTGGTGGCGAAATATAAATATATACAAATCTTTTCCTCTACAATACTTTTTTATTGTCCTTGAAGGACCTACAAAAATCACTTAGGTCGTTTAGGCACATAAAATGTGCCATGCATAACTTGGCTCATAAAATTGTCACCTTTGTTATATGGTTCCAGAGATGTGAAGGTCTGTTTAAAAGTTAAAAACATGCTGTTAATGGAGACTCTATTTTTCCCCAATATTTTTTAAAACCAAAAGACTCCTCAAGGAGTCTGATTTTTTTTTCTCCCCTGGCCTTCATCTGGACTCTTCCTTTTGGTGGCCTTTAATGAAGTAGGTTGGAGACCCTTCATACTGGGTAACCTCACACCTTGACCTGGGTAGTCAGTAGCACAGGGCCCAATGCTTAGAAGGGCCTTGCATTTGGTTTAAAACTCTGTTGCCGCAATATATATATGTCTTTTTTGAGACAGGGTCTTGCTCTGTCACCCAGGCTGGAGTGCTGTGGCATGTTCTTGGCTCACTGCAGCCTCCACCTCCTGGGTTCAGGCTATCCTCCCACCTCAGCCTCCCTAGCAGCTGGAACTCACAGGCATGCACCACCACGCCCACTAATTTTTTATTTTATTTTTTTGAGACAGGGTCTTGTTCTGTCACCCAGGCTGGAGTGCAGTGATGCAATTTTGGCTCACTGCAACCTCTGCTTCCTGGGATCAAGTGATCCTCCCACCTCGGCCTCCTGAGTAGCTGGGACTACAAGCATGTGCCACTGTGCCTGACCTAATTTTTTATTTTTTGTAGAGACAGGCTCTCACTATGTTGCCCAGGCTGGTCTTGAACTCCTGGGCTTAAATGATCCTCCTACCTCAGCCTCCCAAAATGCTGGGATTACAGGCACGTGCCACCACACCCAGCAAACGCTTCATAATTTAATAAGGGGCCCGTATTTTCACTTTGCACTGAGCCCCACAAGATAAGTAGCCAGGTCTAGTTATACCCCCGCCTGAAGCCAACACTGACCTTCCCCAGCCCTCGGAGCTGTCCCCAGGCCTCACTAGTCTCATCTCTCCAGTAGGAGGCCTTTGCCCTTGTGTAAGTCTTGCTTCTTCTCGTCAGGAGTGCCTGACTGCGTGCCTCGCTTCGAGCCTCCCGTCCCCTCTAGCCAGCTCAACAGCATCTCCTTATATTCCCCTTCGGCCCTGGGGACCACTGGGAACAAAACAAAACGCAACCCGTTCCCTTGTGGCTGTCGGGCGGGCGGGCGTTGAGCCCTGTTCCTCACTCCAGCTGGTGTACCCCTCCGGGAGCCACGCCTCGCGCGGAGCGGGAGCCTTCAAAGAGGCCGCGCCTTCCTGGCTGCTCCCTTCGCATCCTGATCCAGTCCAATGATGTTTTTGCAATTTTCCTGTGAGCTTGGTGGGAAAAGCTCAAAGAGACTCTGTCTTCCTTTCTGGCTTCCTTTCCAGACGGCGCAGCTTTCTCTCAGCTGCTCCCCTGCCCCACCTCTCTCGAGGAAATCGGTCTCTTTCCTCTCCCCCTCACCCAAAAGGTCCATTCCTGAGGCTTATCCTGAAATCAAGCCGTAGCGGAGCGGTGGGGGATCCGAGGCACAAGGTGGGTCGGAAGTCGGCTAACCACCTGGCTTGGGGCCTCCCTACCAATGCCACCTGTGGAGGCAGACTGTTCGGAGGATCCCGGAGGGAGACAGGGATAAAGAGAGCTCCTGGGGCTGGAAGAACATTAGCACCTCTCATTAGGGCTCCCACAATACCCCATCTGAAAGAAGGTGATGGGTTGTTCATAACCCGCTTCTCCTGGAAACACTTTCTAGTGGCCGGGGACAAACGGGAATGTGTCGCCTCTGTGGCCTTTCTGTTGAAGCAGCTTAGCTGTCAACGCTATTCCCTGGGAAGAGCCTGGCATCCCAGGGGTCTCAGAACGGGCATCAGAGTTCAGAATGTATGACAATCACTCCCAGCCAATACCATCACTCTCCCAAATCAGGAGTTTCCAGTTCTCCCAAGGCATCAACTGTACCCTGACACCCTAGTGCAGTGCTAGGGAAGTGCGCATGTCCCATTAACATCACTCCTCCATCCGCTCCTCCGCCCCTCTTTCCTTCTCTATTAAAAGTGATAGGCTGGGCGCGGTGGCCCACGCCTGTAATCCCAGCACTTTGGGAGGCCGAGGCGGGCAGATCACTGTCAGGAGATCGAGACCATCTTGGCTAACACGGTGAAACCCCGTCTCTACTAAAAATACAAAAAATTAGCCGGGCGTGGTGGCGGGTGCCTGTAATCCCAGCTACACGGGAGGCTGAGGCAGGAGAATAGCGTGAACCTGGGAGGCGGAGCTTCCAGTGAGCCAAGATGGCGCCACTGCACTCCAACCTGGGGGACAGAGCGAGACTCCGTCTCAAAAAAAAAAAAAAAGATCCGCAGGACTTGAGAATAAAGAAGACTTGCCTGCTGTTTCCACCCACTAGAGAGCCCACCAGGCCCAGGGACAAGCCCAGGGCTCCAACTCTTCCCTTTTTTTTTTTTTTTTTTTTTTTTCCAGCAACGGGGCCTCATGATGTTGCCTAGGCTGGGCTCCAGCTCCTGGATTCAAGCAATCCTCCCACCTTGGCCTCTCAGTGTTTTGGGATTACAGGTGTGAGCCACCACGCCTGGTCTCAAGCCTTCGCTTTCGCAATCAGCACTAAAGGCAGCCAGAAATCAACCGTGCGCCACCCCCGACCTGAGAAACAAGTCTAAATGTGTCCGGAATTGGTGGGTTCTTAGTTTCACTGACTTCAAGAATGAAGCCGCGGACCCTCGCGGTGAGTGTTACAGCTCTTAAGGTAGCGCGTCTGAAGTCTGTCCCTTCTGATGTTCACACGTGTTCCGAGTTTTTTCCTTCTGGTGGGTTTGTGGTCTCGCTGGCTTAGGAGTGAAGCTGCAGACCTTCGCGGTGAGTGTTATACCTCTTAAGGCAGCGCGTCTGGAGTTGTTTGTTCCTCCCGGTGGGCTCGTGGTCTCAGGAGTGAAGCTGCAGATCTTCGCGGTGAGTGTTATAGCTTATAGCTCATAGACGCAGCGTGGACCCAAAGAGTGAGCAATAGCAAGATTTATTGCAAAGACCGAAAGAACACAGCTTCTATCAGCCTGGAAGGGGACCCGAGCGGGTTGCCAATGCTGGCTTGGGCAGCCTGCTTTTATTCTCTTATCTGGCCCCACCCACATCCTGCTGATTGGTAGAGCCGAGTGGCCTGTTTCGTCAGGGCGCTGATTGGTGCGTTTACAATCCCTGAGCTAGATACAAAGGTTCTCCACGTCCCCATTAGATTAGTTAGGTACAGAGTTTCCACACACAGGTTCTCCAAGGCCCCACCAGAGCAGCTAGATACAGAGTGTCGATTGGTGCACTCACAAACCTTGAGCTAAACACAGGGTGCTGATTGGTGTGTTTACAATCCCTGAGCTAGATATAAAGACTCTCCACGTCCCCACCAGACTCAGGAGCCCAGCTGGTTTCACCTAGTGGATCCCGCAATGGGGCTGCAGGTGGAGCTGCCTACCAGTCCTGCGCCGTGCGCTCGCATTCCTCAGCCCTTGGGTGGTCGATGGGACTGGGCGCCGTGGAGAAGGGGGCGGCATTCGTCGGGGAGGCTCGGGCCGCACAGGAGCCTACGGAGGGGGTGGGAGGCTCAGGCATGGCGGGCTGCAGGTCCCGAGCCCTGCCCCGCGGGAAGGCAGCTAAGGCCCAGCGAGAAATCGAGCACAGCACCGGTGGGCCGGCACTGCTGGGGGACCGAGTACACCCTCCGCAGCCGCTGGCCTGGGTGCTAAGTCCCCCATTGCCCGGGGCCAGCAGGGCTGGCTGGCTGCTCCGAGTGCGGGGCCCACCAAGCCCACGCCCACCTGGAACTCCAGCTGGCCCACAAGGCCGCACGCAGCCCCGGTTCCCACTCGTGCCTCTCCCTCCACACCTCCCTGCAAGCTGAGGGAGTGGGCTCCGGCCTTGGCCAGCCCAGAAAGGGGCTCCCACAGTGCAGTGGGGGCTGAAGGGCTCCTCAAATGCCACCAAAGTGGGAGCCCAGGCAGGGGAGGTGCCGAGAGCAAGCGAGGGCTCTGAGGACTGCCAGCAGGCTGTCACCTCTGATAAATAGGTAGGACCGTAAGCAAGCCAGAAGCCCAGGTGAACAGTGGGCCCGGAGCCAACAGGAACTCGCTCTGAAACTCCAAATCCCAAAAGAGTAGAGGGGCTGGTTTCCATAAAGGCCGCAAAGTAAACCTTGTGGAGAAGACTCCAGTGGCTCTGGAGAAAGGGGGAAGCAACGTGGGGCAGCAGAAGGGCAGAGGACAAATGAGTCAGCAAAAATGACTTCCTACCTCCCAAAGGGGAGGGGGTTGAGGACGGGAATTTCCAGTAAGAAAGACTGGCAAGATCCTGGGTAAAAGCTGAAAGGGAAAGAGGTACACGGGGCAGGAAAATAACACCATTGGAATGAAAATGGTTCCCCTGCAGTCTAGTGATAGGAGAAGGAGGGAATTGAGTGAGTTGGGGTATCTTAGCCATCTCGGCCAATCGCGTGGCACTACAGCACTGGGACTTTCTTGGCAGAATGAATACACAGGGGCTTAGAGGCATGTGCTGCTACTGAGGGGAGCACCAAGTGAGAAATGGAAAAGACCAGGAGAGTGGTGAACGGCCTCACGCTCACTTGACTTCACTCATGCAGAAGGGCTGCGGGAGCAAGATGGAAGTCCTGACTGACGATCCACACTCTGGGTCTTCAGGGAAGTGTCAGCCTCAGAGCTGCGGTCAGTGCGTGGAGCCGGCTACCTGTTGGGGAAGAAGAACTTAAGGTAGCTCCTTACCTCACACGTGCTAGTTAGGCTAAATAATTATTATTTTTGAAAGGAAGCAATTTAAAAAGAAAGAAACGAGAAGAATGTATAGGTAAAGACTTGAAAAAAAAAATATATATATATATATATAGTCAAGACAGGGTCTTGCCATGCTGCCCAGACCAGAGTGCAGTGGCTATTCACAGGCATGATCATGGTGTGCTACAGCCTTAAACTCCTGGGCTCAGGTGATCCTCCTGACTAAGCTTCTCAAGTAGCTGGGACCACAAGTGCATTCCACTGCGTCCAGCCTTCTTGAACATTTTTATATGAAAAGTTATATAAGCATAAATGCAACAGAAGTCACAAAGGAAGGCTTGATTTGGCTGCATTGAAAAAAATTTGTGACTCGAAGTGAAATTGTAAGACAAATAGCAGTTTATAAAGAATTCTCGTAGACAATAAAATACTAATTCCAAAAGTTAAAAACAGCCAAATACTAAGGAAGAGACAACTCGCAGAAGAAACAATGGCAATTAAGTATTTAAATATTTCTTACTAATTTAGAAAATAAGAAAGTGAAAGTTAAACAATGAAATGTCTCATTCTGGGTGGACATTGTAGCTCATGGCTGTAATCCCAGCGAATGGGGAGGTAGAGGTGGGAGGATCGCTTGAGCCCAGGAGTTCTAGACCAGTTTGAGCAACATAGCTGGTCTCTACAAAATAAAAAATAAAAAATAAAAAATTAGCGCAGGGCACAGTGGCTCACGCCTGTAATCCCAGCACTTTGGGAGGCCGAGGCGAGCGGATCACGAGGTCAGGAGATAGAGACCATCCTGGCTAACACACGGTGAAAGCCCGTCTCTACTAAAAATACAAAAAAAAAAAAAAAAAAAAAAAAAATTAGCCAGACATAGTGGCTGGCGCCTGTAGTCCCAGCTACTGTGCTCGGGAGGCTGAGGCAGGAGAATGGCGTGAACCCGGGAGGCGGAGCTTGCAGTGAGCCGAGATCGCGCCGCTGCACTCCAGCCTGGGAGAAAGAGCAAGACTCCATCTCAAAAAAAAAATAAAATAAAATTAGCAAGCGTGTTGGTGCACGCCTGTAGTCCCAGATACTTGGCGGTGGAGGGGTGGCGGAAGGGGGCGGGCTGTTTGAGCCCAGGAGCTCAGGAGGTCAAGGCTGCAGTGAGCCATGATCGTGCCACTATGCTCCAGCCTGGGCGACAGAGTGATACCTTGTGTCAAAAAAAAAGAAAGAGAAAGAGGGAGGGAGGGAGGGAGGGAGGGATGGAGGGAAGGAAGGAAGGAAGGAAGGAAGGAAGGAAGGAAGGAAGGAAGGAAAGAAGGAAGGAAGGAGAAAGAAGGAAAAAGAAAGTCCCTTTTCACTCGTAAAATTAGCAAAATAAAAATGTTTCAGGCTGGCCATGTTGGCTCACAGCTGTATTCCCAGCACTAGATGGAAACGTGGTGATTTAGGATCCAGGTTCTGTTTAGCTCAATAAGCTAGACGTCCTCCCCTGAGGAGGGAAGACGGCTTGAACCCAAGAGGTCGAAGCTGCCGTGAGCTATGATTGTGCCATTGCAGCCTGGGCAACAGAGTGAGACCTGTCTCAAAAAAAAAACAAAAAAAGTTTCAAATGATAATACAGTTGACCCTTGAACAAGGGTTTGAACTGCGTGAGTCCACTTATGTGCATGCTTTTTTTTGTTGTTTTTTTTTTTTTTTTTTTTTTTTTGGTTTTTTTGTTTTTTGAGACAGGGTCTCACTCTGTCACCCAGGCTGGAATTCAGTGGCACGATCATGGCTCACTGCAGCCTCAACCTCCCTGGGCTCAGGTGATTTCCCACCTCAGCCTCCCGAGTAGCTGGGACTACAGGCACGTGCCACCATGCCCAGCTAATTTTTATATATTTTTTGTAGACACAAGGTTTCACCATGTTGCCCAGGCTAGTCTCAAACTCCTGGGCTCGAGGAATCCTCCTGCCTTGGCCTCCCAAAATGCTGGGATTACAGTCATGAGCCATGGTGCTCAGCCCAGATTTTTTTCAATAAAAGTTACACCAGGTGTGCCTGCCTCTCCTGCCTCCCGTGCCTCCCCTTCTACGAACTCCTTCATCTCTACTGCCTCTGCCACTCCTAAGACAGCAAGACCTACCCCTCTCTTCCTCCTCCTCAGCCTATTCAATGTGAAGATGATGAGAATGAAGATTTTGATGACGATCCACTTCCACATAATGAATACTAAATATATGTTTTCTTCCTTATGATTTTCTTAATAACATCTTCTTTGCTCTAGTTTATTGTAAGAACACAGAATATAATACATATAACACACACAATATGTGTGAATCGACTATGTTATCACTACGGCTTTTGTCAACAGTAAGCTATTAGTAGTTAAGTTTTGGAGGAGTCAAAAGTTATATATATGAATTTTCAACTAATGGGGGTGGGGGTGGTCAGTGCCCCTAATCCCAACATTGTTCAAGGGTCGACTGTACTGTATTCAATTTTGGTGACCTTGTGTTAGGTGGGACTCTCATATACTGTAAACAAAAGTGTAAAATGATAAAAACTTTCTGGAAGACAATTTAGGGACAGGTATCAAAGGCTTTTGAGAAATTCATACCCTTGTATCCAGAGATGGTTAGCAGTCCACTTATCATGCTTCCTTCCATAGTGTGCAGGTGATGCAGGGAAGTGGCTGCCCAGACAGGGACCATATTCCTCAGTTCTCCTTGCCGTAGGTGTGGCACCATGCCACCAGCCCTTGCTAATGAAAAATGAATGGAGGCAGTGTGTGTTGCTTCCAAGCTGACACGGTAAAGATGTGCCTCCTCCACCCTCTCTTTCTCTGTGTATAGTGGCTTTTCAAGGTACACGCTGAAGACAGCAGAGTGACAAGCTAGATGGAACCTGGATCCTAAATCACCATGTTAAAGGCCACCCACCAAATACTCAACATTGAACAGCTCTGTGAGTGAGAAATAAACTTTTATTGTGTGAAGTCTTTGAGGTTTGGGGCCTTATGTATTATAGCAATTTGTGTTGCTTACTGTGACCCAGAAATTGCACTTCTAGGAATGTTTCCTAAAGAAATAATCCAAGATTCAAAGACTGATAGAATCTGAGAACAATGGACAAAACCCGAAATGGCTATAATCACAATGAATGCTGCAAAGGGCTCTGAAACATGGGAATGGAAACTGAACAGCAGAGGACAGAAAATAAATTACAAAATTGCTCAGTAGTACAAATACAGTATTTGTGATGGGAATTAAGAACAATAGTTGAAAAGAAAATAAAAACCTGATCAGCAAGCCTGGTGTTTAATAAGTGTATACACTGACCCATTTGCACAAACATTTTGGAATAGATTGGTGAATGGATCCTGGCATGGAAATACTTTGTTAATTGTGATCAGAGGGTTATCAGCTCTTTTTCTCTAAGAAATTATTTGACATATGATTAAATTGCCAAGGTCTCTTCTACCTTTTATATATAGATTTTTCCAGCCCAAGTCCCCTAACATTATTGTTTTCATAACTCTGAAGGCTTTTCTTCTCCTCTTCATAGCTGATCCTTCTCACCATTCTCCCTGGCCTCAGGCAGTGATGGTAATATGGGTAACGTAAGTGCTACTACCAGAAATTATGTTAAAAATGTATTATGGGCTGGACATGGTGGCTCACACCTGTAATTCCAGCACTTTGGGAGGCCGAGGCGGGCAGATCACTTGAGGTCAGGAGTTCGAGACCAGCATGGCCAACATGGTAAAACCCCGTATCTTCTAAAAATACAGAAATTAGCCGGGCATGATAGCAGGCGCCTGTAATCCCAGCTACTTGGGGGGCTGAGGCAGGAGAATCACTTGAACCCAGGAAGCAGAAGTTGCAGTGAGCCAAGAATGCGCCACTGCACTCCAGCCTGGGTGACAGAGCAAGACCCCATCTCAAAAAAATATACATATGTGTGTATGTATATGTGTATGTATATATATATATATATTTTTAAATATGTTTATACTTTCAAATTACTTTCACATATATTGCCACTATTTTGGATAATTGTAATCTCTATGTCAAATAGCATCTTTCAGACTGGTGAGTCATATATATACCACAGTTGATTTTCAAGGTTTTATCTTTCAGTTTTTGAAATAGTAATCTCTAATATGGACACAAAATGTAAAGAGAAAAAAAATTGTTCCTCTTTGACTACTATATTATTCAGGATAGGCCAGGGTATGCTGCAGTAATAAAGCAACCCCCAAATTTCAGTGGACACAAAAAAACATTGACTTCTCTCTCTGCTGCATGTTCATTCCAGGTTGGCAGGGACATGGTTCCACATAGTCACTTAAGGACACAGGATGAAAAAGGCTATTTCATTTTGTAGTTGTGCTATTGGAACAAGGGGCCTCTTCAATCACTGGAACAAGGAAAGAGGAAAGTAAAGAAGGGCACGTGGGTATTTTCTGTCTTAGCCCAGAGGTGATCTGCATCATTTCTGCTTATATTTCATTGTCTGGAACTTGTCAAATGGTTCACCTAATATACAGGACTAAATACAATGTTTAGCAAGCATCACTGTCTCTAGTTACTTCTCTCATTCTGTCTACCATTTCTTTTCTGGGGCTGACTGTTTTCTACTTATCTTTGCACATATATGACAGTCTAACTTTCTGAAATTGTGCTAGATAAGGGACATCAAATATGTGAGGTTGTTTCCTCCTCCCATGCCCAGTAGACATTGCTCTTTGGTCATGGTACTCTTTTGGGCTAAGCCTGGATGTAGCATCAGAAACCTTCCCAATACAGCTGGCTGCCAGTTTCTCATTATCGCTAGAGATGAAACTTATTTGTCATCCCCTGCCTAAGGAATTCCACTAGCCCCGAGGACGTGGAACTGACTTGCTTGATTCTAATCTACACTACTCCATTACTTTCTTCAGGGATGGACATGAGACTAGCAGGCACCTGACCAATTCTGTTATCTGTACTGTTCACAAATACCTAATCTCGGGACTCCAGAGTTACCATCATTTTGGGGCTCTGGTATTTTCCCTTCCACTGTCTGCCACTTTGATCAGGGCAAGAACAATCAAAGGAAACTTGACTTCCTTTACGGCTAACATGGGCTACTACCCATAAACTGGGAGAGAGAAAAAAAAAAAAGAAGAAGAAGAAGAAGAAGAAAAGAAAAAGGAAACTTTAGGGTAAAAACAAAAACACAAGTCTTCCCCAACCAGAACTTTGAAATGGATTGGCCCAGCCCTCCTCTCCAGAAGCCTCCACAGTTTCACAGGTCATTCCCCAAACCCAGGAAAGGGAATATTTCTTTCCCATCCTCAGTGACATGAAGCAAAGAGAATAGCCCTTTGAAAAATAATTTTTTTTTAAACTTAAAAAAGAAAATGTCACTTTCCTTAAGGGTTAAACAAAGTAGGCTATCAGGAAAATCTAGAATGTTCTTCCCCTCAGCCATGAAAACTGCTCACCATTTTCTGTTTCTTGCAAGCTTTATCCCGAGCCCCACCGGGGGTCTCTGGTAAGAGATACTTTAGAAAATAGAGAAGTTGGGGCAGGCTGCTGGCTTCCTTGTGTTTTTTTCCTCTCAGCCATTTCCCAAAACTTCTTAAAGTCCTCGCATTATACAAAGTGAAGATTTGTTCTCTCTACACCAGTAGTTGAGAAGTCTCTCCCGACAGAAGTTTTCACTACTGTTGCTGTTTGGAATTGGCTCAGCAGACGTAAACAGGGTCATCTGGGGCCAAAGAGGGTGGGTGTTTAGCTTTAAAGCTCCGGGGTTAAGAGTGAAAGCATGTGACTCCAGCCCGGCCAGAAACAGAGGAGCCTTTGTGTGCAGCGAGTGAGCCAGAGGCAGTCCACAGGGGGAGCGGGAAGGAGAACGCTGACACAGGTTCCGAGGGGCTGACAGGATGCCACTGCAGGGAGATTAACTCTTTGTTCCACAAGGGGAGCTTCTGTTCATGGCTCACAGTAGAGCAGAATACTTTTAAAAATAAAACAGCGAGCTTGCGAAGGGACACACATATTTCTGTAGCCAGAGTTGAGATGAGAGGCAGACCGAAGCAACTGGAAGCAAGAGCAATGTCCCAGCAGGAGTTTTTGGTCGATTAGCCTGGGCACTTCCTTGGGGTCCTCCCTTCTAAACACTGCAGGCTATTTCTGTGCTGCTGCTCCCCTCACACACACCCCTTCTCCTCCTGGATGGCTGGGATGAACCGCAGGAGATAGCAGGGCAGCCTGGACCACACCTCCCCTGGTTCTGCTTCCTCAGGAGCAGGGAGGCTGGTAGTTGGCAGGACCCTGCCAGAGGGAAGCTGCCATGCCACTGATTCAGCCCACCCTGGCCACACCCTCAGGCACCAGAGCCCACTGGTGTCATCCTTCACCAAGGTGCTTCGGAACCATGGACATTTGGTGAGCGTGGGCTCTGCTGGCACTGAGCAAGGAGGTGGCCCTCAGCCTGGCTCACCAGCCTACACTGCTCAGAGCCCACCTGCCTCAGTGCCAGCGTGCCCTTCCCCCAACTCCACTTCCACCCAGAAATTGCTGCATTGAACCCTACTGAAGTGAGCAAGTCAAATTTCCTGAAAGTCTGCAGAATGTGACTTTCGGACTTTGGCAGGAGGAGGAAAGGAAACAAGGTTCATTTTGCCCTCGCCCCGTGGGACTGCTCAGGAGTTCAGACGTGAGGGCGGCAGTGAGTGGCACGCCTTGCTGAACATCACGCCACGAGCACTCACACTTCCTCCCACTAGTATTCTTCACTCTTTGCTTACATGAAGATTGCTGAGCTCCTTGCAAGTGTCAGGTTCTTTGTTGGATAGCGGGGCTACAGTGGTAAATGAGACAGATCAGTGCCTGCCCACACAAGGGCCTTCGGTCCATCCAGACATGTAAAAAAGCCACTCACACAATAATGTCCATTGGTAGTCAAGAAAATGGTGACAGTTGTACTGAGTAAATGGTGACCATCGGTGGTAAGAGGTAAAAGGGAAATTTGTTGGTCCTTAATGGTATGAAATCCAGTCTTACAGGTGTATTTTGGTTTCCCCAGTCTGTGAAGTGTCATCAGTTCTTCTCTACATTTCACAGAGGAATCATGGAAATTATGGGTCTAGAATGGCCGTAAACTGCAGAATATTGAGGCAGTACCAAGCCCTGGTGCTCGGGCAAGAGGCTCCTGACCCCAGCCTTTGATCTACCAGACTCGGGGGCTGATGAATTTTTTTTGTGGTTGCTTTTTAGAATAGTAGCCAGCCCTCTCAAGCGTGTGAGTGTGTGTGTGTGTGTGTGTGTGTGTGTGTGTGTGTGTGTTCAGCACCTATGAAATCGGTACTCAAGGGCTCAGTACCTATGAAATTGGGCTAAAGGGTACTTGGCAAACATAATGCTGTGTTAGAAATGAGGTTGCCACCAGGCACCAAACCCTCTCCACTTCACAGACGGAATCATGGGGCAGAACCCTGGGCTCACTCAGGTGCAAAACAAGCAGCTTTTATCAGGGTTGCCCAGAACTCCCAGGCCTTTGCCCCTGTCCACTCCCGGGTCTTCCACAGTCCCCAACCATGTTTTCCTACCCCTCCAAGGGCTGACCACTCCCCACCAGTTCATTTTGCATGAACCTCTGAAGCCCCTTTCTGAGCTCATGGAAAAGCACCCCAGGTTCCTTGCCCGTCTTCCAGCTGGATAAGATAGAAGGCTGCAAAGCCCATTGTGGCTACAAATACTCTCTCTGGGCTGAAGTTGTGACCTCCAAAAGGACAGGACCATTTTCACAGCCTCAGTCTCTGAATGTGCTGACAGGAAGTGTACATCTCCAAAATCAAGAATGCAGTACAATAAACACACGTGCCCCCAGAGATTGCACCATCCTCCATCACCGTGTACACAGGGTGAAATGTACATGCGACAGCAGTAACTGCCTGGAGTATGAGGAAAGTCAGGAGCGCAATGAAGAAAAAGCTTGCTTTGGTTTCTAAGTTTTTGCAGTACTTGTTCTTTTGCTTTTTCCTTTACAAAGAAAACCATAATCCTGAAGCCTGGGGACCAAGTGACAGGTTCAGAGACTCAATAATTTTCCTGAAATCTTATGCAAAAATTCTTGAGTCTGAGCATGTCATATGCCTTTTCCCTAAGAGAGGATTGCTATCTTAATTCAGCAGAATCTCAAAAGAGTTCGAGACCTGACCAAAACAAAACAAAACAAAACACAAAATACTGCGAAGCTGGGGATGGTGGCTCACGCCTGTAATCCCAGCATTTTGGGAGGCCAAGGCAGGTGGATCACTTGAGTCCAGGAGTTCGAGACCAGCCTGGCCAACATGGTGAAACCCCATCTCTACTAAAAATACAAAAAATTAGCCGGGAGTGGTGGTGGGCGCCTGTAATCTCAGCTACTCGGGAGGCTGAGGCAGGAGAATTGCTTGAACCCAGGAGGCGTAGGCTGCAGTGAGCCAAGATCGTGCCATTGCACTCCAGCCTGGGCAACAGAGCGAGACTCCATCTCAAAAACAAAAAACAAAAAACCTGCTGAATAAAATGCTGGGGCAGGTCACAGAGATGCAGTCTGGTCCTGCCCCATTGATAGATAAGGACCCCAAAGACCAGTGAGGTGAAGTCACATCCTTGCCCAAAGTCATTCCGTCAGCTAATGATACAGTCAGCCTGAAAACCCAGTCTCCTTAATCCCCACCGGGTGATTCATCCACTTTTCCACACCACCTGGATTTCTTGTAGGGCATAATTTTGAGGGTGGGGACCATGTAGCTTATTTCTTTCCAATCTTCGCACTGGGCTTAGGGTGGCGCCTCGCTTCAGTGCCAGTGACTCATTCAGTGTACCTCACCTTCTTAGGAGCAGGGTTGGCGCTCGAATGAGCATTCGAATGCTGGTGACAGATCCCCCTGCAGAGTAGCGTGGAGCCAGGGGACATGTGAATGGTAGCAAAAGCAGTGGCCAGACAGGGCATCACTAACATCACTTACTTTCACCCTCCCTTTAGGACAATTCCAATTCTAATTCCACACCGAGCCTTCCCAGTTACGGGGGCAGAAGCGTCTCCTAGGAAGCAGTGCGTTAAGGGCAGCATGGTTTGGGGTTTAGGGGTCCAAAGGAGTCTCATTGTACACAGGGACTAGTTCCAAGACCTCCTGTAAAGCCAAATCACATAAAGTGAAAATTTCCCTTGAAAATCCTTTAAAATGCCTATGAAGTACAACAAGCAGACATGATCCCTCCACGGGACATCCCAGCCAGTCAGCTCTGCCTTCAGGCTGGAAGAGACTCCTGTTACCTCAGCTGAGCAGCAGAGGAAAACGTGGGTGGCATTTAGGGCTGTGCTGGGCCAGAGAAACTTATCTTCAGTGTGGCGAGATGCTGCCGTGAGATGAGGCCAGGGAAGGGTGGCTGCGTGTGCTCCCGTCTCACACACCCTCCGGGCCCTGCAACCTTGCCCGGCTGCTGCACTGTATCACCACACATCAACATATCACTGTATGTGTCCCTCCCGCTCTCCCCACCTCTCAGCTGAGCTCCTGCAGTTGACTTCATGAAAATTAAATGGGTGCTTCAGGGGTCTCCTCCTTAATACCAGCACCTTATCACGCGGCCACCTTGGGCTGCCACTCCCAAATTCCTGGCCCACAGAAACTGTGAGATAATAAATTTTTGTTTGTTTGGTTTTTGTTTTTTTTTTTGAGACGGAGTCTTGCACTGTTGCCTGGACTGGAGTGCAGTGGCGGGATCTCGGCTCACTGCAACCTCCACCTCCCGGGTTCAAGCGATTCTCCTGCCTCAGCCTCCCAAGTAGCTGGGATTACAGGTGCCCACCACCACTCCCGGCTAATTTTTTGTATTTTTAGTAGAAACGGGGTTTCACTATGTTGGCCAGGCTGGTCTTGAACTCCTGACCTCGTGATCCACCTGCCTTAGCCTCCCAAAGTGCTGGGATTACAGGCGTGAGCCACTGCGCCCGGCCATTTTTGTTTTAAACTGCTAAATGTAGGGGTAATTTGTTTTGCAGAATACAAGTACAGAATACTAATACAAAGGAGATATCTGGAGAGGCAGGCTAAGGATCCGGTAGGGCAAGTTTTCCAGTGGGGGCGATGGGATTGTGTCTGCCATTTAGGAAGTTTCCCTGGCAGCACAGAAGACCATGCTGTGGAAGGGGCAAGGCTGATGAGAGAACAGTTAAGATGCTCCACAGTTGTTCAGGCAAAAGGACTTACATTAAGACGGTGCAGCAGAGACAGAAGGAAGATAGGCTGCAAGAGACATTTCCAAGTAAGAATGGCCAGAGCTTATTGACCAACTGCCCACAAATAATAATATCATTAATATTAATAGCTAACATAAATTGAAAACTTAATATGTACCAAGCATTCTTCTAAGCACCTTACACATATTTACACATTTAATTCTCACAATAACTTTATGGGTAGGCACTACTATCTCATTTTATAGGTGAGGAAACTGAGGCACAGAAAGATTATGTGGCCTCCCAATGCCACATAGCTGGTGAGCGGCACAGTCTGGGTTCAAACTTGGACAGCTGTGCCTTTAATGTCTCTGTTCTTCCTCTGGAGGGATCAGACAGAGAGAAAGGAGGGAACAAGGGGAACGAAGGTGAGCGCTCAGATTTCTAGCCTGGGCAACGGAGTGCAGCCTTACCCAAGGTAGGCCTCGATGACGTGAAAGACATCACTATCACCAGTCACCTACTAATCCCCTGTGAACCTCATAGGAACTGCTTAATGGACTCAACTACAACCCAGCAAGTGAAATGTAGAATAACATCCGGACATGGCACCAGGCCCCACTTATACCACGCTCCAGTAAAAATAAACCTCCCTGTCCAAATATAGAGTGGTTGGAAGTGCCATACTTTACAGAAGAAGAGGCAGTTATTTGGCATTAAAAATAGATAAGTTTTGGCTTACTTGAAGACCTGGGCATGAGCAGTGCGATTCCCAAATGGAAACAGATGGATGGGGTGAGCCCCCCCTCAAGACTGACTCAGCTATTTAAAGAGACCAAATAGAAAATTATATCCCCTTTCTGGGCCTCAGTTTACTCACCCATAAGACAGAGAGGTTGGACAAAAGATCCAATGTCATGCCAAGCTCCAACCCTCTATGAGGGTTGGAACTGGAGGCCAAGGCTAGATCTGAGAGCTGACAACCTCCTAAATCAAGGACAGCCCAACAGATGCAGGGCGGGTTGGCCCCTCAGTTCATAACTTACTGCTGATAGGATCAGGAGTAGTTTTTCCCAAGGATTTTCAGAACTCTGTCAAGAGCTTTAAATCACCGCTTTGAATCAGACACATTGTTAATCCACAAAGAAATGCAAGCCAGGAAGTCCCCCTACAACTAGCTTGCCTCCTGAGGGGCTACCCTGATAGAAAGGAGGGGTGGGGTAGTGTGTGCGGGAGGGGCTGCCGGGGTCCTTTCCCTCACTGGGTCCCAGTGGCAGACAGGCCCTTTTGACACATTCCCTTTAATCCTGCAAGGCCGGCACAGTCGTATTTCACACGTGGAAGAACTGAAGGCTCAGAGAGGTGACATAACTTGCCCAAGATCATTCAGCTGGAGGAGGAGGGAACCGGGTCCAAAACCTGCATCTTTCCCCCTCACAGGGCCTCTGCTGTGCTGCCTATCGCGTGGTGGTCGGAATCACTCTTCTCAACTCCAAGAGGGGAAAGGAAATCACGGCGAAAGCTGAGCGCCTTCAGGTCACTCAAGCTGGCAGCTGAGAAAGCTAGAAGGCTTTAATTTCCTAACTGATCTCCTTGCATTTTTACCACACCTTGAAAAATAAAAGACCAGATTTGCTTTAAATGATTTTATTAAAAATTGTACCAATTGATGGGGGGAAAGATATACACACATACACACATATGCATGTGAAGAACATAAACACATAAAGCCAAAGGCTCTGTACAGTTTTTTAAAAAATGGGGCCCCTTTCTTCTTCCTCTCTCCCAGAGGCAGAGTGCCCAGACCCCAGGGCAGCTACCCTGGGGATGAACAAAATGCTACATTCTCACTGGGTCTCCTCGATAGCCCCTGTGGATCCAGGGATGGGGTAGAAGGCTAGCAATGCTCCCAGAGCAGGGAGGGGCACTGGCCACCTGCACAGAGAGAGGGGGCAGTGGGGCTCTGAGCACCTTTAGCTGGGAGGCTGGCTGGGCACCTATGAGCTCAGCTTTTTCCGCTATCCCCTCAAGACTCAAAAGTCCCCACCAGCCCTCAGGCTGCCTAAGGGTGACAGGTGAGCCCCTTCCTGCTAGGGTGTCTGGCCAGGATGGCCTGCTTCCAAGAGTCCTCACCTTCACACACAGAGCTGTTTCCAGCCCAGGCCAGCACTGATTTGCAGAAGGCCTGCAGAGCCATGGTGACCAAAGTCTTCCCGCTTCTGCCACGTCCCTTCTGCCTACCCCACCTCCCCATCAAGTCCCTCAAAAAGAAGTGCTCACTGGGGTAGCATGCTCCTTGCTGTCCAGGACAGTCACCGTGGCTCCACAGCACTCTTCCTGGGAGGCCCTGGCTGAACCATCCCGAATAACCCCCAGGCAGGGGCCACCTGCCGATGGGGCTGGGCTGCCAGGAGCAGTGAGACAGGTCAGCTGGGCCCCTCTGGGTCCTTCAAACAAGCCTGCCACATAGCTTTGGACACAGACCTACTCCCCTGGGGGCTGAGGGAGGTCACTGGGAGGTGATCTTTTTCCACCTCGGATTGAGCAAGAGAAGGCTGCCAGTGGCCCAGACTTTGAAACAGGCCAGGCAGAGGCCAGGCTGAGTCCTCCACCCTCATTGCAGGAGTCCAGCGTCTGGCCTGGGGACTTCCCTCACCAGATCTGTTGACCAACTTCTAGAAACCCCTGCTTTGGGGTTGTGAATTAGAAGGGCTGTTTTGACCCTGAATATCAGGCTTCCCTTCCTCCCAGGCATTTCTTTCCCGAGGAGGAAGGTTTCCAGTCCCTCTCCCAACCCCCACCCTCAGCAAGCCACAAAGCCTCCACCGTCTTCAGCTGGTTACAGGTCAGGATCCAGGTCAGACTCTCCCTCCCTCTAAATCTGATTCTCCACCCCTCGCTAGAGACAGCCAGGCTCCTGGGGGTGGGGGATGGAGTCTGAGGGGGTGGAGGTCGGGGGGGAGGGGCAGGTCTCCTGAGGCTAGACTTGAGGAATGTTTAGGCCAACTCACCAGGCAGAGGAGGAAGGGGCCAGTTTAGATCACTAAGCCAATTAAAAACAACCAGCCAGAAAGAACCTTTCTCCTTCCTGACAGCTACTCTGCCAGCTACCTCCTGGGTTTTGTTGGTGGGGAAGAAGGGAGAGGGAAACGTGAGGGGTGTAAATTTTGCCCTGGCTCACTTAAGACAGTGAGTGAGTTCCTGGCTTTGCATAAGATGGAGACAGTGCAGTCAGACCACCTTCCACCTGCCCCAGGCTTGATGTTGAGGTGGGTTTGTCAAAGTCTGGGCTCAGTTCTCAGGCCACAGGGCACCCAGCCTGGGCCTGGCAAGGTCTCTGAAGCTGATGGCCTTGCCCCAGCACCAAGATCTAAATCATTTTCTCTCTCACTGAACTCAGGTGGAGAGTCTGCCAAAAGGGGTGAATAGTGGCTGCTGTAAATAATCCCGGTTTTTTGGTGTGTGCCACTGAAGCATACGGCAGCAGGCTGCCTGTCACCACCTTGATCCAGAGAGGGGAGAACAACGTATGTCCCATACACATCATAAAATGGTATGGAGACCCACAGGGAAGGCTGAATTTCACAATGGTCAGTGTGTCCCAGAGCCAGTCTTCAAGCTGGTCCCCGGCTCCTTCTCTGCAAAGCAGGAACCCGTCTTCTTAGCAGACAAATCATGGTACACACCCTGAGAATAGAATTCTGACCAAGAAGAGGTAATATCCAGAATATCTGAGCAGAACAAAACAAAGGCTTACATGCACAGTTTGAGGCCCTTCTCCTCCAGGGTGCTGTGAGCCCATATGGCACCTTTGCAAATTAGGAAAGGCACCCCTTCTTCTTGGGAGAAGTAGCCCCACACCAGGGCACGCACACAGCTTAGTGAGCAGAACACAAGCTGAATTCCAGCCTCCATTAGCTGCAGGTGCCCTTGTGCAGTGAACAACCTGCACAACTGTACATCCAGAAGATCAATGTCTCCTTCAATAGTACTGAAGACCTCCTCTCCTCAGAACTGGAAGACTTGGGCTTGTTCAGATTTGTGAGTCTACTCTAGACTCCTCCTATTTCCTTGGGTAGCCCTGAGGTCTTCTTTGTCCAGGGAAGCCGTCTTTCCTTTGGGCCTTACTTCACTGTTAGCACCAATGTTGTCTTTTCTCACATATGCAAAAGTTATAATTTAGTTTCTAGCGTCTGGTTAACAGATTCCCTGTGCCTGCTATCGGAGCTGCCACACCGGCTGCTTTAGATCCTCTCCATAAGTGCCGCAGCAGGGAGAGAAGGGAAGACGTGCACAGGCAGCTGTGATCCTGCTGGGTTCCAGAGCATGCCCTTCTGGCCTAGCTGGAAGCTGGAGGAAGATAGGAAATGTGTACCCAGCTTTGACGGTTCCCCACTCTAATCGTTATCTGTTACTCTAAAAGTCACTTAGCTGGCAAAGCCACTGTCCTGGCTTCTTCTGTATCCCACTAGGTATGAAAAAGGACTGGGGATAAGGGGGAAGAGGTATGTTGTTTCCAAGGAAACCAAGGGGTCTGGGGTCCCCTACGGCTGACTCTCATGGTAGGGTGGCCACCATATTTTCCGGCCCCACTGCAAACTTGCCCCCGATGTCCCTCAGTGCCGATGTTGGGGGTGGAATGCGGTCTGTCGGTGGGGTCTTTTGAAAGAAGAGCTGACAAAGGCACAGGCTGCCAGCAGCAACATGCTGACTGGCTATTCGGCTCATCCGTGGCTGACACCCAGCTGGTCCCAGGCCGCCAGTGGTGGCAGTGGCTCTGTACCTCAGGACCAATCCTGGGGCCTCCAAGTGGGACCAAGTCAGTTTTGAGGCCTAGCCAGAAGTTTGGTTCATTTTGCGACATGTTTGAGGGGTCCTTAGAGAAACTCAACCCTCCCTGAGGTCTGCTGGAGGTGGCAGGAGCTGGCCAGGAATCCTTGAGCCCATGGGGCAGGTACTGGCTGAGAAGTAAGAACCCAGTCAGATGTGGAGCTGGCCGGCCAGCCTAGTGAAGCTGCTATCCTCAAGTGGAAAGCCCCTGGCCGAAGCCCTGCTGGGTTAAAGCAATGTGACCATCAGGATCACGGCCCCCATCCACAGTGGAAGGCTCATAGGTTTGGTGGAACTGGGAGTCTAATCCACTCTCGATTTCTTAACTGAGTTCCTCTGGAAAAACCACAGTCCACTTCCCAGAGAACATCACTAACGGATCATCTTCGACAACTGGTAGATTCCTCAGTCGAAGAATCTACTTGTCAGAGCCCTTGGGAATTCTCACCATCACAGACACATCAGCCTCTCCTTCAACAGTGTTTGACAAAGGCCCCCATTCCAGGTCAAGGGCCTGACAGAGAAAGAAGGTCCCGCTTGAGTATGTTGTATGTACACTCAGAGAGAAATTAAAAAAAATTAAAACACAAAATAACAACAAAAAAACAATTTCACAAGACACAGTGTCAGTCCTGCCCGATGTCCTTCCTGTTCCAGACGGTGTTCCTGGTGCCCCATGTGAAGAGGGCAGCCCACCCTCACCTAGGGCCTGCCCCGTTCCTGTTCTCTTCTCCATTCAAAGCAAGGTTGTGCAGGAAGAGGAGGATCTGCCACCACACACGATTTTGGTTCTGCTGGTGCTGAAGGGAGAAAAAAAAAAAAGACCAACATAACTCCCAAACGCAATCTTAGACGACTCCCTCTCATTTCCAGTAAAAGTTCAGATCTCCAAGTCTCACGGCTGGCACTTTAATCCTATCAGTACAGCTCACAGCGGGGAGGAGGGGGAGGTGAAAGAGACACTGCCATGTGGAGGAGAGAGTTGAGTTCTCCAAAAACAATTGCAGTTTTAACATTAAAAAGAAAAGACTAGGCTCTATATGCACTATGCACAAGAGGATTAAGCTTTTTCCCCTGCTTGCAGGATTTTCCAGAGTTTAGCCAAGTGCTGCTTTTAATCAGATTGGCTCCCGAGCCCCTCAAACCTCAGCTGCATGAACAACAAACTGGCTTCAGAAAGAGAAGAAGTGCCCCCCTCTCTCCCCCGACTCCAAAGTAACACAGAGAACAAGGGGAAAGGGGGGGCCTCCATCTGCAAGTGATTTGACACTGTGAAGGTCAAAGGGTTAATCTTCAATTTAAACCACACTGCTGAGGCAGCAAAAATCTGATTTCATCCAGTGCAAACACGCACACACACAGACTCACACACACACACACACACACACCCTTGTGCGCCCGCCCGCTCTCCCTCCCCAGCATCTCCAGCTCGGTGCTGCCCTTTTTATAGATGCTCTTGACAGTAAGCCATAAATAATCCCTCTTGGAGCGCTCTCCTACTGACTGGAGCCAATTAAACATTAAGCAAGAACATACTTGAAAACAAAACAAAAACAAAGAATATATACTATGCTCTGGAGGTTATCCCAGGTCCTACTGTCAGGCTGGGAAGCTAGGGGCAAAGTTCAGGGGTCAGTGGCTCACCAGATTGGGGCTGGTGCCCTGCCCACACAGGTACCATTTCCCAGGAGAGGCCTGGGGGGGTGGAAACTGGGGGGTGCTGGAAGAGGCGGTCTTTGTTCTCTCTTTGTCTGCCAGGGCAGGAGGACTGGGCGGGGGCCTCTCCACAGGGTTCTCACTGGACAGGGGAATAAAAACCTAGTGTGCAGAAAGGAGCCAGCACGGGCTGGACTTGGATTACTTCAGTGGCCCCGTCAGCAAGCAAGTTTACATGAGGTGTCCAAGCCTTCTCTTAAACTGTCTTTAACCACAGCACCAGCCCCCACCAGGCAACTACTCCTGGTCAGATGGGAAGAGGAGAGAGGAAGCCAGCGGCACAGCTGGAAAGGGGGCCCAGGTTGCCTGGACTCCCAGAGCTTCCAGGTTCTGTCCAGCCCTGGCCTCCCTGACCTTTCCCAGGGCCACCATGCAGGTTGCTGGCTTCCCCTTCACGCTGCCCTAGGCCACAAAAAGAGAGGCATCCAGGCAGCTGGCCTCAGGGCCTGACAACCCAGGTGAACACGGAATGCCCCCGTCCATCATGGCAACAGCATTCCTCCTTCCCCCGTGGAAGAGCCTGGAAAACAACCCGGCAAGCTGGAGGCGCAGCTCCTGCCCGGAGGGGAAGGGAAATCGGGCGTGCCACAGAAGAGGCCTGGCAGACAGAGGGTGGGGAGATGGATGGCTTCCTCGTGTTTTGTAAACAAAGATGAGTAAAAAGAGGAAACACACCCGGCTTAACAAAATCTGGTTAGAGTAAAACAGCGTGAAAATGGACTCAGCTGCAAACCCGAAGCCTCCGGCCTGCAGCAGCTGGGCCAAAGACCCCCTCTCCTCCCCTCCCCAGCTGCTGACCGAGACAGGTGCAGAGGTCATGTGGCCGAACAAGAGGAGAATCCAGGAGCAGACTCATCCCTGGAGAGGCCAGTCTGCTGGAATTCCAGTTCTCCTGAGGTGCTTGTCTGAGAAGACCGGTGGCAAGAACAATCATCACCTCATAATAGTAACGTGGGGTTAGGGTGGCAGTCGGGGGTGGGGAGGTGCCAGGCTCTGTTCTGTGTGTTCTGCATCCTTGCTTCTCAAAGGGTGGTCCATGGACTAGCAGCCTCAGCATCATCAGAGAGCTGCCTGGAAATGCAGACCCAGCATCAGAAGATTCCCCAGGTGATTTTGAGGCACATTATCATGCCCATTACTTAGCGACCACATAGCTAGTTTAAGTGGCAGGGACTGGACTGAACCTAGACCATCTGGCCCTAGAGCTATGTCCCTTCCCATTATCTCTGTGCTCAGAGTGCCACTACCTTTCTTTATACCAAAGCAGACCCTCTAGCCTCCCCTTTACTAAATCATCTCAAAACAGCTCAATGGCCAAGGAAAGCAGATGAGAATTCTATGATTTGGGGCTGAGGCAATTCTCATCTCTGTATGCCTCAGTTTTCTCCCAAATTCCACTAATGGAGGCCACCTACTCCCTGGGCAACTTGAGATCTCTGAAGATGAGGCACAGACTCCCATCATCTGGGAGCGTTGGGGGACTCAGAAGCAGCTGTGGGCCAGAGAGTGCTTTCAGACAGGAAGGCTGAGGTCTTGCAGGGGACCCAGGCAGGCCTAGGTGCAGGAGGCAGGATACATGGGCCGGCCCTTGGGAAGGAACTAGTTTCCATGCCTCTGCGTGTGACAGTCCTTAAGGCTCATGAATTGGTAAGGAAGGCTCTATGGTGCATGGATCCCCAGGGACCAGGAATCAGAGGACCTGGCTTTCGGGTTGGATCTCCCATCAACCTGCTCATGAGTTCTCTCTTGGCTTATAAGGAAAATGCAGGTATTGTACTAGATCAATGGTTTCTAAACCCAACTGTGTCACTAAGCCAGCTGAGGTGCTCTTGTAAGTATAGAGTCTCCAGGCCTCTCCCAGACCCACTGGGTCAGAATTTCAAGGAAGGGTCCCAGGAATCTGTATACTGAACAAGCTCCCTTGGTGACATTTTAGAGATCAGAAATCATTTATTGTATATTTTAATCATAAAAGCAATACATGTTAATTGTAGAAATATTGGAAAATACAAGACATTACAGAGGAGGAAATAAAGTCACTCATGATCCTCCAGGCTAGAAAACACTTCACGTGTTGGTGTTTTCTTCAGTCCCTTTCGATCTCTTTCCACCAAAGTAATGTCTTACCCCACTGGCCAAGCCAGAGGTCAATCCTGCCCAGGTGGTTCTGTGGCAGCCAGGCCACAGCCTTTTGGAAACCACAAAGGTGCTCTCCAACCCTAAGGAGTTTGTCATCCACGACTACCTTCAGGATTACAACTCAGAGCTCCAACAACTGAATTCTGTCAGCTGAGTGTAGGGCCTGGGAACCACCCATGGGCCCATGAGCCCTCTCTGGCTACAAGCAGATACCACACAGGCTCCCTTTGGCCTTCTCCCGCCTCAGGGCAGCCCTCACAAGACCCTTTTCCATGAGGAAACCAAGATAATCAAAGAATGCCCTGATTACAAAATACAACAATAAATAAAATTTTTCCTAAAAGTTTAACAAAAGGGCCTGACTAGAAAGGAAAGAAAAAAGACTTGAAGGGAGGCCAGTGGGAGAAACAGTGAGGAGGAAGGAAGTTGGCCTTCACTGAACAGGATGAAGAACACAAAGATACCAAAACACCAGAGAACGTGGGATCTTCCACAAGAGGGTGTGGAGGAGAAGGGGAAGAGAGGGGAACCAGGAATGAGTGTACTTGGCCTCTGACCCTCAGGCACCCGGCACAGCACCCAGCGCACAATCTGAGATCAACAAGGGCAGATCCCCAGAACCAGGCCTGCCCTCCTAGACTCAGCTAGGGAACCCCTCACAGAATGGGAGTTCCCAGAATACACAGTCAGGGTGACCCAAGGGTCGGGGCTGGGATACAGAGGAGGGGAAGCTCACCCTAGAGCCCTCGGACTCACATGGTTTAGAAGGCAGGGCCAAGGAATGGAGGGAATGAATAGAGGTGAATGCCCCCAGGGAAGGTGCCCTAACATGGTAGATCACGGTGTTCTCTTCAATGAAGAGAGCACAAGCAGGCATCAGAGCCCCATGCGGCTTCTTTGGCCCAGCCTCATTTTCTTGCCACGGACAGGGGATGAAGGCAGTCAGCTGACAAATGTTTCAATCCCTACTGTGTGCAACACCCTATGCCTGAATGCACAGCTGCTCATCCTGTGTAATGGGGAACATGGAAGGCATACAGTAGGCACTCAACAAGGGCATGCTGGACCGACTACAGAGGAGTCAGCCCTGAAAGATAACCCACTTGTCTGAGGCCAGGAACAACTGATGTCTGGCCAGGTCTAAAGATGTACTTTATGTGATAGTATCAGCCTCACACCTGGGGAGAGGCCCAACTAGTAAAAGGCCTCCTTTTTTTTTTTTTTTTTTTTTTTTCTCTAAAGAGCTGGCTGTGGTGTCTGACAAGGTTGGATTACATAAATCAAACTCTGTTTCATCCCACACAGCCTCTGCCCTAAGCACAAAGCGTGTTCCCTACGCTCCCTGGATAAGAATCTCCCTCTGCCTCTCCCCTTTTCAGATCCAATTCATACCCTCTGGGGGCTCTGTGTGTCACCAGTGTTCCAGATGCTCCAGCTAGAGCTAATTCACCCCAAAGTATCAGAGGAAGAAGCAAAGCGAAGCCGTGTGCAGCTCTAAAAGAACCTAACTCACAAAATGCAAATTTACCAAACAGAGAGCAACTTATAATATCTCAGATACAGAACAGAGCACTTTCCTTTCTTCTCATGTGATCCTCACGATAGGAAGAGCAGGTATTAATCAACCCATTTTAGAGCGACGGAAACAATGGCTCAGAAAAGTCATCCCAAGTTAGTTGGGAGGGGTGTAATTTGAGGCCCTGACTTCTGACTCCAAAGCTATGTTCCTTCACTAAAATTTTACAGTGTGTTTATTGACATTATGAAAATAGCATTACCTTTTTCAAAGCAAATCACCACTGATCTGCTCCCCTAGTATGCTTAAAGACATTGTTTCCAGATCATTAACTATTTAGTAAGGACGCTGTGGACCAGAAAAAAATAACCCTTTCAGAGGCAGAGCTAACTGAAGATCAAACAGAAATAAAGCTAAAACTGGTCTGAAATTATAACTTCAGACTGTGATCTGAAACCACACTCAATCTCTTCAAAATGCAGAATTGTCTATACTCTAGGGGAAGGTGCACAGTCCACGATGTGAAGTTTTCCTCCCTCTTCCCTTTTCCCTGTCATTCTCTAAACCTACTCAGGCCAAGGCTGAAAGAAAGAGCCTTGCAATTAAGAACAGGAACATTGAGAGCAGGAAAATTCCTGCTTGAAGGAAGCTAGGAAGATGTTTTCTGTTGAAATAAGGACATTTTAATGAAGCACCCAACTGAGCTATCAAGCACCCAACTGAGCTACCAAGCACCCAACTGAGCTACCAAGCACCCAACTGAGCTACCAAGCACCTAACTGAGCTACCAAACACCTGAGCTACCAAGCACCCAACTGAGCTACCAAGCACCTAACTGAGCTACCAAGCACCCAACTGAGCTACTAAGCACCCAACTGAGCTAAGAGTTATGTGGATACAAAGATGATTAAAATATTATAAACTTGGTTCTCAATTGTTTTACAATATAATGGGGAGAAGAGCAAGAGCACCTAGCTGAGTATCACATGAGGCAGAGCGGGTTGGGGCAGCAAATGTGTGCTTCCTTGTACCCTTGTTTTCCGGAATGTGATTGCTGGGCAGCAGGTATGGGGCGATTGGACCATGGTTCCAGAATCCATCAAATCTGTATGACGCCTAGCTCAGCAAATTACGGTGTGACTTGGACATGTTACCTCACTTCTCTGAGCCTCAGTTTCCTATAACACAGTGGCAATGGAGTCTAAAAGTCCAAGGTTGCTGTGGTGATTACGTAAGAAAAATATACATGAAGCACTGGGCCTGGGGGCTGCAAGGAGCAGGCTCCTCCTTCCCTGGGGAGCACAAGGAAAACCTGGGACTCACTGGCTTTGCAGAGCACGTCTCTCAATATGCTCTGCAACAGGGCCGGCCTGGGGAGCACCATCTTCCCGGCAGACTCACGAAATCCCTGGGAGATCCCTGACTTTCTGCTTTGAGACTGCCCACAGCAGCCACAGGCCATGGGGCTCAGGATTCTAGGCTGCCAGGGTAAGCCAAGGATTCTGAAACCCAGAGGGCAACCCCTTGGACCCAGTGGGCCCACTGCCTCAGACTGCTTCTGACCCAGAGGCCCGAGGAACGAGCAACGTGGCAAAACGGAAAAGGAAAAAAAAGACTCCTTGCCAAGAGCTTCCTCAGCCCAGCCAGCAGTGTTAACAGGACATTGAAGCCACCATGGCCACGCCCATTGCTTCTCTAAGGAAAAAAGAGCAGTCCGAAGCCAGCCAGCTCTCAGTGGAAGATGGCAAGGCTTCCTCTAACGCAACTGGAAGACACTGGCTCCAGCCACTGGGGGTTGAGGGGTACGGTTCGGGGACAGAGCTGTGCTGCACCATCCATGTCCCCAGACCCTTGTTTTGCACCTCCACAGCCTGGAGGGAGGAACTACTGAGACCCTTACTCAGTTTCCTTCAAGCTGAGAACAGCTCCATCAAACTACTGGGCAACTTCTTCAGAGCTCAGAAGGGCACAATGGTGTGTGCCCTGGTTAAAGAAGGGAGAGGGAGGGGGTTCGGGGGACAAGCCTGTTGTGTGTATTATGCTATGCAAAATAACCCCAGGTTCTGACACTCGACTTGGGGTCTTTTCAGCTGACTGTTCATGTCCTGTCCAGGACCAGGTCAAGGCAAACCAGGCAAGGAGGAAGGATGGAACCCTCCCCTTCACACACGGACTGATTGTGTGCTCTGGTCATGGAACATGACCTCTTGGCTGCCAGACATGGATCAAAAGGCAAACCAGTCATTTTTCTTTAACCTTCTTTCTTTGTGTCTCCCTTAGTCCCCTCCTCCCATCACCCACTTTCCAAAAAAAAAAGCCAATTTCCATCCCATGGCAGGCCTTGGTGGGGAGGGAATGAACTCTCCGGAACTACAAGGCCCTTCTCCTGGAAGAGAGAGCAGTCAGGTGCAGAGTGTGTGGGGAACTCAGCCTCTAGTCTGCCACGCTGATGACTCAGAAGCTAAATATAGCGAGCGATATAAACAGAGCCAGCCACAGAGCAAACACAGGGCCCCCAGCCCCGGCGCTGGCTCTCACGCACTCTGGCTCTCCGCAGTCCCTCCCCCAGCCTCATTCTTCCCCTGGCACTGTCCTAGGTGGGCCTCCCACTCCTGGGACAGAGGCTGGCTTCCTAGGGACCCATCTCACTCTATAGCAAACCTCTGGGGCCCCTGCCCGGGGCTGTCCCATCTAGACGCTGAGCAACCTAGTTAGCCAGCTTAAGTTCCAGAAAACCACTCACTAATAACTAGAGAATCCCAAAGTGTCAGGAAGCAATCAGGGGCTCCCTGAACAAAGGATCCAGTCTGCTAGGCAGAGAAGCTGCTAGTTAATAAACCATGCAAACACCAACTCGGGTACAACTTCCAAAAGAGCTCCCCAAATTACAAAGTCAGGTCCAAGCAAAATCCTAAAGTCATCTTTTAACATATTTCTAAAAGTACTCAACTGTCCCTGACTTAATAGTTATTTGTATCACAACTCCTAAAGGCCCTTCACATCAACTAGGCAAGGTAAGTATTAGAAACCAAGACTAAGCCGGGTGCAGTGGCTCACACCTGTAATCCCAGCACTTTGGGAGGCCGAGATGGGCGGATCGCCTGAGGTCGCGAGTTCAAGACAAGCCTGACCGACATGGAGAAACCCCGTCTCTACTAAAAATACAAAAATTAGCCAGGCATGGTGGTGCATGCCTGTAATTCCAGCTACTCAGGAGGCTGAGGCAGGACAATCACTTGAACCCGGAGGCAGAGGTTGCAGTGAGCCGAGATCGCACCACTGTACTCCAGCTTGGCAAGAAGAACGAAACGCTGTCTCACCAAAAAAAAAAAAAAAAAAAAAAGGCTTGGAGAGATTACATGATTTGCCCACGAACACATAACTTATAAGTGGCAGAGCTGGGATTTTAACAGATCTGCCTACAAGTCTAGGATCCTTTTTGTGATATTACAGCTAAAGATGGTTTCAACTGAGTGGCTGAAAGTTTTCTCAGATTTCATTTGCCAAAAAGTCTAATTACTATTCAGAGATTTCCAAACCCGGCTTTTCTGAATGGAGCCACTCCTGGTCCAAGTGAAAAAGCCATTTCCAACATGAAGAATTCCAACCCTCCTGTAGCTTTACTCACTCGACTGTTTACAGTAACTACTGTTTTTGAGGATTCTTGGCTTCTTAACATTGCCCAGAAATACCCCCAAATGTCATGATGGGCCACTGGGACAGAAGACTCTCCCAAGGGGAGGGGATACCACTTCCTGCCCCTCCTTAGGCTCGTGCTGAATGAGGCCATGGCACAAGGACAGGAAAGCTGGGGCTCAGACCTTCTGGCCAGGGCAGCCCAGGGGCTCAGGGAGGAAGTACATCTGCACCATGCTCTTCCATGCAGAAGCTGGACACAGAAGCACCACAGCACCACCCTCAAGATAAGTCATTATCAGCAGACCATCGGGGGTCCCTGCCACAGTTTGTCAGCTCACAGAGGAGCAAACAGGGGAACCTTCACTCCTGCCCCGGCCAAAGGAAGGTGGGATGTGTGGTGAGGTTCTGAAAGGTTTTTACCTCCACTCACTCTGCCTCCAACTCTCTTGCTGCTTTGGAGACACAAAGAGCTGAGGCGGAGCACCCTGCTAACTCTGATCTTCTGCCTCCGGTTTTTTGCCTGTGGATCTGGAAGAGTCACCCTGAACTGGTAACTCGGGTGACCAGGCTAGTCCTCCACCTAGCAAGGCTCTTGGGAAATGCGCTGAAAGTGCAGATGGCCCACGTAAAACGACACCCAGGGAAACTTGGAACCTGTTGCATCTGGAGCCAGGTCGATACACTCAATTGGGATTTCATGGCATCAGCACGCCCCCTCCCTCTGCTCCATACCTCCAAGGGAGAAGGTCGTTCTGGTGCAAAAAAACGAGTAACTCAGGTCTGTAACCAGGGACAAAAAGGGGGAGTGCACACTCTCCACAGGACTATGGACCAGTGGCCACTGTCTAGCCCCAGGACACTATCCCAGATGTAGGGGAAAGGTGACGGTCAGGCCTCCTCAAGTCCCATCTGCCTCTAGGGTTGCTTTTCTTGGCTCTCTAAATCCAGCCCGCAATGATGGGGAATGACTATCATTCCCTGAAGAGAAATCGATAAGGCCAAGGTCCACAGATGATCAGTCTGGACACTAATTCCTCTGGACCAGGCAGGTGGAGGGAAGTTCAGGGGAGGCAGCTCTGCTCAGGGAGTCCCCTGCCAGGTGGAGTGGGAAATGAATTGTGAACCAACAAGAACAAACGTCGGGGGTGATCAGGATCATAAACAGAAAGAAGGAAACAGGCATTAAAGAACATCTACTGTGTGTCCCAAACTCTCATAGGTATTTTCTCACTTAATTATCACAGTAAAATTCTGTGGTATTAGCACTAATTCATAGAAGAGGAAATAGGCTCAGTGAAGTCAAGTGACTTCCTGAAAACTAGTAGATGGCAGAGCTGGTATTCAAACCTGGGCTTTCTGACTCTGAACCCAAAGCCTAGAAACTAAATCCTAAATAACCTCCTTCCCACTGCCTCAGTTTCTCTGCCTGCAAAAATGAGGGAAGGGAATAGGGAAAGAAGATAAAGGATAAGAATGGAGGAGTGACAACAGTACTTTCTAGATATGAAATCTTAGACTGTAGTTTATATAAGAATCAAGCTTAGAAAATGACTCACTTCTCAAAACCAGCTGCTGAAACGTTCCAGGAGTACCAGTGTTCCACCTGCCTGAAGCCATCACCTTAGCCCTTCCTGCAGGATGAGTTCCTGGTGAAGGTCTATAAGTAGGGTCAGTGGGGAGGAGGGGGTTAAAAGCAAGAAGACTCTGGGGAGAACTGTTTAAGGAGAAGACAAAACCCTGGCTCTTTGTACTGGAAAATTTGGGAAAACCAGCTCTTTGAGCTAGAAAAGGCTCACTGGTCAGCCTCCTACCCTTGTAAGTAAGAAGTAGGTAGATGGCAGGAGGGTAGGGGTACAGGAAACCTGGGAGCCAGTGTGGAGTAAGGTGCAAGGCAGAGGAGACTCTCATGCCTTGCACCTCCACTTTCCTTCTCCCCAGCTTGGGTGGCTCTGGCTAAAAGCACAACACCTTGTCTAAAACTAACCTGTGCATGCAAAGAGGCAGCTCTGAACTGGGAGAAGTGATGCCAACCAGCAAAAAGCAGGGCAAGGCAGGCGCAGTGGCTCACGCCTGTAGTCCCAGCACTTTGGGAGGCCGAGGCAGGTGGATCATCTGAGGTCAGGAGTTCGAGACCAGCCTGGCTGACATGGCGAAACCCCGTCTCCACTAAAAGTACAAAAATTAGCCAGGTGTGGTGGTGCGTGCCTATAATCCCAGCTACTCGGGAGGCTGAGGCAGGAGAATCGCTTGAACTGGGGAGGCAGAGGTTGCAGTGAGCCGAGATCATGCCACTGCACTCCAGCCTGGGCGAAAGAGCCAAAAAAAAAAAAAAAAAAAAAAATCAGGGCCAGACCTTGGGATAAGGGCCTCCTCCTCCTCCTGTTCAGGACCAAGTTAGGAGGGCCCCCAGGACTGTATCCTAGTCCTGTGCCAGGGAGGGCTCCCGGCCTATTCCCAAGCCTATAGAGGCTCACCAGTGGATGGGGGAATATTCTGGGGAATAACTGGTGAAAGAGATCAGATTATTGCAAATGAAGCAAGCTGCCTTCCACGGAGCCCGCTAGATGAGTCTAAAAGAGCCACAGCCACTGTGTCCTCCCATCCTCTCCAGTACCAGGACTGGAAGCTGTGAGCTGGGCTCAGCCGTAGGCCTGTACAACCACGGTGGAGTGAATGGGCAGGAAGGAGGCCAAGAAACTGAAAACAAGAATCAGAGTGAGTCCACACATGGACTGAAGGGGAAACTCGAAGCCAAGTTTCCACCAAATAATCAAAGGAGAGAGTAAGAACTGGAGCTTAGATCTATTATCTAAGCATAGGGCCACCCTCCCTTCCTGATCACTAAGGGACTGGGAGGACTTACCAGGCCCAGACCTGGCCCCAAACTGTCCTTAGAACTCCTTGGCAGAGGGCACTAACCATATGTAACCCGCAATGTCCTGTTCTTAGGAAAGCCAAGGTCAATTCCTCTTCCCCTGGCACTGGTAATGGTTTGACCCTTAAGTCAACCTACCAATAGCTCTCCTCCGACCACCTGAAGCTACCCTTCTAACCTCGGAGTCTGCCCAGTCATGGTCAAGCTATTTATTCCCTTGATTTCCTCGCAGTCAGACACACAAACACACATTCAGAGCCAGCTGGGCTGGGGACACAGTCCCAGAAGTACAGAATGTGTTCGCTTCCAGGTGGCATGCCTGTGCTTCAGCTGTGGCTGTACCAGCACGGATGCAGCCTCAGGCTCCTCTCCCAGCCTTGGCAGCCATCCAGAAAGCCAGCCCGAAGAGGAAGGGTTAAGTGCCTGGGGACCCAGCCCAGACAGCGGCTGCTGGAACAGGGAAGGCAGCCTCCAGGCCATGGCACAGAGGGCTCCTCCAGCACGAGCCTGCCAGCCGCCGCCTTTGTTGATGGACTCTGCCACATGCTCGGCTGACACGTGATGCCCCGCCCTGGCGGGGCTGGTGCCAGGCTGCCGGCCAAGCGCCCGGCTGAGCGCCCGGCTGGCCGCCGGTCTGGGGAGCCTCTCCGAGGTACACTCTCCGGAGTCCCAGACCCTGGTTCCCAGACAGAGACAGTGAGGAGCGGCCTCCCCAGCTGGAAAGTGTCAGGTTTCAACCGGTTCCACCACTTTCCCCAACTCAGGCCCCATCCCTTGGCCTGGTTACCCGTTTCCCACTGTACCTTAGCCAGGCACCCCCCAACTGCCCAGTTTCATTGCAGCACCCGGAAAATCTTCCTCTTAGGTCCGTGAGGGGCAACCCCTCAGCCACGGCCATAAGAAGAGACAGGTTGTCAAGCAGAGCTGCAGAAAGCCATCCTATTCCCAGACTGTAGCCTCTCCCGAGAGGGCTCTTATGGAACATGAATTGAGACTGGGCAGTTAACCAATGTGGAGCTCAGAGATGAGGGCAAGATGCTTAGCCAGTTAGGCCCCTCCTGCCCATGGGAACCGCCATAACCAAAACTCTGGGACAATATCCTTGAGGTCTGGCAGAGACAGAGTTGCTGACAAGAGGAGAGAGGCAGGCCCTGGCCCCCAAGCCCCAGCAGACTCAACCCTCCTCCCCTAAACCCCCGTGCCTACTTGCTGCACATGAAGCCGGTGGAACTGGTCTGCAATGCACTGAAGCTTTCGGGCAATCTGTACCTCTGCTTGATGTTGCCACTGCCCTTCGGGGGGCTGCTCCCCAATGGGCAAGACTGCTGGGAAACTGGCAGGGAGAGGAAGCCGATAGCCAGCATTGCCTGCAAAGATAGAGGATCCACATCTCAGCATTCTCCACAACTGCTCCAACCTCCCTACGCCTGCCTGACCTGGCCAAGATTGGAGGCTGAGGGTAAATCCTCATATGAGAAAGGATAGGAGCCAGCCTGCCTCTATTGGAGCACTCTGCCAAGCTTGGACAGCCTGCTGCCCAAGTGCATAAAAGTTGCAGAACAGAAAGAATGGCCCCAGCCTTCTCTTCGCTTCTCCATTCACTGACAGTGCCATGACAAAGGGCAGGTGGTAACGTGTGCAGGCGAACATGCCAGCCTTCCGTCCTTATTTATCAAGCTACCCTTAACCACAGTTGGTTATTCACGTAGTAGCAGGTTGAAGCTCTTCTCTGGAAAAGCACTGGAGGTAGCTCTCCAGTTTCTGGGTTGAGCAAAGTAAGAGGCAGAGCAAGAAAAAATCAAAAAGTGTCTTCACTTTTTTAGTGCAGTAGAGTAAGGCTG
This sequence comes from Homo sapiens, assembly GCF_000001405.40. Taxonomy (NCBI): domain Eukaryota; kingdom Metazoa; phylum Chordata; class Mammalia; order Primates; family Hominidae; genus Homo; species Homo sapiens. The sequence goes on from NC_000015.10 coordinate 40,104,815, forward strand.
GTCTCCCGAAGCTCCTGGGCAGCAGCACAAAAAGAGGGAGAGAAAACTGAGACGCACAGAGCTGCCAAGTTGCTCTCCGGAGACAGCCCCAGGCAAGACCTCTAGACCAGCGCTCCACACTTACCCAGTGCACGCGTTAGAACCACCGCTAGGGGCGCCAGTCCGCCGGGCTCCTCGCTCCTTTCCCTCTTCCCCGCCTGCCCGCCTTATCCAACTTCTCAGACTCCCGCCAGAACTGCTTTGCCAGAACTGCCCTAAGGGGCAGTTCCCTCTGGGAGTAACTGCAGTGTCTCCTCAATCAGCTCGTCAGACACAGTAAGCCACGCTCCTAGCCTTTACCCTCCCTCCATAAGCTGCAGTGCTAATAGAAGAAAACAGACTGTCTAACCCTGCCCTTTTGCCAGAGGAGGGCATATTTCTCATAAAACAAACTATTTAAGCCCACAAATGAAGGGGTCTTGTCTTAGCCTTGGAAGCATCCCCTCTCCTGGCATTGGGCCCAGGCAGGCCCAACCTCTTTCTCCAGTTCCCCTTTCACACACAGAAAGTCCCATGTGGCAACTGGGGGCCACCTTCTGCCTTTGGGAACCCTCCCTCCCAGAACCGGCTGGGTTTTTCCCTTCATTGTCAACAGCCAGTCACAGATCCCCCAGACTTCTCCAGGGCAACAGGAGCCACTTTATAGTAGGCAAGTCACTGCTAGGACACTAAAGGCCAGGCCACTCAAGGGGCACAAGATGTAAAAGGAGATACCATGGACCCAAGGATCCCTCCAGGAGGGGACAATTTGCCCTTTGGGGGGTCTGAGGCACAGGTGAGGAGCAATAACAAGCCGAGAGGCAGCAGGTGGAAGTCAAGGAATCAACAGCCCCGCTGATCACTTTGGGGGAAGGAAACAGCAAAGGGCAGGTTTGGGGAGGGAAAGTCCCCTCTTTTCCCCCAGTCTCTATGGGAGGAGTCTTGAGGCTGAGAGCACTCACCATAAAAGAGTCGCTGGGGTTCCTCAGTCACCCCACAAGGCAGCATGACACCTTGGCTGGGGGAGGCTGGGCTGAGAGTCTGGGTAGCTTTGTCTTCCTGGCTGGTGGGTCGAAGGCCAGGGCCACAGCAGTGGGTGAGAGGGAAGAGCTGAAGTCGGCTGAGGGGGCAGTCCAGTAGGCTCTGGGCAAACAGGTCAGCAGAGAGCAAGCTCCCGGGTTGGGTCACCGGCTCCCCATCCTCTGGTTGGAACACATCATCCTCCAGCTCCTCCACACACTGAGATGGCTCCATCTCTCCTGTGAGGGGGCAACGCAGGCATCTGGGCTGCTGCCCCACCAGGGCCATACCTGGAAGGACTCCCCTTCCCTTCTTCCTACCATACTCCCCCTTCTTATTTGAGCTGGCCGGACCACATACTGATGACATACAACCCTGGTAATAAAGCACTGCTAAGGGTGACATTCACTCCCCAAATGTGGACTGCCTGAATGTTCAGGGGCTCTCCACACCTCTTCCCTGGGCCCGCCTGGAACCACCCTTTTTCTTGATCACGTTTTCTGACCTAGGCCGGTCACAAAGTTTGACTCTGAGGGTTGTGAGCAATAGCAGGAGTAGAATCAGCAGCTATATGCATGCAGGGTACCTGGGAAAATATAAACAAGACTAGCCTCTGTAAGTTGCTGTCAAGGGTGCTGTGACTGGCTATACATACAGTGCTCACAACACACACACACACACACACACACACACACACACATACAGAGTCATTGTCCCAAGGAAATTCTTATCTCAGTCTGAGCTGAGCTCCAGGCTCAGCAGCAAAAACAAAAGCCAGCAATCCTAGGACAGCCAGGTTCCCTCCAAACCTCTAAGCCCCGCCCTGCTGCCCATCTACTCTAATCTCCACCCCTTGCTTGCACAACACAACAAACAGGCTCTGCAGTGTGGTAAGAATGTGTCCTGGGAGAGGGGATAAAGACCCAAGCTAGTCATTGCAGCTGCCGTCTCGGCTCTCTTTGAGCAGAGTTGAGCTGTCTGCCCACCAAAGTTTGGCCTAGAGGGTAGGTCCAGCCTCTCCCAACTAAGTCTCCTCACTAGTCTCCACGACTTCAAATCCCTGATTCCACAGCCTCCCGCTCCTGCCAGCTCTGAACCTGAGACTGGTACAACTGGTCTTACAGAAGGAAGTGAAATTCAGCCCTCTCCCTGTGACCTCACTCACTGCCTATACTGCTGAAGTTATTGATATGAGTTTCTTGGTGATAAAGAAGTTCCTCTTGCTCCACCTGATGGCTCTTGAAAGTCTGAGCTTGGAGCTACTCAGCATCTTAAGCTTCCAACCCAGCTCCCTACACATACCAGGAACTGCTTAGGGCCCCTGCAGCAGCCAGAAGCAGCAACCACCTGAACAGCTAAGGATAAAAAGAGATGAATTTCATTCTTGTCAGACTCAATTAGAGATTCCTGGGGGTTCTGTCCCCTAGTCTCTTGCCTTTGAAGAACAAGCCAAATGGTCTATGGATTGGTGAAGTAGCTAAAAGAATCTCAGTTCAATTCAGAATGCTGCCTTTGCCAAACACAAGCTGTGAGCTGCTTGCTTGGGCCCTGCCTTCGTCCCATCCCATCCCTGTCCCTGAGCTGTCTATGGTCCTGTCTGTGCCCTCTTCCCTGGAGAATGAGGAGATGCCTGCTAGGATGGCAAGCAGCCACGTGGTGTTCTTTGGACCGTGTTTCCCAAGTGTGTGTGTGTGTGTGTGTGTGTGTGTGTGTGTGTGTGTGTATGGGGAGGGGGGTGAGGTGGTGCACTCCAGCTTATTAACAACAGGAAACAAAATTTCCTGATGAAAGGACCAAGTGCTGTCCCGCCAGTCACCTGGCAGGGGCTCCCCTCCAGCTCTCCAACCTCCTCTTCTCAGGCTAGCAATCTTGACCTAAGAAGGGGCCCTCAAAGCCAATCACCAGCACGAGTCATTGTCTTGGTTTTTCCTTTGAAGCCTATCACCTTCCCCTCCCCCTCCCAGCAAAGCCCCAAAGTTCAACCTTTGCCTGGACTGGACAGTGGGGGAGGTGCAGCCAGAAGGTGTGGCTCTGCAAGCCCCAGGGACCCCTCTCACGCTCCACAAACTGTAGGTGGCTTGCCTGTAGGTGGGCGCCTCTGGAGGGGTGCTGGCCAAGGTCAAGGGTAAACTAAGAGAGGGTGAAATTTTTCTCCTGAGCTTAAGAGGTGATGTCCAGAGCGGTGGGAGGAGGAGGGCACTTCCTGAGAACAGGGCCAGGGAATGCTTTATTCCTAGCAAAGGAACTCAAGCCCCGCTGCAGCCATCCCAACCCCTAAGGGCTGGAAGAGGGATGCTGAACTTAGACTCCTCCTCCTCTTAGGAGAAGGCAGTAGTCAGACACCCAGATCCTCGACAGTGACTAGGAACACACACACACACACACACACACACACACACCCCAGACCTGGGTGACTCCAGGAGAGAGTCTCGGCCTCCGAGTCGTGATGCCAGGGCTCCGCGCCAGGGTCCAGCGTGACGAGCACTCGGGGGCTGGACGCCCAGACTCGATTGGGAAGGAGGGAAAAAGCCCAGCTGTTAAGGAGAGGAGCCTTCAGACTCCGCAGAGAGGCAGGATGCCCCACAGCTCCTGTCCTATCCCAAAGTCAGACCCAGAGGCTGGGCCGTTCTCGGGCGCCCAGGTCTGCTCAGCAGTGCACCCCAGGTTCCCCTGCCTACCTGGACCCAACTCCTTCGAGTCCCAAATGCTACCCCCAAGTTCCCTCTTGGAGCAGCGCACCCAACTGTGGGTTCTGCACCCCGTTCCCTCACCCCAGCGCCCCAGTTCTTCATGGTCACCCCAGACGTCCGCAGCCCAAACCCTTCCCGGGCCCCCGTGCGCAGCGCGACTCCGCTCCCCACTTCCCCAAGGAGCTGCGATCCAACTCCGCCCGGCCCCCGGCGGCCACCCGGGCGCTCACCGGGCTGCGGCAGGAGGCGGGAGGCGCAGGCAGGGGCGGCGGCGGCGGCGGGCACAGGCCGGGGCGGGAGGAGGCCACTCCGCACGGTGCGGTATTGTTTCCAAAATACGCCTGCTCGGGGCATCCCGCAAACAGCTGATGAGGCCCCGCCCCCCTGCGCGTCACGCCGAGGACTGACCAATGGCGAGTGAAGCGCCAAGTCCCGGGCTGGGCCGCTGCCAGGGACGGTCACGAATGTACGAACCTTCCCATGGAAACATTGCAAGGGGCCGAGCAAAATTCCGACCGTCGCCAGAAGCGCAGTCGGAGCGCCGTCGCCAGTGCGGATTCTGTCCCTAACACAGGCTCTGGAAGCGCCAGAGAGTCCCTGAATCCTCTGTATTAGGTGTGGGAGAGGGGGCGCCAAAGTAACTTTTGTCTTCTTTTTCACGGCAATGGGCAGAATAATTGCTGCGCGTCCACAAAGGGAGGGGGGAAGGAGGCGGGGAGTTTTTTTATGAGGCTGGTGCGTCCAGTGGGTGCAGGGTGCAGGGTGCGGGTCCCTATGGGATCCCAGCCTCAGGGGAAAGCTCCCTCCCGCCTGCCGAGCAGGTCGGAAGAAAACTGCAGCTCCAAAGCTGAAGGTGTGTTTGAAACAAACACATCCAGGGGAGCCCTTAGGTCCTCTTCTTGACTGGGCGTGGGCACTGGCAAAATAAGCACCTGGCTGAGAAGCGGAGCGCTCAAGAAGGCCGGGGCTGCTTGAGCGGTTGACACATATCTCGCATATGGCAGCATTTAGAGACTGTGCTGGTGCTGCCAGGAGAGCAGCATGTCCTGCAGACCGCGTAAGGGAGTCTATGGGCTACTTCACAGGCATTTACCGAGCACCTACTCTGTGCCAGATATTGGGCTGAGTGCCAGAAACCTGGCGTCTGCCCTCAAGGAGCTTACAGTCTACTAGGAGAGGTAGCCCTGAAAATAGTGAAAAGTTATTGGAATTGTATTCATTCCAAGGATAATGACTATTGAGGAATGCAGAAAAATTCAGAATACAAAGGCTGGAGAAGGCCTCAGGGAGACAGCTTTTAAATTGAATGGGAAATATTTTTCAATAAGGAAAACCAGATGCACATGTCTCACGCCTGTAATCCCAACACTTTGGGAGGCCGAGGCGGGTGGTTCACTTGAGCTCAGTGGTTGGAGACCAGCCTGGCCAACACGGGAAACCCTGTCTCTACTAAAAATACAAAAATCAGGCGGGCGTGGTGGCGCATGCCTGTAATCCCAGCTACTTGGGAGGCTGAGGTAGGAGAATTGCTTGAACCTAGGAGGTGAAGGTTGCAGTGGGCGGAGATAGCGCCACCGCACTCCAGCCTGGGCGACAATGAGACTCCGTCTCAAAAAAATAAAAATAAAATAAAATAAAAAAGAATAGCCCAGGCCTAAGGGTAGCAGACTGAAGTGCTGAGCTGGAGAGCTTACCTGTGCAGGGAGCAGAGGGAGGCTTGGTGACTGGATCATTGGGTGCACACTGAGATTTACGAACGGTAGGCATGGGCAGGTGGGTTCAGGTCAGACTACAGAGGTGTCCCTGGAATGCCAGACTGAAGAATCTGTATTTTATAAAGGGGAGGCAGCAAAGATTTTATTGGAGATGAGTGACTTGACCAAGCCTGAGTTTTAGGAAAGATAAAATGATGAGTCCAGAGAGCAGTGAGAGGGAGCCAGTCCTGCAACAACCCTGACCCACCAGGGGCAGTAGGGCTCAGCAGTGCTCTGACCACCGAGCTGCTCTCTGGGTTGTAAACTTAGATTTAAGTTCAGTGGAGCTGGGACCTTCAGCCCAATAGAGCCTGAAGTCTCCTTGTACCTTTTTCCCATCATTCTTTCCTTTGCTCCCTCAGAAGTCACCTGAAACAGAATGAACCAGCCATATTGAGGGCTGTGGTTGCTAGAATAGAAAAATACTGTCTCCAAAGGACAAAGAGGGAAAAGGGAAAGAGTGGGGAGTCAAGGTTAGCCAGTAGCACAGTCCCCCGAAATTGATAGATTTCCAGCAAAAGGCACTAAGCCAAAAGGAGGTATATTATTTTACCCAGAGGCTTGGCCAAAAGTGCATGTCTGAGCTGGTCAGAGTGACCTTGCACTCCTGCTACATGTAGGGAGATACAGAAACCAAACCTAGCCTCTGTGAAGGGCACCGGCAGCCCTCCGTGATTTCCAATGCACCGACTCCCTTCCGCTCCTTCCTTCCATCCTTCTCTTCTCATTTGCTTTCCTATCAGACCAGTGTCTCAGGCTGGCCAGTGGTGCCCCTGAGCATTCCTTCGGTTCAAGAGTGAAACTCAAGGCCACAGCAGCTCTGAATCTGCCCTCTGGGACAGCACAGGCCCTGAGGGCTGGGGCCATCGTAGCTCTCCTGACCCACCTGAGATGCTAAAGCTCTGTGTGCTTCATCACAGCCCTGCATGGTAAAATTGGGTCCACAAGGCAAAGAAGCTGAGAGAATGGGTTCTTTTTGTTTGTTTTGAGACAAGGTCTTGCTCTGTTTCCCAGGCTGCAGTGCAGTGGTGCAAACACAGCTTATTGCAGCCTCAATCTCCCAGGCTCAAGTGATCCTCCCACCTCGGCCTCCCAAGTAGCTGGGACTGCAGGTGTGCACCACCACAGCCAGCTACTTTTTAAATTTTTTATTTTTGTACAGACAGGGTCTCACTATGTTGCCCAGGCTGGTCTTGAACTCCTGGCCTCGAGCACTCCTCCCACCTCGGCCTCCTAAAGTGCTGTGATTATAGGCATGAGCCACCGCACCCAGCCAAGAATGGGATATTGATATGGGATCTATGTACTCATCAGGCTCATCAGAGTCCTGAGCTTTAGGGTTTATGAACCCCTGAAACTGGCTAAACTGTGTTTGTGGGTACACACAAACATTTTTGTGAGTGGGGTGGATCCATAGCTTACAACAGTTTCATAAAGTGGTCTGTGGCCCTATAAAGGTTTCAGAAAATCGTCATTGTGACAGAACTGGGCTGAGGAACAGGAGGGAGTATCTCAGGGGGTCTGGCAGTTTGCAAGATATGGGGAGGGTCACATCACTATTGATATTTATTTTAAGACCTCTCTCCCAGGTCTTCACAGCCTGCTCCCTCAGGCTGGTTCTGAAAGACACCTGTGGCTTTGCCTCCTGCGCTCTCAGTCTCTAAGGTCAAGCAGCAAGGGGCCCAGCCTTCTGAGCTAGAGGGACCAGAGAAGGACTGTCAGGGATAAAGGGGTCAGGGAGGTCAGGAGCCTCACCCCCACCTCTCATCACTGTCAAAGCAGACTCCTCCCTCTATGCCCTTTTCCCCCTTTCAGCACTGCATGGACTCAGCAGTATCAGGACCTGCTGTGCTGCAGATCTGGGCTCTGAGCCCCCTGACCAATAGCAGCACCCTGGGAACAGATGAACCCTGAGCTTTTGACTGGGCTCGGAGCAAATACACAGTGCAGTCACAGCAACCTCTATTTTGGAGAATTTCCTTTCTCTCATTCTCTTCCTGCACCTTGTCTCAATTTGTTTTCTCCTCTGCTAACTGATGCTGGCTCTGGGAGAAGGGTCCCCAGAGAAAGGCATCAGCACGGAGGCTGATAGGGAGGAGGGCCTTCCCTGACAATCTTGGAGGGATACAGAGTTAAGGGGAGGCTGCTCTCAACCAGAGAGAAAACCCAGCTCCTGTAGAAAGCGGGCAGGAGCCCTCTCCATTGTCTCACCTGGCTATAGGATTTCTCTCTGAGACAAGAAATGGCTCTAAAACTCCAGTAACTGGATCACTGGAAAGGGCGGTTTTTAAAAAACCAGCTGACAGCTGAATAATAGGAATTACCAGGCAGGCTGCCCTGGGGTTACTGAGGTTTGTAACTCAACCCCCAGGGAGGGGTTAGATGGGAAACTGATTTATGGGTAAGGTTGGGGTCTTGCTGGGGGAGCACATGGTGCCTGACCCCCTTAACTACTTCCAGAAGAGCTCATATATGTAAGAAAGACCAGGGATCTGCAAGACGTGGGTGTCCTTCCCTTGCCGGACTTGCCCTATCAAAGGGACTTTATCTGTTATCCGTCTGTCTGCAAAGGATAGTTCCTCTCTTCTGAGTTGTAGAGAGTGTGTGTTTGTGCGCACGAATGTGTGTGCATGTGTGTATGCGTGTGTGTGCGCGTGTGTGTGCGTGGGTAGGTGTGCGTGCATGTGTGTGCACGTGTGTGTGCGCTGGTAGGTGTTTGTGGGCGTGTGTGCACGCGTGTGCGTGGGTGTGTGTGTATGCGTGTGTGCGGGTGCACACACACGTATGGCGGGGGTGCGCGCACGTGTGTGTGTGTGTGTGCGCCAGAACAGACAGATTGGCTTCTACTAACTGGGCAAGTTAAGAAATTTGATTGCCTAGTCAATGAGCTCACTTCTTGCCAATTGCTGATTCAGAGGGATTCAAATAGAAAAAGCAGGTACTCTACTCAAGAGAAAGCATCTGGGAATTCAGAGACCTGGATGTAAAGGGAAATACAGAAACTAAGGACTAAAGCTGGCATGCTACCCTCTGGGAAAGCTTGGAAGATAAGATGTGAAGTCCAAGATCCCATGAAGTATGACAACAGCATATGTTCAGTTTCATTTGGGGGGACTACTCGGTAAATATTTGTTGAATGAGTAAATGAATGTATATTCACACGTTTAAAAAGTACAAGTAGTTCTGTATTAGGAAGTGGGAAGAAAGCTACAGTGGGGGATTCCCGATAAATGTCCTGTCTACATTGGCTTTGCCATTTAGGATGCCTGGTCTTATCTTAGTTTCTTTTTTTTTTCTTTTTAAAAAATTATTTAATAGAGATGGGGGTCCGCCTGTGTTGCCCAGGCTAATTTCAAACTCCTGACCTCAAGCGATCCTCCCACCTCAGCCTCTTGAGTAGCTGGGATTACAGGTGCAAGCCACTGCACCCAGCTTATCTGACTGAGTTTCTTCTCACCAGCGAGATGATCCTCCAAGAAGACAAGGGTGATGCCATCTACTCCTTGATACCCTCCGACTGCTCTGCTCCAGGCTTGGCACATGAGTCACTCACTAAGTCTTTGGAGACAAATTTACTGGAAAAACTATGAGCCAGGCCCTCAGGGCAGTATCCTCAGCTCCCCTCTCCTCAACCCAGTGTGCAGCCCGTGGAAAAGAAGTTAGCTTTATCCTGCCAAGGAATGAAGAAATCCAACAGAAATACACTTTCTTTAACTCTACTTCTCCCAGGATGTCAGCCTTTTTCCTGGTCAAATGTACATCACTACAACAGTACACACTTCTTTTTGGGATTGGCAGGGAAATCTCAGAAATTTCTAGCTGAGGCCAGATTTATTGCTATCAAGGAAACCTGCCACCCAGAAGAGCTGGGGACCAGTCCCTTCCCGGCTTCAAGTGTCCCAGGTTTTGAACTTGGTGTTCAAGATGATCTGGGCTGAGAAGTGAGTTAGATCAGCTGTTTTTCAGCCAACTCCTTAGTCCCCACTGTCCTGGAGGGGAACAGGGTCTCTCTCTGGAAGGGGCTTCATGAGACAGGGGTTCAATCCCTCAGGTGTGAGTTTATCAGACATTTACTGAGCACTTGCCATATGTTAGGCTCCACGCCAGCAGCTGGAGGTACAGACACAATCCCCTTGGGGATCATTGAACACATCAGAACCCTTTTTTCTCAAACATGAACTTGCATATACACACCTATACACATGCTCAAAGAGACACTGAGGATTAGAGGAGGGTATAGCAAGAAGAGCTGGAACTAAACAAGCTAAGGAAAAACAGCCTTCTCCCAAATGGTCTTGCCTTTCCTCGCATAGAAGCATCTGGAAATGTCTGAAGCCCCATTTCCCTGCTCTCAAAGCCCACCTGTTATCAGGTGGAGTAGACAGAGCTCTGGGCTAGTGTGGCCAGGTGCAGTAGCTCATGTCTATTTATCCCAGCACTTTGGGAAGCCAAGCCAGGAAGATTATTTGATGCCAGGGGAATCACTTAAGACCAGCCTAGGCAACATAGTGAGACCCTTTCTCTACAAAACATTTAAAAATTAGCTAGACATGGTGGTGCACGCCTATGGTTCTAGCTACTTGGGAGGCTGAGACAGGAGAATCACTTGAGCCTAGGAGTTGGGGGATACGATTGCACCACTGCACTCCAGGGTGAGTGACAGAGTGAGACCCTGTCTCTTAAAAAACAAAAAACAAAAACAAACAAACAAAAAAACAGAAAGAGCTCTAGGCTAGATGTCAGGAGATCTGGATTCAGCTCCCAGCTCTGCTACCACAGGTGATCTTTTCCAACATGCATTTATATGCCCTTATGGATTCAGAGGTGGCATAACTCGGGTAAATAGTCTGGCTTAGCAGGGATTAGAATTTAGGGCTGACGGGCCGGGCATGGTGGCTCACGCCTATAATCCCAGCACTTTGGGAGGCCGAGGTGGATGGATTACCTGAGGTCGGGAGTTCGAGACCAGCCTGACTGGAGATGGAGAAACCCCATCTTCTACTAAAAATACAAAATTAGCTGGGCGTGGTGGCACATGCCTATAATCCCAGCAACTCGGGTGGCTGCGGCAGGAGAATCGCTTGAACCTGGGAGGCGGCGGTTGCGGTGAGCTGAGATCATGCCATTGCACTCCAGCCTGGGCAACAAGAGCAAAACTCCATCTCAAAAAAAAAAAAAAAAAAAAAGAGAATTTGGGGCTGACACCCACCTCTTAGCGCAATCCTGCCCAGGTCCCTGGGCTGTAATGAAAACAACTCCCACCTGCTGAGCATTTACTATGTGCCAGACATGTTGTGTCAAACAGTGTCTCATTCAGGCTTTAACAACCTCAAGATAGACCTATTACCATCAGCCGTGTTTTACACTTAAGAAAACTAAGTTTACTTCTCCGAGTATGGGCCCACAGCAACAGAAGCACAGTCTGAAGCCACCCTGGCATGAAAGCCAGTGCTAACATCCCATACCTCTACTGCCTTTAGGCACACTCAGTCCCTCCCCACAGACAGGATTCACTCCCCTTCCCCCATCAATAACACACTGACCCCGGCTGCCCCCTGAACAGGAAGGCCAAGCCTGAGGCAGCCTAGCGAGGTACATTCCAGCTCTCTCAGTTGCAAACACTCCCACTGCCACCACCACCTGTGGCAGAAGCGATTGCATCACCCGCAGGAAGCGGTCCAGCGGCCCAGCATCAGCTCTAAGGCACATTTTCGGTTCCTACTTCTATCCTTGACTACATTCAACAGGCTGCCCTGTCTTCCAGCCCCTGCCCTGGCCCTGTAGCTTTAGGCTAATGTGATGACTGGACATGGGACTGCAGTCTGCTACTTAGATGAGATTTGTACAGGTCCATTTTCTCATCACTGCCGGGTGGGTGAGGGGGGTCCGGCTAAAGGGGGCTTCTCAGCTAAGGACCATTCGGAGATCCTGTGGGCTCAGAGAAAAGTCCTCTCGGATGCAGGAGACAAGCAAGGGAGGGGAGTCCCAGGCAGGTACCATAACCTTATCGCTACCTTTCAATGACGTGGGCCAGCGAGAAGAAGGCCCTCAAGAGCCTGCCAACACAGCCAGGATGTCTCTGATGTGGGGGTCTCAGCCCATCCGACTGGCAGACATGCTACACTGGGCTTTGCTTTCCTCCCTCTATTATTATTTTTTTTCTTGAAACAGGGTCTCACTTTGTTACCCAGGCTGGAGTGCAGTGGTGGCACAGTCTTGGCTCACTGCAACCTCGGCCTCCTGGGTTCAAGTGATCCTCCCGCCTCAGCCTCCCCAGTAGCTGGGATTACAAGTGTGAGCCACCATGCCTGGCTAATTTTTGCATTTTTAGCAGAGACGGAGTTTCGCCATATTACCCAGGCTGGTCTCGAACTCCTGACCTCAGGTGATCCGCCCCTTCTGCCTCCCAAAGTGCTGGGATTACAGGCGTGAGCCACCACGCCTAGCCACTTTCCTCCCTCTATTGCCATGGAATCTTCTGGAACTGAGGAGAGATCCTTGTCCCTGTAGTTTCTCTTCTGCCTGTCCTGGATGTTCTTTCCCTCTCTGCCAACTTCTGTCTCCCTCCTCCTCACGTAGCACTCTTTCTTTATCTCTTCATCTCTCTTCCTACGGTGGTTTCTTCCTGCATTCACCACCTCTCTCTGGCCCCACCCTGGGTCACAGCAATAGCAGTCAGCCTTTTAGGCTCATAAAATACTCGACATTTTAGTGGAAGTCATCTTGTGTGGAGAGGCTGCTTCTTTTAATGTTATCGTCCCCATTTGAAAAGGGTTCACTTGAGTCTGAGCGACATTTTAAATGCCTCTACAGGTGGGGTTATCACTGTCTCTTCACACAGAGATCAACCCTAAGCCAGAGACCAATATGGGTTTCTCCCAGCTCTCAGATAGCTCTTCAAATGCTGAACCTGACCGACTCCTTGGTAGGGGTTAAGGCACCTGGATCAGTGATTTGAATAAATATCAAGTTGTTCTTTTAGGACCAGCCCAGCCTTAAATGACCAACACTGGTTTACTCTGTTTAAAGAAATGTCAAGCTGCAGTGTGAACCTGGATAATGATAGGACCATTTCAGAATCACTCCAAAGGTTTTCAGGTCACAAAGCTGCACCAGATGTAATAAACCCTAAAGAAACAAATGGGGACCCCAAGGACTCTGAATTCTTCCCCAGAATTAGGCTAGGTTATGAGATCTATTCCAGGTTTCATGGAATCTTTAGTATCAACTGAGGCTATGCAAACTTGTGATAAAAAATAAAAATAAAAAATATAAAACTGACTGGGCGCGGTGGCTCACACCTGTAACTCCAGCACTTTGGGAGGCCAAGGCAAGTGGATCACTTGAGGCCAGGAGTTCGAGACCAGCCTGGCCAACATGGTGAAACCCCCTCTCTACCAAAAATACAAAAATTAGCCAGGCGTGGTGGCACGTGCCTGTAATCCCAGCTACTCAAGAGGCTGAGGTAGGAGAATCGCTTGAACCCCGGAGTCGGAGGTTGCAGTGAGCCAAGATCTCACCACAGCACTCCAGCCTGGGCAACAGAGCGAGACTCCGTCTCTAAATAAATAAATAAAAACTATCAAGATCAATCTTGAAAGTTAGGAAAATACAAAAAAGGAGGAAATTTTTAAAAATTCCCAGATGCTTCAGAGTAATTTTTTTTTGCCAATCTTGACCCCTCTCACAGTGAAGGTGTAAAATATACAAAAGTGACCCCTGTATAAGCTTCTGGCATAGATTCTTATTGACCTGAGGGAGAAAATACTTCTCCAGTTTATATCACCACTGAGACAAGATCATAGACTATGACCCTTACTATGGTTTGGAGAAGTTCTCAGAGGTGAGGAGAAAAGAACCTTGATGTTGCTTTGAGTATGGAACGTAGTTCCTCAGCAAAGCATTTTTGGAGTTTACTAGTTTCCTTGTCTGCAGGAAGTTTTTGCTTAAATATTTATTGCTCAAATATTCCCTGTCGGCAGAGAGCTTCTGTATTCCATTTCTTTGGTACTTACAACAAAGTTTGTGTCATTTTCTTTGAAATGCGATTTTTAAAAAATAATTTAGTCTTATATTTTGGGGACCTGGTTTCATTTGATCACGTTCTCCCCTTGGCAATGGGGTCCTTTCCTCTTTCTACATATTCCCCACAGGTTTAACTGAAATAATTATTACTTCCTCTCTGAAAAAAACTATTTCCTTTACATTAAGTATTTCTAGGGCACATACCATGTGCTATCCTCATCAAACCACATTAGGAATTTTAGGAAGGCCATGAGGTATAAGACATGTCTCCTACCTGCCTTCCCACTGGCCTGCCCCACCCCTCCTCCACTTTCATCATGCCCAGGGGCCACTGAAGGAGCCAAGATTCCTCGGGGATTTAATTGGGTGGCCACAGATAACACAGCGAAATAATACTATGACCACAGTGAGATAACACTGTGACTCAGTTAAGAAGCCAGTGTTGGCCAGGCTCAGTGGCTCATGCCCGTAATCCCAACACTTTGGGAGGCCAAGGCAGGCAGATCACTTGAGGTCAGGAGTTTGAGACCAGCCTGGCCAACATGGTGAAACCCTGTCTCTACTGAAAATACAAAAATTAGCTGGGCATGGTGGTGCATGCCTGTAATCCCAGCTACTCGGGAGGCTGAGGCAGGAGAATCACTAGAACCTGGGAGGCAGAGGTTGCGGTGAGTCGAGGTCATGCCACTGCACCCCAGCCTGGGTGACAGAAGGAGGTTTCATCTCAAAGAAAAAAAAGAAGAAGAAGAAGCCAGTGTAACAGGGTAAGAACAAGGCTTTGGAGTTAGACAAATGGGGTTTCAAATCTCAGCCTTGGCACCTGCTGGTGATTTGGGAGTAGTAAATTAACCTCTCTGAACTTAGTTACATCACTTCTCAGATGGAGATAATTATAACATCCTCATGTGGTTGTTGGGGAGTAGAAATTCTAATGAACTATACAAAGCACCTATTAGAGTGCTTTTGTATAGAATAGATGCTCAACAAATGGTAGATACTACCATGTGTTCAGCACTGTGTGACAACTGTGAGATAGAGAAAGAGTTGAGCCAGGCATGGAGGGGTGTTCCTATAGTCCAAGCTACTCTGGAGGCTAAGACAGGAGGATCACCTGAGCCCAGGAGGTCGAGGCTGCAGTGAGTCAAGATTTTGCCACTGCACTCCAACCTGGGTATCAGAGCGAGACTCTGTCTCAAAAAAGTAAAATAAAATAAAATAAAATATAAAGTTGGAAGAAAAATGAAAAAACTGTTGGCCCTGTTTATAGAAGCTGTTCTAGTTGAGGAATCAAACCTAGCACATAAAAAATAACTGTAGCATGTTAAAAATGGCATATAAGGCTGGGCTTGGTGGTTCACACCTGTAATCCCTGCACTTTGGGAGGCCGAGGTGGACAGATCACAAGGTCAGGGGTTCGAGACCAGCCTGGCCAATATGGTGAAACCCCGTCTCTACTAAAAATACAAAACTTAGAGAGGCCTGGTGGCAGGTGCCTGTAGTCCCAGCTACTCGGGAGGCTAAGGCAGGAGAATTGCTTGAACCCTGGAGGCGGAGGTTGCAGTGAGCCAGGATCGCGCCACTGTACTCTAGCCTGGGCGACAGAGCAAGACTGTCTGAAAAAAAAAAAAGCATACAAATTACCTTAAAAATCATATTCCAGTCAGCCCTCTGTATCCACAGGCTCTGCATCTGTAGATTCAACCAACCTCAGTTCAAAAATATTCAGGAACAAAACAATTGCATCTGTACTGAACATGAATAGACTTTTTTTCCTGTCATTATTTTCTAAACAATCCAATATAACAACTATTTACATAGCATTTACATTGTGTTAGGTACTGTAAGTAATCTAGAGATGACTTGAAGTATATGGGAGGATGTGCATAAGTTAAATGCAAATATTACATCATTTTATATAAGGAACTTGAGCACCTGTGGATATTGGTATCCAGTGGAGGCCCTGGAACCAATTCTACACAGATATTGAGAGATGACTATAATAGAATATAATGACTATAGAAATAAAATGAGACTATGCATGTAAAATGCTTGACACCAAAGTGCCTTACATATAGTAAATACTCAATAAATGGTAGTACAGTAGTTATTATTATTAACAATAACATTCTCCTAGATTCTTTCTAGAATAGTGGTTTTCAAAGTGTGATCCCTGGTTCAGCAGCATCAGCATCACCTGGAACTTGTTAGAAATGCATATTATTGATCTCCCTCCCAGACCTACTGACTCAGAAACTCTGAGAGTGGGACCCAAAAATCTGTGTTTTTATCTATCTATCTATCTATCTATCTATCTATCTATCTATCTATCTAGAGACAAAGTCTTGCTCTGTTGCCCAGGCTGCCATGCAGTGGCATCATCACAGCTCACTGCAGCCTCTACCTCTTGGGCTCAAATGATCCTTCTGCCTCAGCCTCTCTAGTAACTGGGGCCACAGGTGCACACCACCATACCCAGCTAATTTTTAAATTTTGTTTAGAGACAGGGTCTCACCATGTTGCTCAGGCTGGTCTCAAACTCCTGGCCTCAAGCGTTCCTCCTGCCTTGGCCTCCCAGAGTGCTGGGATTACAAGCATGAGCCAGCATGCCCAGCTCAATCTGTGTTTTAATAAGCTCTCTGGGTGATTCAGAGGCAATAGTTCTCCATATTGACTGCACATTAGAATTACTGGGGAATTTCTTTAAATCCTGATGCTGGCTGGGTGCAGTGGCTCATACCTGTAATCCTAGCACTTTGGAAGGCTGAGGTGGGCAGATCACTTGAGGCCAGAATTTTGAGACCAGCCTGGCCAAAATGGTAAAACCCCGTCTCTACCGAAAATACAAAAATTAGCCAGGTGTGGTGGTGCACACCTGTAATCCCAGCTACTAGGGAGGCTGAGGCACAAGAATCACTTGAACCTGGGAGGCAACGGTTGCAGTGAGCCCAAATCACAACACTATACTCCCGCCCAGGCAATAGAGCAAGATTCTGTCTCAAAAAAAAAAAAAAAAAAAAATCCTGATGGCCATGCTTCACCTAGACCAATCAGGATTTCTAGGGATGAGATCCAGGCATTAGGATTTGTTAAAGCTCCCCCATGTTATTCAAATGTACATCTGGGATTTTGGAATATATCTGTACATAGAGCTTTGAGTTTACAAGAAGAGAAGACTATTCAATCTTTACAATGAGTAAGTTTTCTAAAGTAAATTATGGAAAGGACCCTAAAATACCCTTTCCATCATTTCACCCCTCCTCCCAAATTGGCCCTATAAAAAAGACCCAGGAAGAAGACAGAGCCCCTTCTGTAACCTGAGGTTGAGCAGAGGGTCATGGAACAATTCATCCTGCTTCTTCCCTTTAGAAGAACAGCCATCCCAGGGAAAAGACATGGAGAGCTTGAGCCTGATACTAATTTTTAATCATTCCGTGCTATAAATTCCCTCTGGAGGACAAACAGGCATCTGTCTTGACATTAAGAGGCTCTTGTGTCACCCAAATCCTTTAATTATTCATGCAACAAGGAAGATCCTTTATGAGCCCCAACCAAGCACTCCAAGAGCCTGATCCAGTTGTCCCTAGATGCAGTCTGTCTACCTGGCCACACTTGCCCAACCTGGCTTAACTTTGGTGTCTCCAAAGCCCAGGATGATATCTCAGAAAGAGAACTTGGTGTGGAGTTTAGCAGAATTTGGAGTGAAATGGAAGGCAGGATAACCTAGAGCTCATGTGCCATCCTCTGTAAGTGATTGTACAAGATGAGGTGTTTGGAAACAGTGGGTTTTCACCCCAGCCATGCCTGTGATTAGAGGGAATAGCCACTGGCCCCTCAGTTGCGCTTGCTGGTAAAGTTGCTTTCCTACAGGCTGTTTTAGGAAAGTAGCTAGGAGTAAAAGAAAGGTGAGATTTGGAATCCTCCGGCAGACAGAAATCCTACTGTGTGTACCTTATAAGTTACTTAAACTTATAAGTCCCAACTTCATCTATTTATAAAAATTGGGGCTTCAACGAGATGACAAATGTATAAGTCCTAAGCATAGTGCCAACTACGTAGATGCTTAGGAAATGTTAGTTTCCCTTCCCTTTCCCAGAAAAGGGAAGGAGTGGCAGGAGTGTGATCAGTCAGCTGCCTAAGCCTCCTCTCTGACCCCCCAGAACCTCTAGTGAACCTGCCATTCAGTGTCACTGTCTTTCGGAGCTATTGCTAGTTAAAAATAGGGAAGATTTACATGTTAAATACTTATCTGATAATTCCCCCACCAGGGCTGCAGCGAATTTGTGGTTGAATCCACTTTTAGTTACTACCTACTTTTCCAGTGCATAACTTAGAAACTCAAGTAGCAGAAAATAAAGTTTAATTCTAAAATTATTATTGTAAAAATGAATATGACAATCCTGTGACCTCTGCTCCTTCACCGGGAAGGCAGCATCTCACGGGCTGAATCCATTCCTGTGACGGCTCAGGACTTTCTTCTAGGCTTCCTTTGTGGGTTTGGGTTCACATTTCTCCATCCCCTCACAGGATCTAGGGCTGAATTTCTAAAGAAGGAGGAGAAGTACAGGGAAAATGGGCTGTTGTCCTTACAAAGGAAATGGTCCCATCTTTTCAATGCCCCAGGCCCTCTGGAAAGCCCACAGAGACCCCACATTGCCAGCCTGGGAATCTGAATAAAAATAACCTCAGGCCTCTTGGAATAGACACAGATGTTGTGCTTATTTTCATACATTTAGAAGCAAATGTAAACAATGAATTAATTCTGGCATCCACTAGTGACTGCAATCAACCCCAGTGTTACAAGCTGTCCTGTGGGAAGCAGATGGCAGGAATGCAGCACAGGGCAGGGCAGAGCCCCAGGACAGGACAGTAGCTGCAGATCACAGGGCAGGGCAGGGCAGGGCCCCAGGACAGGACAGTAGCTGCAGCCCAGATGCAGTTACTGTTCTGGGACCTTCCTGAAGTAAGGGGCAGAGGCCCAGTGCCTCAGAGACCTAATGCCTCTGAACTCTCTCCCCTCTCAACTCCCGCTCCTTCCTCCCCCATATCCAGGGGAGGCCATGGCTCATTCACTCCCTGCCTGAGCCCCAGAGGATCTTCAGAGAGCTGCCCAGCCTGGGACAAAGAGGCTGGACACATACATCTTCACCGCGCCTGGCCAATTTTTGTATTTTATTTTTTAGAGGGAGTCTCACTCTGTCGCCCAGGCTGGAGTGCAGTGGCGCCATCTCAGCTTACTGCAAGCTCTGCCTCCTGGGTTCTCGCCATTCTCCTCCCTCAGCCTCCCGAGTAGCTGGGACCACAGGCGCCCGCCACCATGCCTGGCTAATTTTTTGTATTTTTAGTAGAGACGGGGTTTCACCGTGTTAGCCAGGATGGTCTCGATCTCCTGACCTTGTGATCTGCCTGCCTCGGCCTCCTAATGTGCTGGGATTACAGGCGTGAGCTCCCACGCCTGGCCCAATTTTTGTATTTTTAATAGAGACGGGGTTTCGCCATGTTGCCCAGGCTGGTCTCGAACTCCTGAGCTCAAATGATCCACCTGCCTCGGCATCCCAAAGTGCTGGGATTACAGGCGTTAGCCACTGAGCCTGGCCATCAGTCCAGATTATTTAAAAATTTTGATATCTTAAACTGTGTGAGCTATGAGACCGTGGCCGGTGTGAGGCTTGTGAAGGATCACACCTACTACCACAGTTTATTCACCAGGACCTGAGCCAGTGCTTCTAAGTCCTAACTGGCTGAATTTGCTTATGCCTAGAGGGACCAGAACCTCAGTCAATGACACATGTTCACAGCCTTGTGGCTGGAGTCCCCAACTTGCAGTGAAGTAAGATTGTCCACAGATATATTTCACATTGTTTTGAAATTTCACCTAAGCTAGGGTGTCTCAATTTCGGCATTACTGACACATTGGGCTGGGGAATTCTTTGTTGTGAGGGGCTGCCCTGACCCTTGTAGAATGTTTAACAGAATAACTGGCCTCTGCCCAGTAGATGCCAGTGGCACTCCCAGTTCAACCAATTCTGCCGACAAAGTTTCCCCAAAAGACAATGCCCCTCCATAAAAGAAAACACAAGCACATTTGTATTGTGGGGCCTAGCTACATAACCTGTGGGCCTCAAACTAGCAGCCTGAAGGATGCCTGGAAGCTCATTACAAATGGAGAATCTCAGGCCCCACTCAGACCTAGAAATCAGGATCTGCCTTTCAGCAAGATCCCCGGGTGATTCATCTGCACAATCAAGTTTGAGAATCACATTCATGGAGTTTATACAAACTGCACATCTGCGTGTGACTGGAGTGGGGCCAGCTCTGTTTCTCAAGGGTGGGAGGGGGATTACTGCCATTTTGGGTGGGACAATGTGTTGTTGTGTGGGATTGTCCCATGCTTTGTGGGACAGACTATCCCATCCCCATTAAATGTTCACAATGCTCCCCAGTGCCCAAGACAAGTAGACATTCCCTCTAAGACTTGGTGGAGTAGAGCTGCCCTGAGGTGTGAACCCCGGAAGAGGAGAGTCCCTCCACTCTTAAGACCTTGGATGAATGCAATTTGCCTGACAATAGGACTGCCTGTCCACAGATGGGTCTGGGAGGAAAGGAAAGATGCAGAAGTTAAAACATCACAGTGCTCTTCATCACGGCTTCAAGGGGTTAGGGGCTTGCTAGGAAGTGCCAGGTGATAAGTACTGGCCAAAGGGGAGCCAGGGCCATGAGCCTGGCATATCCCAGGCAATGTCCAAGCTAGGAGCATTGAGGAGTGGAACAGAGGAGATATAGGAGCCCTCCGGGAGAAGCAGGAATTACAAAGTGCTGCCCAACCAGTCAGACCAGCTGGGCCGGTTCCCCCTGAGTCCTGGCAGCCTTAACGGGCTCTTTAGAATAAAGCCAATGATTGAAAACACTTTGGCATCCCAGAGCTGTGCCTGGGCTGAGGAAGGAAATGGATACAGGTGGGTGAGGTGTCCATTTGGTAGGAATAACATCACAGGTGGGGTGTACACCCCCTGTGATATTGGGAGTAATATCATCCTCTCCCAACGTGGATATTGGGAACAATATCACAGGGGCCTGTACACTTCCTCGATATTGGTAGTAATACCATCCTCTCCCCCTTGCATATAAGAAACAGTATGTCAGGTGGGGTGGACCCCCCCCCGCCCCGCGATATGGGGAGTGATATCACCCCCCTCTCCCTCCCTGGATACTATGATCCATGGTGGACACACAGCGTGTTTACGATATTGTGAGTAATATCATCTCCACCTCTGGAAATTGTGAACATTATCACAGACGGGTGTACACCCTCTCCAACATCACAAGTAATATCATCCTCTCCCCCCTGGGATATTAGAAACAATATCAGAGGAGTGTTTCTATCAGAGGAGTGTCTACCCCCTGGATATTAGGATCAATATCACAGGGTGGGTGTACACCTACTGCCATATTGAAAGTAATATCATGCTCTCCCTCCCCGGATATTAGGAACTATATCACAGGTGGGTGTACACCCACCATGGTATTAGGAGGAATATCATTATTAATCACTAGTCATTTATTACCAATATTAATTTAAAAGAACATTAACATTAATATTAACTTCTAATATTAATATGAACAAATAATTGTTAACATTACTATACTATTAATATTAATATTAATTATTAGCTAATAATGTTATTTTATACATATTTGTGTATATAGAAGATCAGTATTATCAACATCAGTCATTATTATTAATAATTAATATTAATAAATTTTGTTATTAATATTACTGGTTAATTATAATTGTTATTGATTTTAATAATTATATTAATTATTGATTATTAATAATAATTATTAATATTATTCCTGATATCTAGGGGGTCGAGGATGACATTGCTTCCTATATCGCAGAACATGTAAACTCCCCTGTGATGTTGTTCCTAATAACCAAGGGTAGAGGATGACGTTCCTCCAAATATCGCAGGGGGTGTACATCCCTTCTGCGATCTTGTTGCTAATATCCAGGCGGGGAGAGGACGATATTAATCCGAATATTGCAGAAGGTGTAGACCTCCCCTGTGATATTGTCCGTAATATCCAAAGGTGGAGAGGATGATATACCTCCCAATTTCGCAGGGTATGGATACCACCCCTGTGATATTGTTCCTAAAGTCCAGGGGTAGAGAACATGATAAGACTCACAATAAGGCAGGGGGTGTGCACCCCCTCCATGATATTGTTCCTAATAGTCAGGGGGGAAGAGTATGATATTACTCCCAATATTACAGGGGGTGTGCATGCCCCCCTGTGATATTGTTTTTAATACCCAGGGAGGGAGAGGATGGTATTACTCCCAATATCGTGGGGGGTGTACACACCCCCTGTGATATTCTTCCTAACATGAAGGTGGGGAGAAAATGATATTACTCCCAATATCGCAGAGGGTGTACACCCTTCCTGGGATATTGTTCCTAATATAAAGTCGATGAAAGGGTGACATTAGTCCCAATATGGCAGAGGGTGTGCACCCTTCTGGCATATTGTTCCTAATATCAAGCAGGGGAAAAAATGATATGACTCCCAACATCGCAGGTACTGGACACCACCCTGTTATTTTGTTTTAAATATCCAGGTTGGGAGAGGTTGATATTACTCCCAAAATCGCAGGGAGTGTAGACTCCCCCCTGTGATATTGTTTCTAATATCCAGGGGAAGAGAGGACATATGACTCCCAATACCGCAGAAGGTGTACATCCCGCTGTGATGTAGTTCCTAATATCCAGAGGGGGCAGAGCATGATATTACTCCCAACATCTCAGTGGGTGTACAGCTCCCTCTGATATTGCTCCTAATTTTCAGGGGGTAGAATACGATATTACTCTCAATATAGCAGAGGGTGTACACCCCCCGCTTTGATATTGCTCCTAATATTCAGGGGAAAGAGCATGATATTGCTCCCAATATCGCAGTCTGTGTACACCCACCCTGTGATATTTTTCCCTATATCCGGGGAGGTGGAGAGAATGATACTACTCCCAATTTTCAGGCAGCATACTCCGCGACTCTGATATTGTATTCTATCCCCATGGGAGGAGAGGATGATGTTGCTCCAGTATGGAAGAAGGTGTACACCACCCCTGTGATACTGTTTATACTATGAAGGTTGGGAGAGGATGATATTAATGCCAATATTGCAGGAGGTGAACACCCCGCCTGTGATATTATTCCTAATATCCAGGGGAAGAGAGAATGATATTACTCCCAATAGCGCAGGAGGTGTACACACCCCTGTGATATTGTTCCTAATATTTAGTGGGGGAGACGATGATATTACTGGCCAAATCACAGGGGGCATACACGCCCTCTGTTAAATCGCTTTTAATATCCAGGGGTTAGAGGATGATATTACTCCCAATATTGCAATAGGTGGATATTCCTTCTTTGATATTGTTCCTCATATACAGGGGGAAGAGCATGATATTAACCCCAATATCTCTTGGGGTGTACACCCCCCTATGATATTGTTCCTAGGATCCTGGCGGGGGGGTGTCCATGATATTACTGACAATATAAGAGGGTGTGTACACCACCCCTGTAATATTGTTTTTTATGTCCAGCAGTGAAGAAATAGATATTACTCCCAAAATGGAACGGGCTGTACAGCCCCCATGAGACATTGTTCCTAACATCCAGGGGGCGAAGGATGATATTACTCCCAATTGTGCAGCGGGTCAATCATTCCCCTGTGAAATTGTTCCTAATATCTAGGAGGGGTGAGGATGATATTAATTTCAATATCGCAGGGAGTGTACACCGCCCCTGTGATATTGTTCTCAATATCCGTGGGAGTAGAAGATTATGTTACTCTCAATATCGCAGGTGGTGTGCACCCCACCCCCGTGATATTCTTTCTAATATCCAGGTGGGGGGAGGATGATATTACTCAGAATATCGCAAGTGATGTCCA
The DNA here is from genome assembly GCF_000001405.40 of Homo sapiens. NCBI lineage: Eukaryota > Metazoa > Chordata > Mammalia > Primates > Hominidae > Homo > Homo sapiens. Next base: position 40,128,274 of record NC_000015.10, read on the forward strand.
CCCCTTCTGTGATATTTTTCCTACTATTTCTGGGGGGAAAGGATGACATTATTCCAGCTATCGAAAACAGTGACCACGCCCCTGTAATATTCATCCCAATGCCCTGGTTAAGAGCGGATGACATAACACACAATATCGCAGGGTGGGGTGTACACTCCGTCTGTGATATTATTTCTAATATGCAAGAAAAGACAAAATAATATTACATCCAAGAGCTCAGGGGGTGTACACACACTGATATTTTTCCTAATATCCAGGGAAGGAGAGGATGACATTACTGGGCATAAGGCAGGAGGTGTGCGCCCTTCTGTGATACAGCTCCTAATAATCAGTGGGAAAGAGGACAATACTAATCCCAATATCGCAGGAGATGTACAGCCCCCCTATGACATAGGTCCCAAAGTACCGCAAAAGAGAACAGAATTACTGCCAATATCGCAAAGCGTGTAAACATCCCTTGTAAATTTTTCCAAACATGCAGCGGGGTACATATTAATAATACCCCCAATATGGAAAGCAGACACCCCCCGCGATGCGGGGAGTAATATCCCCCTGCCTCTCCCCGCCTGGATATTACGATCCACGGTGGACACACAGCGTGTTTACGTTATCGTGAGTATTGTCTTTTCCGCCTCTGGAAATTACCAGCTGTGTCACCTACGGGTGTACACCCTCTCCAGTATTTGCAGTAACACCATCCTCTTCCCATTGGATGTTAAGAAGCATATCAGAAGAATATTTCTACCCCCAGTGACATTCGGTGTAATATCGTCGTCTCCCAGGTTGAGATTAGGAACAATATCACTGGGGGCGTGTACACCCCCTGTGATATTGAAAATAATATCATCCTCTTTTCTACTGGATCATGGCACCAATATCACTGCTGGGTGTACACTTTCTGCAATATTGTGACTAGTATCATCCTCTCTGCCTTTTAATATTTAGGGCAATATCCCAGCGTGGATGTACACCTCCTGCTCTATGAGGAGTCATATCATCCTCTCCCATCCTGGATATTAGGAACAATATCATAGGGTGGATGTACACAGCCTGCGATATTGACTGTAATATCATCCTCTCGCCCTCCGGATATTAGGAACAATATCTCAGAAGTGGTGTACACTCCCTGCGATATTGGGAGCAATATCATCCTCTCCCTGGTTGACATTCAAAACAATATCACTGGGGGCGTGTTCACCCCCCGCGATATTTAAAGTCATATCATCCTCTTCTCTCCTGGATCATGGGCACAATATCACTGGGGGTGGGGGGGGTGTACACTTTCTGCGATATTGGGAGTAAGATCACCCTCTCCGCCTTGCAATATTAAGGAAAATATCACGGGGGCCCATGTACACCCCCTGCGATATTAGGAATAATATTATCCTCTCGTTCCCTGACTATTAGGAAAAATATCATAGAGTGGCTGTACACCTCCTAGGATATGGGGAGTAATATCATCTTCTCTTCTTCTGGATATTAGGAACAATATCACACGGGGTTATACACTTTCTGCGATATTGGGAATAATATCAACCTCGCCGCCTTTGAATATTAAGAACAATATCACAGGGTGGATGTACACCCCCTGCGATATTGGGAGTAATATCAGCCTCTCCCCTCCGTGGATATTAGGAACAATATCCCAGGGTGGGTGTACACCTCCTGCTATATGGGGAGTCATATCATCCTCTCCCTTGCTGGAAATTAGGGACAATATTGCAGGGTGGTTGTACACAGCCTGCGATAGTGGGAGCAGTATCATCCTCTCCCCCTCCGGATATTGGGAACAATATCACAGAAGGGGCGTACACTCCTTGCGATACTGGGAGTAATGTCATTCTCTTCTTCCGTGAATATTAGGAGCAATGTCACCGGGTGGATGTACACCCACTGCTATATTGGGAGTAACGTCATACTCTACCCCCTGGATATTAGCATCAATATCACAGGGTGGGTGTACACCTACTGCCGTATTGAAAGTATTATCATGCTCTCCCTCCCTGAATATTAGGAACTATATCACAGGTGGGTGTACACCCACTGTGGTATTAGGAGGAATATCGTTATTAATCACTAATCATTTATTATCAATAGTGATTACTAAGAACATTAACATTAATATTAATTTCTAAGATTAATATGAACAAATAATTGTTAGCATTATTAGACTACTAATATTAATAATAATTATTAGTAGCTAATAATGTTATTTTATACATATTTGTGTGTATATAAGATCAGTATTATTAACATCAGTCATTATTAATAATTAATATTAATAAATTTTGTTATTAATATTAATGGTTGATTTTAATCGTCATTATTATCGTTATTGTATATATAAGATCAGTATTATTAACATCAGTCATTAATAATTAATATTAATAAATTTTGTTATTAATATAATGGTTAATTTTAATCATCATTATTCTCGTTATTGTATATAGAAGATCACTATTATTAACATCAGTCATTATTAATTAATATTAATAAATTTTGTTATTAATATTAATAGTTAATTTTAATCATCATTCTCGTTATTGTATATAGAAGATCAGTATTAACATCAGTCATTATTAATAATTAATATTAATAAATTTTGTTATTAATATTAATGGTTAATTTTAATCGTCATTATTATCGTTGTTGATTTTATTAATTATATTAATTATCGATTGTTAATAATAATTATTAATATTATTCCTGATATCCAGGGGGTCGAGGATGACATTGCTTCCTATACCTCAGAACACGTACACCCCCATGTGATGTTGTTCCTAATAACCAGGGGGTAGAGGATGACGTTACTCCAAATATCGCCGTGGGTGTACATCCCTTCTGCGATCTTGTTGCTAATACCCAGGCGGGGAGAAGACGATATTAATCCCAATATTGCAGAAGGTGTAGACCTCCCCTGATATTCAGGGGAAAGAGCACGATATTGCTCCCAATATCGCAGTCTGTGTACGCCCACTCTGTGATATTGTTCCCTATATCCGGGGAGGTGGAGAGAATGATACTACTCCCAGTTCTGCAGGCGGCATACTCCTGGCCTCTGATATTCTATTCTATCTCCAGCGGGGAGGAGAGGATGATACTACTACCAGTATTGAAGGAGGTGTTCACCACCCCTGTGATATTGTTCCTAATATCCAGTGGGGGAGACGATGATATTACTGGCCAAATCACAGGGGGTTTACACCCCCTCTGTTTTTCTTTTTTTTTTTTTAATATCTAGGGGGCAAAGGGTGATATTACTCCCAATATCCCCAATATCGCTGTGGGTGTACATCAACCCCGTGGTATTGTTCCGAATATCCAGGGAGGGAGAGGATATTACTGTCAATATCGCAATAGGTGGACACCCCTTCTTTTATATTGTTCCTCATATACAGCGGGGAGAGCATGATATTAATCCCAATATCGCTAGGGGTGCACACCCCTCTATGGTATTGTTCCCAATATTTTGCAAGGGATTTATGATATTACTGGCAATATAAGAGGGTGTGTACACCACCCATGTAATATTGGGGTTTTTTTGTCCAGCAATGAAGAAACTGATATTACTCCCAAAATGGAACGGGCTGTACAACCCCCATGAGGCATTGTTCCTAACATCCAGGGGGCGAAGGATGATATTACTCCCAATGTTGCAGCGGGTGAATCATTCCCCTGTGAAATTGTTCCTAATATCTAGGAGGGGTGAGGATGATATTAATTTCAATATCGCAGGGAGTGTACACCGCCCCTATGATATTGTTCTCAATATCCGTGGGAGTAGAAGATTATGTTACTCTCAATATCGCAGGTGGTGTGCACCCCACCCGTGATATTCTTTCTAATATCCAGGTGGGGGGAGGACGATATTACTCAGAATATCGCAAGTGATGCCCACCCCTTCTGTGATATTTTTCCTACTATTTCTGGCGGAAAGGATGATATTACTCCTAGTGTCAAAGGGAATGTACACGCTTTCTGTGATATTGATCCTAACATTTAGGGTAAAAGAGGATGATATTACACACAATATCGCAGGGGTGTGGTGTACGCTCCGCCTATAATATTATTTCTAATATGCAGGAAAAGAGAGAATACTATTTCTTCCAGTAGTGCAGGAGGTGTACACACCCTGTGATAATTTTTCTAATATCCAGAGAAGGAGACGATGACATTACTGGCCATATCGCACAAGGTGTGCACCCTTCTGTGACATTGTTCCTACTATTCAGTGGGAAGGAGGATAATTTTAATCCCAATATCGCAGGGGATGTACAGTCCCCCTGTGTATAGTTTCTAATGTACAGGGAAAAGAGAATAATATTACTTCCAATATCGCAAAGCGTTTAAACACTCCTTGTATATTTTTCCTAATCTGCAGTGGGGTACAGGTTGATATTATTTTCAATGTCGCAGGGGGTGTCCATACCCCCTGTGATATTGTTCCTAATATCCAGCGGGAAACAGGCTGATATCACTCCCAATATCGCAGTGGCAGTACACCACCCATGTGATATTGTTCCTAATATCCACGCGGGGAGAGGATATTACAACATCACAGGGGGTGTACACCCCTTCTGTGATATGCTTCCTGATATCCAAGGGGTGAGTGGATGATATTATTCCCAATAGCGTAGGAAGTGTACACCCATCCTGTGATACTGTCTCTAACAACCACATGGGGAGAGGTGATATTATTCCCAATATTGCAGGAGTTGTTCACCCCGCCTATGATATTGTATTTTTTATATACAGTGGGGGAGAAAATGGCATTACTACCAATATTGAAGGGATGGACACCCCACAAGATATATTGTTCTTAATATCCGGGTTTAAAGAAGATGATATTACTCCCAATATAACAGGGGTTGTACACCCACCTGTGATATTATTCGTCAAATCTAGAAAAAGAGAGAATGATATTACTTCCAATAGTACAGGGGATGTACACCCCCCCGTGATATTTTTTATAATATCTAAAAGAAGAGATGATGATATTACTCCCAATTCCACAAAAGGTGTACAACCCCCCGTGATATTGTTCCTAATAACTAGTGGAGGACAGCACGATATTACTTCCAATACCACAGTTTCTGTACACACCCCCTGTGATAGTGCTCCTAATTTCTAGGGGTTACACTGTCATATTACTCCCAATATAGCAGTGGGTGTACACCCAACCTGTAATAATGCTCTGAATATTCAGGGAAACACAGGATGATATTACTCCTAATATCGCAGGGAGTGTACACCCCTTTTGTGATATTGTTCTTATAACCTCAGGAAAAGAAAACGATATTGTGTTCAATATCGCAGGCTGTGTACACCCACCCTGTGAAATTGTTCCTAATATACATGAGGGGAGAGGGTGATATACTCCTTATGTATAGCAAGAGGGTGGACACATAGCAAGAGGATGCGGGGAGTAATATCGCCCCCTTCTCCCCCGCTGGATATTATGATCCACATCGCAGGGAGGCGGGCGATGAGAATTATTAGGGGGTGGAAGCGGATCAGTAGGAAAACTCCTGCGACAACTATCATGCTAGAGTGAAGAAGGGCTGAGACTGGGGTTGGGCCTTCCATCGCGGAAGGAAGTCACGGGTGGAGGCCAAGTTGGGCTGATTTTCCTGCTGCTGCTAAGAGAAAACCAATTAATGGAAGAAGATCCGGGTAGTGTTTAGGATCAGTATTTGTTGAGGCTCTCATGTATTGGAGGATGACAGGAATCATGCTATAGCTAAAATAAAGCCAAGATCACCAATGCAATTATATAGAATTGCTTGGAGGGCTGCCGTGTGAGCATCTGCTCGGCCATGCCATCAGCCAATTAATAGAAAAGATATAATTCCTACGCCTTCTCATCCAATAAAAAGTTGGAAAGAGTTGTTGGCGGTAACTAGGATTAATATTGTGGTGAGGAAGATGTGTAGATATTGGAAAAACTGATTAATGTTTGGATCTGACTTTATATACCATATGAGAATTCTATAATAGATCAAGTGATAAATAGTGCTACTGGAATAAACATTTGGGAAGTAGTCTAGTTTGAAGCTTAATGAGAGTTTTGGGGTTTGGATTGTTATTCAATATCAGTTTGAGATGATGGCTTCTTGGTCTGTACACATAAATATTGTTGCCGGAAGGAGGCTAATGGCGAAAGTGCTTGAGATAGCTTTTTACGTAATATGGATACGAGTTCTTCTTACCAGGGTTGGTGAAGGCAATAATAATTGGTAAGGTTAAGGAGATTAAGGTTATTATAGTAATGGAAAAATACATGGTTATTACTTTTATTTGGAATTGCACAAATATTTTTGGTTCCTAAGACCAATGGATAACTCTCATCCTCTAAAAGTTGAGAAAGCCGTGTTGTTAGGCATGGGGGCCTGAGTTAGTAGTTCTTACGTACTTTCCTGGGAAATAAGAAGTTGAAGGCTTCTATTATTAGACCCACAATCTAACGTTTTGATTAAACTATATTTACAGGTTAGAAATCCTATAATAATTTTAGGATTTAGAGATCGTAGGACAATGGGTGAAAGGTGTATACATATTAGTATATTTTCTCGTGTAAAGGATGGTTTAATGCTGTTAATATAGTATGTAAGTGCTCCTCGTTGTGTTGTGACAAGTATGTAGAGGGAATAAATGGCTGTGATTAATATATTAAGTCCTATGAGCATGATAGTAATGTTTGATCAGGAGGATGAAGCCATTGTTACAAGGAGTTCTCCTATTAGATTAATAGTGGGGGGTAGGGCAAGGTTGGTGAGATTTGCTGTAAGTCATCAAAAGGCTATTAGTGGAAGTCAAGTTTGAAGTCCTCGAGAGAGTAATATGATTCGGCTGTGGTTTTGCTCGTAGTTTGAATTTGCTAGGCAGAAAAGTAAGGACGAAGTAAGTCCGTGGGCAATTACGAGGATAATTGCGCGGGTAAAACAAGGGAAGGAGTAGCAGGATTGTGATCAGTCAGCTGCCTGAGCCTCCTCTCTGACCCCCCAGAACCTCTAGTGAACATGCCACTCAGTGTCACTGTCTTTCGGAGCTATTGCTAGTTAAAAACAGGGTAAGATTTACATGTTAAATACTTCTCTGATAATTCCCCCACCAGGGCTGCAGCGAATTTGTGGTTGAATCCACTTTTAGTTACTACCTACTTTTCCAGTGCATAACTTAGAAACTCAAGTAGCAGAAAATAAATTTGATTTTAATTCTGAAATTACTATTGTAAAGATGAATATGACAATCCTGTGACCTCTGCTCCTTCACAGGGAAGACAGCGTCTCATGGGCTGGACCCATTCCTGTGACCGCTCTGGACTTTCTTCTAGGCTTCCTTTGTGGGTTTGGGTTCACATTTCTCCATCCCCTCACAGGATCTAGGGCTGAATTTCTAAAGAAGAAGGAGAAGTACAGGGAAAATGGGTTGTTGTCCTTACAAAGGAAATGGTCCCATCTTTTCAATGCCCCAGGCCCTCTGGAAAGCCCACAGAGACCCCACATTGCCAGCCTGGGAATCTGAATAAAAATAACCTCAGGCCTCTTGGAATAGACACAGATGTTGTGCTTATTTTCATACATTTAGAAGCAAACGTAAACTATGAATTAATTCTGGCACCCACTAGTGACTGCAATCAACCCCAGTGTTACAAGCTGTCCTGTGGGAAGCAGATGGCAGGAATGCAGCACAGGGCAGGGCAGAACCCCAGGACAGGACAGTAGCTGCAGACCACAGGGCAGGGCAGGGCAGGGCCCCAGGACAGGACAGCAGCTGCAGACCACAGGGCAGGGCAGGGCAGGGCCCCAGGACAGGACAGTAGCTGCAGACCACAGGGCAGGAGAGGGCAGGACCCCAGGAAAGGTCAGCACTGCAGACCACAGGGTTGGGCAGGGCAGGGTAGGGCCCCAGGACAGGTCATTAGCTGCAGACCACATGGCAGGGCAGGGCAGGACCCCAGGACAGGTCAGCACTGCAGACCACATGGCAGGGCAGGGCAGGACCCCAGGACAGGTCAGCATTGCAGACCACAGGGCAGGGCAGGGCAGGACCCCAGGACAGGTCAGCACTGCAGACCACAGGGCAGGGCAGGGCAGGGCAGGGCCCCAGGACAGGTCAGCACTGCAGACCACAGGGCAGGGCAGGGCAGGACCCCAGGACAGGTCAGCACTGCAGACCACAGGGCAGGGCAGGGCAGGGCCCCAGGACAGGTCAGCACTGCAGACCACAGGGCAGGGCAGGGCAGGGCCCCAGGACAGGTCAGTAGCTGCAGACCACAGGGTAGAGCAGGGCAGGGCCCAAGGACAGGACAGTAGCTGCAGCCCAGATGCAGTTACTGTTCTGGGACCTTCCTGAAGTAAAGGGCAGAGGCCCAGTGCCTCAGAGACCTAATACCTCTGAACTCTCTCCCCTCTCAACTCCTGCTCCTTCCTCCCAGATATCCAGGGGAGGCCATGGCTCATTCACTCCCTGCCTGAGCCTCAGAGGATCTTCAGAGAGCTGTCCAGCCTGGGACAAAGAGGCTGGACACGTACATCTTCGGTCATAGCCCCCCTCCGCCACCACACACACACCAAGAGAATCCCCACAGCAGTGGGGCAGACGTGCAGGAGCATGCCAACAGCATGGAGCCTTGTAAGGAAATCTCCAAGGGGACAGGAAGAGGGACAGATCTGGGAGTGTGGGGACACTTGGCCCCGATTCATTACACCTGCCTTTAAAGTGCACCATCAAAGTTGCATGCTGTTTTCTTCCCATGTCTGCAGAGCCCTTTGTCCTCTGGCCATTGCTGACCAGCCTGGCTCCCAGACAAAGCCAGACAGATTGTTCTAAAGTGTGGATTTCCACTGGCTCTCTGCATCTAATGAGCTGTCACTCAGAACTCTGCCTCAGAAGCCAGGCAATGCCTGGAAGAAGTGGGAGGGGACAGTAGGTGTGGCAGGATCTACAGCTGGGCCTCAGCCTTGCTGGGCAAGTGGGGAGTCTGGGCCGCCCTATACTCTGGCCCCAAATTCCACTCTCAAGGACCAATTTAGCCTCTGAGTCACCTGCTCTCCCTAGGGCAGAGCCCAACTGTGGGCAAGGTCTCTGGATCCGTCATGACCCTCAGGCCAGAGACGCCACTTGGCATTGCTCACCTTCTCTCTTCACAGCACTGTCCACTGGAATGGCTTGAGATGGAGCCCCAAACCCCTGGGTTCCCGCAGCCTGTGCTGGGTCCTGTAGATCTCACAACTGGAATCCTTTCTTTGGACTATCCAGAAGGCCTTCTTAAGATGTGGCTGTAGGCTGGGCATCGTGGGACATGCCTGTAATCCTAGCACTTTGAGAGGCTGAGGCAGGAGGATCATTTGAGCCCAGGAGTTTGAGACCAACCTAGGCAACACAGTGAGACCTCATCTCTATCAAAAAAGGTTAAAAAAAAAAAAAGATGAAGCTGTTGCTAGAAAACCGCTTTGGAGAAAGAGGCTGTGGCCTCCCCTAGGAGGAGCTCCAGCTTCTCTGGTGTACCATGTAGCCGCAAGGGATTTCTTCCTGTGACCAAAGACATGGACCAAAACCTGCCCCTGTAACTTCCCTCCATTTCCCTCTCTCATGGGAGGGGCTTCACACAGTACATATTTGGTGGCCATCATGGGACAAACCGCAGTGTATCTCATCAGTGATTAAGCAAAATCATTCATGGGGCATGCACTGGGGAAAGGCCACATGAGGACACGGTCAGAAGGCGGCCATCCACAAGCCACGGAGTGAGGCCTCAGGAGAAACCAAACCTGCTGACCCCCTGACCTTGTTCCAGCCTCCAGAACTGGGAGAAAATTAATTTCCATTGTTTAAGCCACCTACTCTGTGCTATTTTGTAATGGCAGCCCTAGCAAACTAATAACACCTTTGTTTTGTGGATGATAGTAATAGAATTTAACGGTTGGATTTGTTGTGAGGTTTGAATGGGTTAACCAATGTATGAACATAGTGCAGTTCCTGACACAGAGTAAGCACTCAGTGAAAGTTAGCTATTACGATGTAAAACCAGACTAATGGCATTTATCACATCCATTCACTTTCTCATACAAGAAAAAGTAATGAATAAGCCTAGCTGAGTTCTCTTCCTGAACTGCAGACTCATATATACAACTTACTCAACATCTCTACTCGGATGAATAAAGGGTACTTCCCTTCGCCCACTTTTTGGTGGGGTTGTTTGTTTTTTCTTGTAAATTTGTTTGAGTTCATTGTAGAGTCTGGATATTAGCCCTTTGTCAGATGAGTAGGTTGCAAAAATTTTCTCCCATCCTGTAGGTTGCCTGTTCACTCTGATGGTAGTTTCTTTTGCTGTGCAGAAGCTCTTTAGTTTAATTAGATCGCTTTTGTCAATTTTGGCTTTTGTTGCCATTGCTTTTGGTGTTTTAGACATGAAGTCCTTGCCCATGCCTATGTCCTGAATGGTATTGCCTAGGTTTTCTTCTAGGGTTTTTATGGTTTCAGGTCTAACATGTAAGTCTTTAATCCATCTTGAATTAATTTTTGTATAAGGTGTAAGGAAGGGATCCAGTTTCAGCTTTCTACATATGGCTAGACAGTTTTCCCAGCACCATTTATTAAATAGGGAATCCTTCCCCCATTGCTTGTTTTTGTCAGGTTTGTCAAAGATCAGATAGTTGTAGATATGCGGCATTATTTCTGAGGGCTCTGTTCTGTTCCATTGGTCTATATGTCTGTTTTGGTACCAGTACCATGCTGTTTTGGTTACTGTAGCCTTGTAGTATAGTTTGAAGTCAGGTAGCGTGATGCCTCCAGCTTTGTTCTTTTGGCTTAGAATTGACTTGGCAATGCAGGCTCTTTTTTGGTTCCATATGAACTTTAAAGTAGCTTTTTCCAATTCTGTGAAGAAAGTCATTGGTAGCTTGATGGGGATGGCATTGAATCTATAAATTACCTTGGGCAGTATGGCCATTTTCACGATATTGATTCTTCCTACCCATGAGCATGGAATGTTCTTCCATTTGTTTGTATCCTCTTTTATTTCATTGAGCAGTGGTTTGTAGTTCTCCTTGAAGAGGTCCCTCACATCCCTTGTAAGTTGGATTCCTAAGTATTTTATTCTCTTTGAAGCAATTGTGAATGGGAGTTCACTCATGATTTGGCTCTCTGTTTGTCTGTTATTGGTGTATAAGAATGCTTGTGATTTTTGCACATTGATTTTGTATCCTGAGACTTTGCTGAAGTTGCTTATCAGCTTAAGGAGATTTGGGGCTGAGACGATGGGGTTTTCTAGATATACAATCATGTCATCTGCAAACAGGGACAATTTGACTTCCTCTTTTCCTAATTGAATGCCCTTTATTTCCTTCTCCTGCCTGATTGCCCTGGCCAGAACTTCCAACACTATGTTGAATAGGAGTGGTGAGAGAGGGCATCCCTGTCTTGTGCCAGTTTTCAAAGGGAATGCTTCCAGTTTTTGTCCATTCAGTATGATATTGGCTGTGGGTTTGTCATAGATAGCTCTTACTATTTTGAGATACGTCCCATCAATACCTAATTTATTGAGAGTTTTTAGCATGAAGGTTGTTGAATTTTGTCAAAGGCCTTTTCTGCATCTATTGAGATAATCATGTGGTTTTTGTCTTTGGTTCTGTTTATATGCTGGATTATGTTTATTGATTTTCGTATGTTGAACCAGCCTTGCATCCCAGGGATGAAGCCCACTTGGTCATAGTGGATAAGCTTTTTGATGTGCTGCTGGATTCGGTTTGCCAGTATTTTATTGAGGATTTTTGCATCAAGGTTCATCAAGGATATTGGCCTAAAATTCCCTTTTTTTGTTGTGTCTCTGCCAGGCTTTGGTATCAGGATGATGCTGGCCTCATAAAATGAGTTAGGGAGGATTCCCTCTTTTTCTATTGATTGGAATAGTTTCAGAAGGAGACATTTATGCAGCCAAAAAACACATGAAAAAATGCTCATCATCACTGGCCATCAGAGAAATGCAAATCAAAACCACAGTGAGATACCATCTCACACCAGTTAGAATGGCGATCATTAAAAAGTCAGGAAACAACAGATGCTGGAGAGGATGTGGAGAAATAGGAACACTTTTACACTGTTGGTGGGACTGTAAACTCGTTCAACCATTGTGGAAGTCAGTGTGGCGATTCCTCAGGGATCTAGAACTAGAAATTCCATTTGACCCAGCCATCCCATGACTGGATATATACCCAAAGGATTATGAATCATGCTACTATAAAGACACGTGCACACGTATGTTTATTGTGGCACTATTCACAATAGCAAAGACTTGGAACCAACCCAAATGTCCAACAACGATAGACTGGATTAAGAAAATGTGGCACATATACACCATGGAATACTACGCAGCCATAAAAAAGGATGAGTTCATGTCCTTTGTAGGGACATGGATGAAGCTGGAAACCATCATTCTCAGCAAACTATCGCATGGACAAAAAACGAAACACTTCATGTTCTCACTCATAGGTGTGAATTGAACAATGAGAACACATGGACATAGGAAGGGGAACATCACACGCTGGGGACTTTTGTCGGGTGGGGGGGAGCGGGGAGGGATAGCATTAGGAGATATATCTAATGCTAAATGACGAGTTAATGGGTGCAGCACACCAAAATGGCACATGTATACATATGTAACAAACCTGCACGTTGTGCACATGTACCCTAAAACTTAAAGTATAATAATAATAAATAAATAAATACATAAATAAATAAAAATTTAAAAATTAAAAATAAAATAAAATAAAATAAGAGTACTTCCCACTGGCCTTGCGCGGTGGCTCACGCCTGTAATCCCAGCACTTTGGGAGGCTGAGGCAGGCGGATCACGAGGTCAGGAGATCGAGACCATCCTGGCTAATACGGTGAAACCCCGTCTCTACTAAAAATACAAAAAATTCGCCAGGCGTGGTGGTGGGCGCCTGTAGTCCCAGCTACTCGGGAGGCTGAGGCAGGAGAATGGCGTGAACCCAGGAGGCAGAGCTTGCAGTGAGCTGAGATCGCACCACTGCACTCCAGCCTGGGCGACAGAGCGAGACTCCGTCTCAAAAAAACAAAAAAGAAAGAGTACTTCCCACAAACCTACTTGCTGTGGTTTGAATGTTTCTCCAAAGCTCACGAAATTCAGTTGCCATTGTAACAGTCTTACGAGGTAGGACCTTTAAGAGGTGATTAGGCCATGGGGGTTCCAACCTCATGGGTAGAACTGGTGCCATTATAAAAGGGCAAGTTTGACCCACTCTTGCTTTCTCTTGCCCCTCCGCCTTCCTCCATATAATGATGCAGCAAGAAGGCCCTTGCCAAGTGCCAGCGCCTTCATCTTAGACTTCCCAGACTCCAGAACTGTCAGAAAGTTAACTTTGGTTCTTCATCAGTGACCCAGTCTGTGGTACTTTATTATAGCAGCACAAATGGTCCAAGATATTGACTCTCCTCAGTCTTTCCATCTGAGTAAGAAAACTCCATCCTTCTGCTTGTTCAGACCACAACTTTAGAGTCATCCTCTTCTTTCCCTATACTTTACATATCATCTGTCAATAAACGCTGCTGTCTCTGCCTTCAAAATGTACTCAGACTCACCACTCCACCATGGCCACACCAATCTAAGCTACCACCATCCCTTCCCTGGATTGTTGCAATAACTGATCCCTCTATTGCTTCCCTTGCCTCTTACAGACTATTTTCATCCCGGCAGCCACAGTGCTCCTGTTAAAACCCATACAAGACCCTGTCATTCTTCTGCTCAAAAGCCATCACTTCCCATCTTATGCAAAGTAAAAGCCAATCTTTCCAGTGGCCTGTGAGATTGAGCATGAACTGACTCCTGGTCACCTCTCCAGCTTCATCTCTTCTTCCTGTTTTCACTCATTCTGCTCCAGACACATTGACCTCCTTACTGCTCCTCTAACATCTGGGAGAGCTCCGCTTCTGGTTAGGATGTAGAAATATATGAAAAGCCTTTGCTACAATGCTATCAACAAGAAAAACCTAGACAAAAATAAAAATCGTGCTTTTCTACTGAGCAGTGCAGGCATGGCCTTGATGAGTTGAATTCCACAAAGAAACAAGCCCTTTATAGATGAGCAGAAGGTCAGCACAGCTTTCACACCTGAGGATGTGCCTGGTCTGGCTACAGGTGGATGGAGAAACATGCCATAGGCAGGGGTTTTGTAAGGATAAGAAGAAATCAGCGAGCTGCGGCATGGGCTGGCAAGACAGATGACAATCTGGAAGAGGCCCAATATAAAAGCAGGTCATTTAGGCCGATAATTCTCTGTTCTCCACCCACCCCCATTCCTGAACTTTGCCACAACTGTGGCACTGGAGAAGGGGCTGGAAAGCAGAGAGTAATGACACGGTCCTGCTTAGATTCTGGGGCCCTGCTGGAGTAGAGTCCAAAGTTGAATCAAAATGATCTGAATCTGTACGCTACCCCCACCCAGCTCAATTACTGACAACTTGAAAAGGAGGCAGAAGCTTGGGATTGGGCTACTTACAGGTGAACACAATCTAATTAAAGCTGCAGTGCAGCCTTACCTCAATTCCACTGTCCGAGGAGTCCCAGTGATCAGCTTCAACCTAACCACCAGACAGGGGAAAGGAACTGCAATTTCTGAGAAGTAAACAAAAAGATATATTTTCATTTCTACTGTTCTTTTATACAAAATTTCTGGAATACAGTTTTGAGAAACAGGAGAGTAAGGAAAAGAAGCATGTGATCCATAATCAAGAGAAAATAGAGAAGCAGATCCACACATGATCCAGTTATTGGAGTTAGCAGACAAAAGCTTTAAAACGATTAATATGAATATGTTAAAGTTCACAGGAAAAGATAGCTATGATGGTTGAAGAGAGGGTTATTTTAGTAAAGAAATGTAAACTCTAAAAAAGAACCAAATGGAAATTCTACAACTAAATATATATATATATATGAACTAAATATATATATATATATATATATATATATATATATATATAAAATTCATTGGATGAGCTTAATAGCAAATTGGACACCACAGAAAAAGCATCAATGAACTTAAAGACAAGCCAATCAAAAGTATCCAAACTGATAAAAAGAGAGAAAAAAATTAATGACCACAGTACAGTGACCTGTGGGATAACAGCAGCTGTCCTAAGATTTGTGTAATTGCAGTCTCAGAAAGAGAACAAATAGCACCAATTGTTTTTCTACAGGAAGAAATAATAGTGAAAAATTTAAAATGTAACAAAAAGGATCAACCTACAGATTTAAACTAATTTTTTTTTTTTTTTTGAGACAGAGTCTCACTCTGTCAGCCAGGCTGGAGTGCAGTGGCGCAATCTCAGTTCAATGCAACCTCCACCTCCCATGTTCAAGCGATTCTCCTGTCTGAGCCTCCCAAGTAGCTGGGACTACAGGTGTGCGCCACCATGTCCAGCTAATTTTTGTATCTCTAGTAGAGACGGGGTTTCACCACGTTGGCAAGGCTGGTCTCGAACTCCTGACCTCAAGTGATCTGCCCACCTTGGCCTCCCAAAGTGCTGGGATTACAGACATGAGCCACCGCACCTGGCAGACCTACAGATTTTAAAAGGTCGTCAAACCCCAAGTGGGGTAAATACAAAGAAAAACACATCTAGACACATCACAGTCAAGTTGTTGAACCAAAGATAAAATGAAAATCTTAAAAGCAGCCAGAGAAAAAAGGAACATTACAATGATAAAAATGATGCCTAACTTCTCTTTAAAAACAATGCAAACCAGAAGACAATAAAATGACATACATGAAAAGAAAACCAGAAAATATAGAATTCTCTGTCCAAGAAAAATAGCTTTCACAAATGAAACAGAAATAAAGATATGTTTAGATAAACAACAGCTAAGGGAAATAATTTTCAACAGACATGTACTTCAAGAAATACTAAAAAAGCTGGGTGCAATTGTAGTCCCAGCTACTGGGAAGGCTGTGGCAGGAGGATCACTTGAGCCTAGAAGTTCAAGATCAACTTGGGCAACGTAGGGAGACTCCATCACAAGAAACAAGCAAGCAAAAAAAAAAAAAAGAAAGAAAGAGAGAGAGAGAGAAAAGAAAGAAGAAAGGAAGGAAGGAAGGAAAGAAAGAAAGAAAGAAAAAAGAAAGAAAGAAAAGAAAGAAAGAAAGAAAGAAAGAAAGAAAGAAAGAAAGAAAGAAAGAAAGAAAAAGAGAAAAGAAAGAAATACTAAAGGGAGTTCTTCAGGCTAGTGAGAAAAGATAGCATGATAGCAGTTGGAGGCTCAGATCTACCAGAAGGAATGAAGAGCATTGCAAATGGTAAGTATGTGGGTAAATATAGAAGACTATTTTAATTTATTTTGAATGACAATTGGCTTTTAAAAACACAAATAACAACCATATATTATGGGACTTATTACATGCACACAAGTAGAATAGATAATAGTCAAAGGATGGAAGGGGCAAATGGAAGTAAAATGGAATTTTCTTAAATTATTTGTGAAGTGGTATAATGTAGACCCAAAATAAACTCTAACAAGTTAAAGATGCACACTATGATCCCTAGAGCAATTATTAAAAATAAAACAAAGAGGTATAGCTAAAAAGCTACTAGAGGCTGCATGTGGTGGCTCACGCTTATAATCCCAGCACTTTGGGACGCTGAGGTGAGAGGGCTGCTTGAGGCCAGGAGTACGAGACCAGCCTGGATAACACAGCAAGACCCAGTCTCTACAAAAAATAAAAAATAAACTAGTCAGGCATGGTGGTGTATTCCTGTAGTCCCAGCTACTTGGGAGGCTGAGGCAAGAGGATTGCTTGAGCCCAGGAGGTTGAGGCTGCCGTGACCCGTGATTGTGCCACTGCACTCCAGCCTAGGTAAGAGATCAAGATGCTGTCTCTCTCTCACACGCACGCACACACACACACACACACACACACAAAAGGTCAACAGAGGCAACAAAATTGGATATTAAAAAACAATTGATCCAGCTGAGCACAGAGGCTCACGCCTATAATCCCAGCACTTTGGGAGACCAAGATAGGAGGATCACTTGAGCTCAGGAGTTCAAGACCAGCCTGGGTGACATAGTGAGACCCTGTCTCTACAAAAAATAAAAAATAAAGTAGCTGGGCCTGGTGGCGTGTGCCTGTAGTCCCAGCTACTTCAGAGGCCAAGACAGGAGGATCTCTCAATCCCAGGAAGTCGAAGCTGCAGTGAGGCATGAGTGCACCGCTGCACTCCATCCTGGGCAACAGAGCAAGCCTCTGTCTCAAAAAAGAAAAAAGTGCATTGCCACTAACCATCTGCATTGCCTTTAACCATACCCACTTCCCTGGCTCGGCCAAACACTTGAAGAGCACTGTGCTGAGTGCCTAGTACAGTGCTGCTCAAACCCTAATGAATTGCCCGGAGATCTTGTTACACAGAAAACTACATTTTGATTATCAAGGCTATTTGACTATCATGGTAGGGGAATCAGAGATGACCAAGACAAGGTCCCTGTCTTCCTTTGGCTTAAAATCCATACAAAACAGCATGGGGGAGAAGGTGAGCAGTGCCCAAAGGGTGGTGGAAAGACAACAGAGGAAGAATTTCACCGGTTTCAATAAAAAATGCATGATTTTGGTAGACACTTGACAGATTTAGTGAGTAAGGCCATTTGGTAAGAGAGAGAGTTGGGCTACACCAAAACTCAGAGAAGTGTAGATGAAGCCAGTGTCCATGCAACCCAGAAGAATACGCTACTGGGATCCTTTCTTTTTTTCGCTTTATTCTGATGGCAATTGCTGAAGGGGAAGAGACATGGCCCAGTCTTGGCATGGGCAATGTGGGTGTTTTACTGTAGGCAAAGAAGGCCCAGGATTGGCTGTGGGGCACCTCGGAGAAATAGGCCCTGAGTACCGGTTCAGGTGTGGACTCTTCTTACAAAGGGCAATGCAGAGAGGGCCGAGCAGCAAGCAAGAGCATGACTCATTATGACTTGTCTTGAATTCTTGTCATTTCTAAGTAGAGGGCTCTGCCTGCTTCTTTTCAATCAGGTCTGCTTTGATGGGTATAGATTTGGGTACAATCTTAAATCTAAAAACCTCCCTGATGCAGGGCTAAGTCAGGCCCCTCACTCAGTATCTGCACAGAGCAGTGTATTCATCAGGGTTCTTTTAGAGGGACAGAACTAATAAGGAGAGAGATATATATGTGTGTGTTATATATGTATACACATATAGAGAGAGGGGAGTTTATTAAGTATTAACTTCCATAATCACAAGGTCCCACAATGGGCTGTCTACCAGCTGAGGAGCAAGGAGAGCCAGTCCAAGTCCCAAAAATGAAGAACTTAGAGTCTGATGTTCGAGGGCCATAAGCATCCAGCACGGGCAAAAGATGGAGGCTGGGAGGCTGGGCCCATCTCGCTGCTTCACTTTTTTCTGCCTGCTTTATATTCACCGGCAGCCGATTAGATGGTGCCCACCCAATTAAGGGTGGCTCTGCCTTCCCCAGCCCACTGACTCAAATGTTAATCTCCTTTGGCAACACCCTCACAGACACATCCAGGATCAATATTGCATCCTTCAATCCAGCCAAGTTGACACTCGGTGTTAACCATCACGGGCCGGATCAGAGAATCATGGGATTTTAGAGTTCGTAGGCCCTTCTTGTGGCCCAACACTTTCTCTTTATGGTAAGGAAACACCCCAAACTCAAACTCTGGCATCGTGCTCCCCTTACTCTGGAGCTTAGACCCCTAGTATAGACTGCTCCCCAGTCCCTGTAGAAACCCGCCTCGAAGCCCTCAGCAAGGCAGCAGGGATAAAGAGAAAAGGGGTACAGCTTCTGCCTGGGGTGGAGGGTCAGGGGTGAGGAAGGCTGGTTGATCAGCTTTCAGGCCATTCTCAGAGGCCAGTAGGCAGGGCTGTGTGCCTGGAGATCCAGTCCCCAAGGAGCAGAACCAGAAGGAAGGCCGGGGCACTTGGCTGCTGAGAATGGTGGAAATTAACCTGGAGTGTGACCCCATCCCTAGAGTGATGGAAGGCCAGCAAGAGTGGGGTCCGATGGATACCGCCCCCCAAAACTTAGACAGGCCATGTGTCTGGATTTGCTTAGGACGGTCCCATTACATAATATATAACTTTTATCTGAGCATAACTATTAGAGGTTCCCCTTTCACTACCCAAACTATCCTGTTTCAGACAATATTTCTATGGTCACCCCAGTGTAACTCCAAGACTTTGACCACCAAGGCTAAGAGGTGGGGTTGCTGAGCCCCTGTCCTGGCCCTGTGGGGCCTTCCTTCTTTGCCGCTCCTCTGCTCCGAATCATTCTAGATATACCTCCAGGATCAAGTACAGGTAGGAATCGGGTTCCTGTGGGGAGATCACTCTTCTTAGAAGCCCTAGAAGCTCAGCCTGGCCCCAGGGCAGCTCCAGAAGGGTAGGGAAGGGAACTGGAGGCACTCTGGGGCTGACTCAACATCTGAGATGGCTGCAGATGCCCCTTGACTGCACCCAAGCTCCAGCCAGGCCTGTTCTAAAGCTGACTGAAAGCCCCTTGCTGGGAAGGAGCAGGGCTTGGGACAGGGCACCCACTTCCAGAATATTTGCACCATGAAGTTACACTTTCCCCTCATGGGATGCGGCTGAGGAGGCAGCAAGGACTGTATAGTGCTGAATCTGAACTCGGGAAGGCCAGGACACTACCCCAAGGCAAAGTAAATTAACTAATTTTAATTAAAACTACAATAACACTGTTCATTGACTACTTCTATGGTTGCACGCTGCCTTTCTTTACCTGCGGGCTAGCTCTACCATACTTCAGTTACAGGTATCTGACGAGGTTATATCCCAGGGAATTACATACCAGACTTGCCTTCCCATGGGATCTCAATCTGGGCCTTTGCCTCTTGCCATGGTTTGAATGTCCCCTCCAAAACTCATGTTGATATTTAATTGCCCTTGTGATGGTGTTAAAATGTGGGACCTTTAAGTGGTGATTAGATCATGAGGGCTTTGGTCTCATTCATAGATTAATACCTTCGGAAGTGGGTTCATCATCATGGGAGTGGTTTCCTGGTGAAATGATAGGTTCAGCCCCATCTCCTCTGTCTCAGGTTCTCATTTCCACCTTCTACCATGGGATGATACAGCATGAAAGACCTAACCAGATGCCAAGACCCAACCAAGAGCCCTATGCTCTTGGACTTCCCAGGCTCTAGAACCACAAAGCAGATAAACTTCTTTATAAGTTACCCAGTTTGTGGTATTCTGTTATAGTAGCAGCAAACAGACTAAGACACCTCTGAATGAGCCACATTTTCCTCCTTTCATGTATGCTAATTGGGGCCTCAACTTCCCTGTCTCTCTTCACCATCACACACTGCTCTCCAAGGTGGGAGGCTAACTTTATTCCACACCTGAAATGTTCCTATGTTCCAAGTTTCCAGAGGGTCCCTAGGCCTCCGGGAGGGCTCTTACTGCAGCAGGTGTGACAATGCCCAAGTCAAGATGGTGGGTGAGGACCGGGGCTGGTGCCTCTGCTTAGCTGAAGAGTCCTCCACTGAGCTTTTGGCTGGTCGTGGCAGATAGTTGAGAAGAAGGCCAAATTGCAACTGACAGTTGAGCACCCTTGAGAACTGCGCTCCTAAGGACTTTGTAGAGCAGAACCACCATGCCAGGCAAGGCCTGCCTACCTGCAGACATTCACTTAAGAGAGAGTTGGCCTTTGTTTTATTGAAGCCATGGTTATTTTGTCTGTCTGTCTACCACAGCCAAACCTAATCCTAACTGATATCGCTATGTTAAGATTTACTGTTTACACTCCAATTATTTCCAAAAAGAATGAGACAATTTACAGCAAATGAAAAAGAAATGACAGAATCATTCAAACAAGCATAAATGAATAAGAGGCACATAATAAAAATGGGGTGACAGTTATTCCAGAAAATGTGAATTGGGGGTCATTATTATAGCCATGTGCAATTTTTCACATCTAACTTCCTAGCAGTCAAGTGAAATAAGGAACACCGGATGACTTACAGACTCCTTATTATCCGTGCGGGTGGTGAAGGAACAAGATTCTAGTCCTGGGGCCATCTTACAAAGCAAACCCATTGTTATCAATAGCATCACCCCACAGCAAGGATGTGAGTTAGAAACATGCACTGGTTGGTGTGCTGTGTCTTCCCCACTTGCCCCACCTGATTTACCCTCCGCTCTTCTCTCAACAGTGTCCTGGAAGCACTGTGCCCATCATTTCTTTTCTCCTCTGACTTCCAGTTGGTTTGGCCAGTGGGGGTCCCTGGCAGGACATCAGAAGGCGGGAGGGGAGACTGGTCATTAACGCTCCCGTGGTGCCATGCTTGCCAGTGGCTGCCTTCCTGACACAGCTTTTGTCAGGCTCTCTCATTGCTGTAGTCTCTCAATGGGCTCCAGGAGCAAATCTTAACTCTCTTCCCATCAGAACTAGGGGTAGCAGCTTCCCCTTGTTGCCAGTTTCTAAGTTCTTCACTATCCATGTTTGTTCCCTTTAATCCCATCCCTTCCATAGTAAATTTTCCCTTCATTTATTTATTTCACGGACAGTGAATCATTGGTTTCCTGCTAGGACCCTGATGATACAGATGGTGTCTCCGTTAGAAATGAATCTGGCTTCCATAACAGCGAGCCTTACAAACAGTGGCTTAAGCAAATAGGTCTTTTTATCCACATTATGAGAAGTCTGGGGGTGGTAGTTCCAGGATGGTGCAAAAGCTCCATGATGCTGTCATAAAGCCAGGCTCTCCCTTTCCACTCTCCTTTCCCTTAACCTGTTGGCTTTTGTCTTTCTGCCTTCACCTCATGGCCACAAGATGCTGCCCAGCTCTAGACATTCCACCTATCTTCAAAGTAGGAAGAAGGGCAAAAGGGCCATGCCAACCATGTCTCTTCTGCCCCAGTCTTCTCCAGACTTCCATTTGGGTCATACCTGGATCACAGGACTACTCCTGGATGCAAGGGAGGCCGAGAAATCGGGGAACACATTTGTCATGACTGAGTTGGGCAAATCATGACTCATTGCTCGGGGCACTCCTGGCACATTGCCATCCCAACCACTCACTCTGTTAACAAAGGAGAGCAGGGAGAATTGGTTTTGGGCAGGCCATGAATACTAACAGCTGCAGTGAAGCTTCCGAAGGCTGGGGAGGCAGCCTGTGTACAATGTGACAGTGAACAGAAACTGAGACAAGCTGGTGGAGAGCCGTGTCTGTACCCAGAGATAGGTTTTAGGGATACACTGTCCCTAAAACTACCTCATGCCCAGTTCCCCACTTTAGTGAGAATGATCAAGACCACAAGGTGTAGAGACAAACCCTAGACACAGTCAGAAGACTCCTCTGGAAATCTTCCACAGCCACCTTAGCATTTCTCTCTCCCTCCTCCACGTGCCCCGGCTTCATATGATACTCCTGCTAAGTCTCTGACCCCACTGTGTTGCAATTATCTTTCCACACAAGGCTGTCCTCACCCACTAGACCAGGGGCTACTTGGGGACAGAAATTCTGTCTTGTTTGTATTTGTGATCCCTTGCCCAGTTAGTGCCTGACATAAAATAACAATAACAAATGCTCAATAAGGGCAAGGCGCGGTGGCTTATGCCTGTAATCCCAGCACTTTGGGAGGCTGTTGCAGGAGAATTGCTTGAGGCCTGGCAGTCAACATCACCCTGTGCAACATAGCAAGACCCTGTCTCTACAGAAAAAAAAAAAAAAAAAGCCTGCAATGGTGGTGTGCATCTGTGGCCCTAGCTACTCGGGAGGCTGAGGCAGGAGCATCACCTGAGTTTGGGAGGTAGACTTTGCAGTGAGCCATGATCATGCCACTGCACTCCAGCCTGCGCAACAGAGCAAGACCCTGTCTCCAACAAAACAAAACAAAAACAAAAAACCCCACAAATGCTCAATAAAGATTTGTTGACTGAGCAACTGATTGACTAAATAAAGGAATAGGAGTTGGGTTGTGCTCTCTATCCTAATACACTGGGTGACCTTGGGCAAATAACTTTTCTGAACCTGGGTACTTCATCTGTCAATTGGGAGAGTTGCACTAGAACATCTCCAAGACCCCTTCTCGCTCTGACATTTGGTGATTTTTAACTCCCACCGTGAACCACAGAACTCCCATTTCTGGAGTTATTTATTTGGTTTGAGGCATTAGCTATCCAGATATTCTCTGTTAAATTGTATATGCACCATATGAGGACGTTATTCAAATAAGAATTCCATCAGCATCACTGAGGAAAAATCTCTGGTGTTATGATTAGCAGGTCTTAGAGTGAATTTTCTTGAGGGAGTGAAGCGTAGAGAGAGAAGCTTTAATGTGGATAGGAAAGTCTGAAGTGAGATATACCGTCCAGTTACTCTGGGACTCGTTGAGATCCTGCAACAGGAGACAGGGAGCCTGAGTAACTGGAATGTAGGTGACATAAGGACAGTGGGGAGTTATGGGGGCACAGAAAGGTGCCAAAGAAAGTGCCATTCGTTTGTTCATGTCTGTCTAGCAGAATAGCTGAACATGAACGAGCCAGGCTGTGTGTTGCAGAGGGGCATTGGGGCAGGGGTGGAGCAAAAAATCATGCTTTGCTCCAATCAGGGTGGCCAGAGGACCTGATGGGAGACTCCTCTGGCCAGGTTGTCAGTGTGTGGCCTGCGGCCATCTGTCTTCCACAGTGATACCCCACGGGACAGACCTTAGGGTCCCTGCATGGCTGAAATGGAACAAAAGAGGGAAGAGCCTGTCACTTTTTCATTTAGCCTGTACCTTCCAGACCCTTCCTCCGCCACGGCATGCAGGGGAGAAAGTCACACACAAGGCGAGTGGCATTCTTCCCAAGGTGCATACTTTTGCCTTTTTGCATAACCTGTCATGTGCGCTCCCCCTCATAGATATTTTTGCCATGAGTAGAATGGTATTAATTTATTACTAGTCATCATCATGAGTAATTCACTTTTTTGTACACCTCAGGTACATTGGATGAACCACAGTCTTTGGTCTATAATCCTCTCTTTTTACTGATCCAGGCCTGGCCCATCTTTGTGCTTATTTGTGTTTAATTATTTATTTATTTCAAAATAATATAAGAAACACAAACTACCACCCAGGGCTAGAACTAAAATATGAAGCAGACCCACATGTACCTATGTGCACCTCGTCCGTTCTATCCCTCTATCTGTTATCCTGCTACTCCACATAGATTATTATTATTTTATTTATTTGTTTATTTTGAGACAGGGTCTCACTCTGTCGCCCAGGCTGGAGTGCAGTGGTGTGATCTCAGCTCACTGCAGCCTCGGCCTCCTGGGTTCCAGTGGTCCTCCCACCTCAGTCTCCTGGGCAGCTGGGACTACAGGTGCATGCCATCATCTCCAGCTATTTTTTTAGTTTTTGTAGGGATTGGGTTTCGCCATATTTCCCAGGCTGGTCTTGACCTCCTGGACACAAGCAATCCACCTGCCTCAACTTCCCAAAGTGCTGGAATTACAGGCATGAGCCACCACACCCAGCCTAGGTTTTTTTTTTTTTTTTTTTTGAGGCAGAGTCTTGCTCTGTTGCTGAGGCAGGAGTGCACTGGCCTGATTTCTGCTCACTGCAACCTCTGCTGAATCCTCCACCTCCTGGCTGGGTTCAAGTGATTCTCCTGCCTCAGCCTCCCAAGTAACTGGGACTACGGGCGCGTGCCACCATGCCCGGCTAATTGTTGTTGTTGTGTTTTGTTTTTGGTTTTTTTTTTAGACGGAGTTTTGCTCTTGTTGCCCAGGCTGGAGTGCAATGGTGCGATCTGGGCTCACCACAACCTCCACCTCCCAGGTTCAAGTGATTCTCCTGCCTCAGCCTCCCTGGTAGCTGGGATTACAGGCATGCGCCACCGCACCCAACTAATTTTGTATTTTTTGTAGAGACAGGGTTTCTCCATGTTGGTCAGGCTGGTCTCGAACTCCCAACGTCAGGTGATCCACCTGCCTCAGCCTCCCAAAGTGCTGGGATTGCAGGCCTGAGCCACCACGCCCAGCCAATTTTTGTATTTTTTTTTCTTTTTTTTTTTTAGAGGGAGTCTCACTCTGTTGCCCAGGCTGGAATGCAGTGGCGTCATCTCAGCTCACTGCAGGTTCCGTCTCCTGGGTTCTCGCCATTCTCCTCCCTCAGCCTCCCGAGTTGCTGGGACCACAGGCGCCCACCACCATGCCTGGCTAATTTTTTGTATTTTTAGTAGAGACGGGGTTTCACCGTGTTAGCCAGGATGGTCTCGATCTCCTGACCTCGTGATCTGCCTGCCTCGGCCTCCTAAAGTGCTGGGATTACAGGCGTGAGCCCTCGCACCTGGCCCAATTTTTGTATTTTTAATAGAGACGGGGTTTCGCCATGTTGCCCAGGCTGGTCTCGAACTCCTGAGCTCAAGTGATCCACCTGCCTCGGCATGCCAAAGTGCTGGGATTACAGGCGTTAGCCACTGAGCCTGGCCATCAGCCTAGATTATTTAAAAATTTTGATCTCGGCCGGGCGTGGCGGGTGACGCCTGTAATCCCAGCACTTTGGGAGGCCGAGGCGGGCAGATCGTGAGGTCAGGAGATCGAGACCATCCTGGCTAACACGATGAAACCCCGTCTATACTAAAAATACAAAAAATTAGCCGGGCATGGTGTCGGGCGCCTGTAGTCTCAGCTACTCAGGAGGCTGAGGCAGGAGAATGGCATGAACCCGGGAGGCAGAACTTTCAGTGAGATTGCGCCACTGCACTGCAGCCTGGGCAACAGAGTGAGACTCTGTCCCAAATAAATAAATAAATAAATAAATAAAAATATTGATCTCTTAAACTGTGTGAGCTATGAGACCGTGAGCCTGTGTGAGGCTTGTGAAGGATCACACCTACTACCACAGTTTATTCACCAGGACCTGAGCCAGTGCTTCTAAGTCCTAACTGGCTGAATTTGCTTATGCCTAGAGGGACCAGAACCTCAGTCAATGACACATGTTCACAGCCTTGTGGCTGGAGTCCCCAACTTGCAGTGAAGTAAGATTGTCCACAAATGTATTTCACATTGTTTTGAAATTTCACCTAAGCTAGGGTGTCTCAATTTCGGCATTACTGACACATTGGGCTGGGGAATTCTTTGTTGTGAGGGGCTGCCCTGACCCTTGTAGAATGTTTAACAGAATAACTGGCCTCTGCCCAGTAGATGCCAGTAGCACTCCCAGTTCAACCAATTCTGCAGATAAAGTTTCCCCAAAAGACAATGCCCCTCCATAAAAGAAAATACAAGCACATTTGTATTGTGGGGCCTAGCTACATAACCTGTGGGCCTCAAACTAGCAGCCTGAAGGATGCCTGGAAGGTCATTAGAAACGGAGAATCTCAGGCCCCACTCAGACCTAGAAATCAGGATCTGCCTTTCAGCAAGATCCCCGGGTGATTCATCTACACAATCAAGTTTGAGAATCACATTCATGGAGTTTATACAAACCGCACATCTGTGTGTGACTAGAGTGGGCCCAACTGTGTTTCTCAAGGGTGGGAGGGGGATTACTGCCATTTTGGGTGGGACAATGCATTGTTGTGTGGGATTGTCCCATGCTTTGTGGGACAGACTATCCCATCCCCATTAAATGTTCACAATGCTCCCCAGTGCCCAAGACAAGTAGACATTCCCTCTAAGACTCTTGGTGGAGTAGAGCTGCCCTGAGGTGTGAACTCTGGAAGAGGAGAGTCCCTCCACTCTTAAGACCTTGGATGAATGCAATTTGCCTGACAATAGGACTGCCTGTCTACAGATGGGTCTGGGAGGAAAGGAAAGATGCAGAAGTTAAAACATCACAGTGCTCTTCATCACGGCTTCAAGGGGTTAGGGGCTTGCTAGGAAGTGCCAGGTTGATAAGTACTGGCCAAAGGGGAGCCAGGGCCATGAGCCTGGCATATCCCAGGCAATGTCCAAGCTAGGAGCATTGAGGAGTGGAACAGAGGAGATATAGGAGCCCTCCGGGAGAAGCAGGAATTACAAAGTGCTGCCCAACCAGTCAGACCAGCTGGGCCGGTTCCCCCTGAGTCCTGGCAGCCTTAACGGGCTCATTAGAATAAAGCCAATGATTGAAAACAGTTTGGCATCCCAGAGCCTGTCTGGGGAGAGGAAGGAAATGCATACAGGTGGGTGAGGTGCCCATTCTGTGCCCCACCCCCTTCTCACCTGCAGGCCCTTCCCAGAAGTGGGAGGAATAGGTGGTTCCACAGCTGGGAAACTTGAGAGCTCAGTGGGATAAGCCCCTGCTTTGACAATGCAGCTGGATGCCCGCCCTGGGCTCAAAACTGAAGGGGCTGGGTTTGCTCCCCACCTGCTGCTTGTCAGGCACAGTGAGTCAGGGTCTCATTTCAGGTCCTCACAACTCTCCTAGGCTCCTGCCATTGCAACCACCTGCACTTCCCCAGATGCCGAATGCACTCTCACTCTCCTGCCTCCTAGTCCTTCCTGTGCTATTCTCTCCACCTGGAAAGCCCCTTCTCTCTTTTTAGTAACTCCTACTCATTTTTAAAGACCCCTCTTGGCAGCAATCCCAACCTCCCTTTCTCTTGTTCTCTCAGCCCCCATGCTTGGGTGTGGGAGGGCCCCCATCCTCTTTCAAGTTCCCCTAACTCCAGGCTCCTGCTGGGGCTATAGCTCATAAGCTGTTATATCATAGATTGTTTTGTTTTTCTTGAGCATAAGACTGGTGCTTTTTTCATATTTATATCTCTGGTGCCTGGCACAGCACCCGACACAAAATATTCAAGAAATGTTTGTCAAATGAATGGTGGACATCCTAGAGTGCTTGGTCCAACAAGGTCATGTGCTAGCTATTCTCTTTTGTTCATTACTGTCAATCAGTCAGTTAACCAGTATTGATTGAGTACCTGCCTCGGGCCAGGTCCTAGGGATGAAGAGTTAGAACCCATATTCTCATAGCTTTTCTACACCAGTGAAGAAAACAAGGCTAACTGGAGCCTTTGACTGCTAGAAAGAGGTCAACTGGTCCAATATCTTTGTTTACCACTGAGGAGGAAGGCGCAGCCTGTGGGTAGACGGATGGGCCTCTCTCATGCTCGTCTGTGTAGTGGGGTCTTCCTCATGTCAGCTGCCATAGGTAACTCATATTCATTGTTGGGAGTCTGTTCCAGGCACACATCCCACAGCTGGCAGTAGTCAGCCTCTCAAATGCCACATCTTCCTCATTGACAACAAAGGGAACCAGAGCTAGCAAGAAAAAAAAAAGCCTTTTCTCTTGGAATGCCCACTGCCTTCTATAGCTGTGTTAGGCCATTTTTGCATTGCTCTCAAGAAATACCTGAGGCTGGGTAATTTATAAAGAAAAGAGGTTTAATTAGCTAGAGATTCTGCAGGCTGCACAGGAAGCATGGCGCCAGCATCTGCTTGGCTTCTGGTGACGGAGGCCACAAGGAGCTTTTACTTCTGGTGGAAGATGAAGAAGGAGCAAGAGAGAGAAAGGGGCGTACCACATACTTTTAACGACCAGATCTCAGGTGAACTCAGAATGAGAACTCACCATTCACCAAGGGGATGGTACTAAGACATTCATAAGGGATCTGCCCCAGGATCCAAACACCTTCCTTCAGGCCCCATCTCCAACAATGGAGAAGCCTCTTTCTATGCGAGATTTGGAGAGGACAAACATCCAAACCATGTCAATAGCTCCTTACAAAGGGTTTGGACGGAAAACTAGAAATAGGCTCAGATAGATCCAGAGAGGTTTGCAGCCCTCCATGCCATCTTTGGCTGTTAGGAGATGATGTTTCTAACTCTGCTTGTCTGGATTCTGTTCTCCCTGCTTTAGCTTGGGAGCCCGTGTTGGAAGAAAGGCACTGAAATGCCTCAGAGCAACAAGTGTCAAAGACCTACATGGAGAGCGGAAGCTTGTGGTTGTCTTGGCTCAAGAGGCTGGGGTTGGCCAGGCACGATGGCTCATGCCTGTAATCCCTGCACTTTGGGAGGTCGAGGCAGGCAGATCACCTGAGGTCAGGAGTTCAAGACCAGTCTGGCCAACATGGTGAAACCCAGTCTCTACTAAAAATACAAAAATTAGCCAGGCGCCTATAGTCCCAGCTACATGGGAGGATGAGGCAGGAAGATCGCTTGAACCTGGGAGGTGGAGGTTGCAGTGAGCAGAGATTGTGCCACTGCACTTCAGCCTGGGTGAGAGAGTGAGACTGCATCTCAAAAAAGAGGCTGGGGTTCTCATCTTTGGTATGTTCAATCATCCCAGAGGTGAGCCTGAAATTCTAAAACATAAAGAGTTCCTCCAAAGTTGCTCTGGGCGGGTCCCAAATTCAAGTTTCCCACTGGCCCTCAGTCTCCTAAGGTTGTTTTAAAGGGAGAATGTTGGCCAATTCTGACTGGGACCCACACCTCCAGGTAAAACTTTAAAAGGACAGCCTTTAGAGAAGAAGGCAGAGATGGGAAAGAGGTAAAACAGCTGTCACCTCTCTTAATTCTAACAATCTTCTCGCACCTAGCTGTAGCCAACTTAGTTCCCACATTCAGCGAAGTTAAGTTGTTTCCAATCATTTGGCCCCTCCCAGCCTGGGGGCCTCTGACCTCTGGCCTTTCTTTGGAAAAGCAATGCAGAGTCCAGATCTGCAGGAGTAGCTCCCAGCTGGGCCCCCGAGAAGGGAAGAAGCAAACTTTCCACAGTTTGCACCAAGACCCAGGAGGCAATGTCAGAGAGGAAGTGAGGAAGCCTGCCTGGCAGAAAAGCAATGGCGGCTCAGACATATCCACCCACAGACACTCCATTCTCCTGCAAGTGTCCCCACAATGGATTGGCTCTGCCAGGAGCCATCCCTACCCCCATTCAGCTATCTTAGAATTGTCACCTCCTGAAATAAGGACAGAACATTATGTAACCCATTTCCTCAGGCCTCAGACCTATGGAGTCACATGCACTAGTCAGGAGAATCCCATTGGCTCTTCCATAGGGCCCCAGGGCCGCTGCACACAGGGCTTTGTGTGAATTAGAGAGAGGAGGCCTCTCTGGGCACTTTTGAAGGTGCCTTCTCTGAGTAGAAAAAGCAGAAAAATGTCCCCATTTGCGTGACAGGCACTCTCGGATGCAGCAATATTTATGCAACTGTATGTGTGGCACTGAATGAGTCCCTCCTTTTGAAGCCTTCCCTAGGTGGTCTGGGTGTTTTCAGAGCATCTGCCATGTTCCTCCTGTCCTGCTCAAGCTCTCTCTGGTTGATGGCCTCTGTCTCCAAGGCTACTGGAGGACATCTTGCTTCTGCTGGTGTCCACTGTGGGGTGCTGATGTCTGGCTCCAGGGAGGGCCTCCCTGTGCTCTCAGAATGGCCAAGTGAGGCTGTGCCCTCGGCGCCTGGGCACGAAGGCAGTGCTGTTGGAGGCTGGCATCACACTGAACCAGCTTTTTTTTTTTCCTTTTTAGAGACAGTCTCACTCTGTTGCCCAGGCTGGAGTGCAGTGGCATGATCACAGCTCACTGCAACCCCCGCATCCCGGGTTCAAGCGATTCTCCTGCCTCAGCCTCCGGAGTAGCTGGGATTACAGGCATGCACCACCACACCCAGCTAATTTTTGTATTTTTAGTAGGACGGGGTTTCACCATGTTGGCCAGGCTAGTCTTGAACTCCTGACCTTAAGTGATCCGCCCGCCTCAGCCTTCCAAAGTACATAGAACCAGCTCTTAAGGCCACTGCCTCAGGCCCTCACTCCACAAAACCGTAAGTCCTTGGGACCAGGCCAACAAAGGGTCACAATCCAAGGTGGATATCCTGTGCCCCACTCACTCCAGTTCCCCCAAGTCCACAGACAAACCCTGCTGCTTTCAGCATTCCTCTTCCTCAAAGGCAAACCTTGCTTGCTGGGAGCTCCACCCATCAGTTCATGGGACATCCCTAAAAACTCATTTTCCAAATTAAACCACAGAGTACCTTCTGTCATACATTTTGGAGTTTTGTTTTACCTACCTCCTTCTTTTCCCGTAGTGAAACAAGCAAGGGGTTTAGCCTGAATGCATTCTACATCGTAGCAGAGTTTATGGGGAATCCGACTAGGTTATAGGAAAGACTGAGATCAAAAGACCAAACACTACGTTTCCAAGATTGTTTGTAGGAAATAGTCAAAATTGAGAAGCTGTAGATATGAACAGGACACCCTGTTGAAAGAAAATGAAGTGCTAGGCCAGTACTGACATAAGGTAAGAGATAAAATGAGCCAGTGAGAGAATCCCACGCACCACACCTCATATGATCCAGGAAAGCTTCCTGGATGTGGAGGACTTTGATGTAAAGAGTAACCAAAATTTCCTATGAGGAATCACCCCTTCCCCTCTCTCAGTCCCAAGGTGAAACACATGACTTGGTTCTGAACAATCAAAGCCCTGAATCCACTATCCCCAGTGACTGTTTGGGAGGAAGGGGTTAAGCAGGGTGACTCCTAAGTCTGAATTTGAACCTGTAAGGATAAAGTCGTGAATCTGTTACCCAATGGAGAATGACAATAAGCCAACAACAAGAGTAGAGGCGAGAAATGGAGAGAGGCCCAGTCCACATGAGTCCTGGGTTAAGCTTTATCTGAAGTCTTTTATATATAAAAGACAGTAAATTCCCTTTTCTGAGTAGGCCGATTTAAGTT
Organism: Homo sapiens; assembly: GCF_000001405.40. Taxonomy (NCBI): domain Eukaryota; kingdom Metazoa; phylum Chordata; class Mammalia; order Primates; family Hominidae; genus Homo; species Homo sapiens. Next base: position 40,159,934 of record NC_000015.10, read on the forward strand.
GGATTTCTACTTCTTTGGAATCAAGAGTCCTGATGATTCAGAGGAAAGAAGGACTTATATAACATGAACAAAGACAGAAAGCTGGGAACTAAGAACCAGAGGGTAGTGGACAGTATCCTCAGCATCTGCCTCTGGGAAGTGCCACCTCTCTGACCATCCCCACAGTCATAAAGGAGAACTCCCCTGTACCTGGGCTTTCTTAAATGACCCTGTTCCTTCCTCAAGGTGGCTAATGCCTGTAATCGCAGCTACTGCGGAGGCTGAGGTGGGAGGATCACTTGACCCCGGGAGTTGGAGGCTGGAATGCAGTAGCCCCATGATGGGGCTACTGCACTCCAGCCTGGGCAACAGAGCAAGAAGAAGACCCTGTCTCTAAAACAAAACCAACCAACCAAACAAACAAAAAGACTCTACTCCCCTGGTCACATCTGAGCTATCACAATTTCTTCCTCAGAAAATTGAAATTGCAACAAACAGTTTAATGTCAGTCAAGGCTAGTCCCCTGAAGGGGAAAAGAGGTAACACCTTGGGAACCATAGCATGGCTGTGTTTACTGCTTGTGGACTGAGCAGAAGAGAAAGCAAGACAGTATCATCACTTTATAGATGAGGAAAACTGATGGTCAGAAAGATTATGTAGCTTGCCTAAGGTTGCACATTTGGTATGATTTTACAGAACTAGAATCCAGCTTTTTGAATTCAAGGGTGGGGCAGGAAACAGCTAGGTCAGTGGCCTAAGAACTCCGGACGGGTGAGATTTGGGGCAGACAGCAGGGGTAGTCACCCTACAAGAGTCACGCCAAGTGCAAGCACTCAGAGACATCTCCCAACACTCAAAACAGCAAAGAAGTTCTGGTGCTTTAAGTGTTCCTCGCTCGGCTCAGAGACTCGGCTTCGAGCCGCGACTCAAGACAGCACCTGGGGGTATTTGTTTTGCCTAAGCCTGCTGCACTTCCACGGCCATTGAATCCCAAAAACTACAATTCCCATTATGCACCGCGAGTTCGCGGACTAAACAGGCATAAACTACAAGCCCCAGAATGCCTTGGGCGAGACGCGAGAGCACGGAGGAGCGGAGGGGCGTGGCCACGTCGACCGCGCGGGACCGTTAAATTTGAAACTTGGCGGCTAGGGGTGTGGGCTTGAGGTGGCCGGTTTGTTAGGGAGTCGTGTACGTGCCTTGGTCGCTTCTGTAGCTCCGAGGGCAGGTTGCGGAAGAAAGCCCAGGCGGTCTGTGGCCCAGAGGAAAGGCCTGCAGCAGGACGAGGACCTGAGCCAGGAATGCAGGATGGCGGCGGTGAAGAAGGAAGGGGGTGCTCTGAGGTAGGTACGGGAGAAAGCTGCTGGGGGCTGGGCCTGAGAGGACACGGCCTGGTAGGTAATAGAAGGCTCCGCTCGGAGCAGTCGAGGGGGAGATCGGCACCGTCAGAACAGACCCCACCGGAGCCTCCTTCCTTTTGGAGTAGAATGCCGGAGGTGGAGGTGAAAACGCAGTGGACTGAGGGCACGTGCGAATCCTGCCGCATCCAGCTTCAAAGCGAAGAAGGCTGCGGGACCCCAGCGGAACAAAGAGTTTGGAAGTTGCAATGTTGTCTGTTTGTAACTCAGCTCAGCCACCTGCTAGTTGTTTGACCTTGGGCAAATCGTTTGTATGGAAAATGCTGATGTTAATGCTGCCTTACGTGGTTCTGGGGGAATTCAAAGTATTTGTTAAGTAACTGCTTCCAAATAAGCGCTCAACAAATGGCAGGTGCTATGCCAATAGCACAGAGATCTGAAAGCCTTTAGCCAATATCATAGAGATCTAAATTATGCCAATAACATAGAGATCTAAAAGCCTTTTTCTGCATGTTTGCGGCTTTTCCTTGTATTAAAAAAACTATATTGCAGTTCTAGGTTGGAAATCTGTATGTGTTTTCACTGTGGTGCCCGCAATACCTAGATAAGTGCTATGTCATGGGCTCTTTCATTCATGTAACAAGTATTTTTTTGGCTAAGCTCTGAGTGCAGCAAATATACAGACACAAAAATCTCAACCCTCATGAAGCTTAAGTTCTGGCATGGGATGAAGGTGGGGGAGTCAGACAATAAAGACAAACTGTTAGGTGGAGATGTGGTCAGTACTAAAAAAAATAATAAAGCAACTGGGTGTAGTGAATATTGGGGGTGGGGATTGGTGCAATTTAACTTGAACACTGGAGTCTCACTGAGGAGATGTCACTTTGGTCAAGACTTGAAGGAATCTCAAAAGCTAGAGGTTCTATATCTGAGGAGAGTACAAAGGCTGAGGGTGAGAGCTAGGGGAGGAAGTTGCACCTGGCATGTCCAAGGCCATTGTCACTGGAGCAGAATTAACTAGAAGAGTAAAAGGATATTATGTAAAAATGGTGAAGATGCAGATTGTAAGGACTTAGCTTTTACTCTAGTTGTAATCAAAAGTCATTGGAAGGTTTTGAGCAAAGGAAAGACATAATCTGACTTGGGTTTAAATGGGGTCACTTTGGCTGTAGTGTTGAATACACTAAAGGCAGCAAAGGATGGAAGCAAGGGACACCAGTTAAGAGGTTATTGAAATAATTCAGCTCAAAAGTGAGTTGAGCCAGGTGGAAAACAGTGGAGATGATGATAAGTGGTTGATTTCTGTATATATTTTGAAGGTAGAACCAGTAGGACTTGCTGACTGACTGAGGGGTATGAGAAGGGCATCAAAGTTGGCACTAAGATTTTTGGCTTGGGTAACTGAAGAATGGGATTGCCATTTATTTGAGAAAGAGGAAGACTGTGGGAGGAGCAGGTCTGGGAGGAAGTGGGGGCAGTCTTAGCTCAATTTGGGATATTTAACTGAGATAGTGTAATTCACTATTTTTAAGAGCAAGAGAAGAAAGTTCAGATGAATTCAACAAACAGGGCATAATAGTGTTATATCTCGTATTAGATCATGGGCATACAAAAATAAATGGCATAGCCCTTACCTTTACAGAGTTCACACAATATAGAGCAGGTCCTGGTATAACATCGTTTCGTTATAATGTTGATGAGAAAAAAAATCAATTCATTGCGGGGCTGCTGTGTATGTGGAGTTTTCATGTTTTCCGCATGTCTGCATGGGTTTCCTTAGGTACTCCAGTTTCCTTCTACATCCCAAAGATGTGCCTGTTAATTGGCGTGTCTAAATGATCCCAGTCTGAATGGGTGTGAATGTGATGCTCCCTGTGATGGAGTGGTGTCCTGTCCAGGGTTGGTTCCTCTCTGAGTTGCTGAGATGGGCTCTGGCCACCCTCAACCCCGAACTAGAATAAGTGAGTTGGAAAATGAATGAAGGAATGAATACAAATTACTGTAAAATAAAAATCTGTAAAGGCTGGGAGCGGTGGCTCACACCTGTAATCCCAGCACTTCGGGAGGCTGAGGCAACAGGATTGCTTAAGCTCAGCGGTTCAAGACCAGCCTGGGCAACATAGTAAGGCCTGTCTCTATTTAAAAAGTTTATATAAAGTGTGTATGATAATCATATAAATGCATGACAATAAACAATGCCTTATGAAAGTGCCCAGCATGCCCACTATAGTGTTACTATTTGTTTTTTGAACTTTGTGGTGGTAGGAGGTACTTCTTGAAATTTTCACTCTCAAACATTTATTCCTTGAGTTAACCCACCAACACTATGACTGCAGTCATTCACTGATTCGCCAAAAATTGGGTAAATGATTATTTTTTGTTTTCATTAAATGTTCTTAAGTGTACGGATAGCTCACATTTATTTCAATATTTAGTATTAAAAATGTTTGTTTCGAGTCTTTATTCAGAAGTTTGGTGACGTTTTTGTGACCAGAAATATGCCATAGGAACTTAACTTTTGTTTATGTCGATCAGCCTGTGGTAAAATTGGTTTTGTTACATGTCATTTTGATTAAAGTCATAGTTTCCAAGAAGCTGTCTCCAACGAGTTTTCAGTGCTCATCTAGACTGAAGTCACATATAACTTTCACTCTATTTCAAAGATTAGTGCCAATGTGTCTCTCTTTTTGTTTTAAGTCCAGAGGTAATGTCTCTTAGAAATAGTCTTCTATCTAACCATTGCAGGGCTCTGAATTGCAGAATACGTAATGGGAATTACCTCCAAAACGTTTCGGGGGTTTTCTCAGTAGGCTTGCTAGAATTGGGTGTGAGGATGCAGGGAATTGTGACTAGTAAACTGTGTTTGTTTGCTTCTGCTTTTAGCTACTTATATGTACAAACTTCAGTTTTGAATCATCATTGAAACATGGGACATTAGTCTCACCCACACTTTGCTAATTTTAATGTTTTTTTTTTGAGACAGGGTCTTGCTCTGTTGCCCAGGCTGCAGTGCAGTGGTGTGATCATGGCTCACTGCAGCTTCGACCCCTGAACCCAAGCAATGCTCCCACCTCAGTCTTCTAAGTAGCCACGACCATGGGCGTGTACCACCACGCCTGGCTAATTTTTCACTTTTTGTAGAGATGGGGGTCTTCCTATGTTGCCCAGGGTGGTGTTGAACTCCTGGGCTCAAGCACTTCTCCTGACTCAGCCTCCCAAAGTGGTAGGATTACAGGCATGAGCTACCACATCCGGCACTAATTTTAAATTAAACTAGATGATGCATTCAATGGTAGGCATAGAATTACTTGTTGCCTTTTTGTCTACTTTGCCAAATTTATAACACTTTTGTTCCCTTCTTTTCTTTCTGCCTTAAGCCCTATTCATTTTTCTTTTTTTTTTTTTTTTTAAAGAAAGAGGCAGGGTCTTGCTATGTTGCCCAGGCTGGTATCAAACTCCTGGCTCAAGAAATCCTCCCACTTCGGCCTCACAAAGTGGTGGGATTACAGGTGTGAGCCACCGCACATAGCCATGCCCTATTCTTATAGTACTGTCTACGATATCCTTGCCAAGTTGTCTTCTATCAGGCAATACTGTAGCCATAAACTTGAAAAACAGCTAACAAAGAAGCTTAGGCATATAATAATAATAATAATTATGTGTCAGTCCACTATATTCAACCCAAGACCATGAATAATCACCTTTCGGAAGACATTTACAATAATCTAGTGCTATAATAGTCAATGTTGGTATGAGATTTACATTTGTTTCCTTCTTCACAGTGAAGCCATGTCCCTGGAGGGAGATGAATGGGAACTGAGTAAAGAAAATGTACAACCTTTAAGGCAAGGGCGGATCATGTCCACGCTTCAGGGAGCACTGGCACAAGAATCTGCCTGTAACAATACTCTTCAGCAGCAGAAACGGTGTGTAGAATGGCTGAGTCTCAACCTGTCGTCATTCATCCTAAATGTTGTAGATAACGTGGGTGTGGATCCATGAGAGATGGCATAATGAGTACTTTTCAAAAATTGGTAGTATGAGAATCTGTTCTCTACCTGCTTTCGTATCACATGACAGCTATCTGAAGATGTCCTCAGGTATAATTAAGAACAAGGGCTATAGGATTTCATTTCACTGTGGTGCAGCGAAACTCTTTTTATCAATAGAAATACATTTTATACAGGGGGCAGTGATAAGCATAGTAAAGCAAGTATTATATTGCAATGCTTCCCAAAAGTATTATGTTAGGAACTTATTTTTGAGAGTATGACAAAAAAAGAAGTGGTCTCCAAAGACATGTAAACCTCAGAACAATTGAATTTATACCAGAAAGTTCTCAATAATTTTAACAAACTCTGGATAAATAAAAGCTGAAAAATACTCTTATGTTATTCAAATGGACCTGTGGATCTCCTTTAACTAATACATGTTTTGATAAATATGCTTTTTAAAAAAAAAGGTAAATCAGAGTATCAGTTTCTACCTTCAATCTCTGACAAAAAGAAATACTGCCATTACTGGCAAAATATCATAATTTGGGATTATAATGCAATGACTATTCTTATTCATCTCTTTGGATTTTTTTTTTTTTTTTAATATGACAGGGTCTCCCTCTATCACCCAGGTTGGAGTACAGTGGCCTGATTTCAGCTCACTGCAACCTCTGCCTCCCGGTTTTAAGTGATTCTCCCACCTCAGCCTCCCAAATAGCTGGGATTACAGGCGTGCGCCGCCACGCCTGGGTAATTTTTGTATTTTTAGTAGAGATGGGTCCTTGCCATGTTGGCTGTGCTGGTCTTGAACTCCTGAGCTCAAGTGATCCGCCCACCTTGGCATCCCAAAGTGCTGGGATTACAGGCGTAAGCTACCGCACTCAGCCTCATTCATCATATTTTTTCATGTTACATGCATCAGTAGATTGCTCTTTTTATTGCTGAATAGGATTTCATTTATTTATTCACCAATTGATGAATATTTAGATTCTTCCAGTTTTGTGCTTTATAAATAATGTTGCTATGGACATTCTTGAACAAGGCTTTTTGTAGACATAATTTTCTCTCTCTCTCTTTTTTTTTTTTCTTTTAGAGACGGAGTCTCGCTCTTTCGGCCAGGCTGGAGTGCAGTGGCACGATCTTGGCTCACTGGAAGCTCTGCCTCCTGGGTTCACGCCAATCTCCTGCCTCAGCCTCCTGAGTAGCTGGGACTACAGGTGCCTGCCACCACGCCCAGCTAATTTTTTCTATTTTTTAGTAGAGACGGGGTTTCACCGTGTTAGCCAGGATGGTCTCGATCTCCTGACCTTGTGATCCACCCGCCTCAGCCTCCCAAAGTGCTGGGATTACAGGCGTGAGCCACCGCGCCCAGCAGTAGACATAATTTTCATTTCCCTTGGAGTGGAATTGTTGGACCATAGAATAGATGTATGTTTAACTGTTGAAGAAACTGGTTTACCAAGGAGGTTGTGACATTTTACATTTCTACCAGCAACTCATGAGAGTTCATTTGTACCAAATCCACTCCAGTATTTGGTGTTGTCGATCTTTTTCGTTTTAGCCATTCTAGTTTTGTGGAGTTGTGTCTCATTACTTTGCATTTCCCTGGTGACTAATAATGGTGAACGTTTTTTCACATGCTTTTTGGCCTTTTGTATATCTTCTTTTGTGGTGTATCTGTTTAGATATTTTGCCCAGTTTTCAAATTGTGTTGTAGGGGTTCTTTATTTACTTTTCCCAGGAGTATAGATTCAAGTTTCCCTGATTCAAGTTTCAGGAGCATAGATTCAAGATTCCCTGAATCTATGCTCCTCAGTAGGGGTTCTTTATAAAGTCTCTATACTAGTCTTTTATCAAATATATGTGTTGCAAATTTTTTTTCCCTCACCCATGGCTGTTTATTTTCTGGGTGTTTTTTTTTTTTTAAACTGCTTAGTTTTAAATTTTGATGAAGTTCAATTAATTAGTATTTTTCTTTTATGGTTAGCATTTTTTGTGTCCTCTTCAGGAGACTTTTGCCTACCCCAAAGTGACAAAGTTACTCTCTTATGTTTTCTTTTACTAGCTTCATTTTAGCTTTTTTTTTTTTTTTTTTTTTTTTTGAGACGGAGTGTTGCTCTTGTTGCCCAGGCTGGAGCGCAATCTCAGCTCACTGCAACCTCCGCCTCCCGGGTTCAAGTGATTCTCCTGCCTCAGCCTCCTGAGTAGCTGGGATTACAGGCACGCACCACCACGCCTGGCTAATTTTTTGTATTTTTAGTAGAGATGGGGTTTCCCCATGGCCAGGCTGGTCTTGAACTTCTGACCTCAGGTGATCCGCCCGCCTCGGCCTCCCAGAGTGCTGGGATTACGGGCATGAGCCACTGCGTCCAGCCAAGCATTATTTTAGCTTTTATGTTTAGGTGTATGATTTTTCTTAAATTTTTCCTTGTATATGGTGTGGGGTTGGAGTAAACAAGTTTTTTTCCTCTCATATGGGTTATCTTTCTAGTTGTTCTGCCTCATTTGTTAGATTTTTTTTTTTCCTTTCCTCACTGAATTGCGTTGGGGCCCTTTTCAAAAATCATTTGACCACATATGTGTGGGTTATTTCTGGACTCTATATTCTGTTCCATTGATCAAATTGTCTGTCCTTTCACCAATAAAATACACTGTTTTGATTAGTTTTACATAGCAAGTCCAGCAGAGTGAGTTCTACAGCTTTTGTTCTTTTCAAAATTGCTTTAGTTATTCTTGGTCCTTTGCCTTTGCAAACAAAGTTTGAAATCATCTTGTCAATTTCTAGAAAAGAGCCTACTGAAAAAGAAAAAAAAAAAAAAAGGCTGGGCACGGTGGCTCAAGCCTGTAATCCCAGCACTTTAGGAGGCCGAGGCAGGCGGATCACCTGAGGTGAGGAGTTTAAGACCAGCCTGACCAACATGGAGAAACCCTGTCTCAACTAAAAATACAAAATTAGCCGGGCGTGGTGGCGCATGCCTGTAATCCCAGCTACTCGGGAGGCTGAGGTAGGAGAATCACTTGAACCTAGGAGGTGGAGGTTGCAGTGAGCCGAGATTGTGCCATTGCACTCTAGCCTGGGTAGCAACAGCGAAATTCCGTCTCAAAAAAAAAAGAAAAGGAAAAAGAGAAAAGAAAAGAGCCTACTGGGATTTTGATTACATTGGTTTGAATCTATAGATCAATTGGTAGGATTGCTGATTTTTATCAGTAGTGCCTTAGATTTTATTGTTTTACCATTTCTGCAGATAATCTCATTATTTCACACTTTAATTGCCATATTAGCCTCATAACTGTGGTCCCTTCTTCTAATGCCTGGCTATCCTTATAAAGTTGCTTGATTAATCTTTCTGAAATCTTATATTTAAGATGCCCTCCAATTAAAGAACCAATAGTGGCTGGAGTAGATGGAATCCAAAGTCTTTAAATTTACATTTAAAGCATGTGCTTCTTACTTCTCCAGGGGTCTCCATTTGCTCTCGGTACTGACTTTATGTTATAGCTTAGGGTTCACTCACCTTCCTTTGGATGAGCTCTTCCACCTTCGTAATTTTATTCAATATTAGTTTCCCTCTGTCTTGAAAAAACTGTTTTTCTTTCAAATTCCATGGTTCTTTCAGAGTCTCACCTTCTGAGGCTGCTTCTGTGATACCTCCTTTTGACTTAAAGCCTTTACTATCCATTCTTGGCAACTGTAATTTAGTATCCTGCTTTGTATTACTAGTTCATTTTTCATTTGTGTACTTTGTTTTTCTTATTAGAGTATAAATTCCCATGTGTCAGGGACTAATTATTTTTAGATCAAACATAACTGCTTATCCAATTTTTATTAATCATTATCCAAATTCTGGCTTATTACCTAATTCTTCCCCTCTATTCTAACTGGTCAGTCTTAATTTGGTCTTAGCCCTCTGCCTTTCCCAGCTTTTTATAGTCATATTTTACCCTTTTTTTGAGGTATTCTCCAAATTATTTATAGTATTATTCTTCTCTGACCAATGTTACCCATGGAAGTTTTTTTTGAACTTTAAAATTCTTATTTATATATTTGTTCATGTGTGTAAACCCTTTACATTTAAGACTAGTCAACCTAATAAGAAAGTACTATTATTATCCCCATTTTACAAATGAGGAAACTGAAAACAGAGTTTTAAGTAGCTTGTCCGTGTTACTCAGCTTGTGATTGGTGGAGCTGAATTTGAATCTAGGTTGTCTTGTTCCAGAGTTCTTAACTGCTGTGTAGTATTAATACTACTTTTCTGTATGTTGTCTTGAAATTTGTTTCTCTAATTTCTATATATTTTCTCTCTCTTCTTATGTTAAGTAGAATCTTAATTATTTCTATTCTTTTTTTTTTTTTTTTTTTTTTGAGACAGAGTCTTGCTTTGTTGCCCAGGCTGGAGTGCAGTGCTGCAATCTCTGCTCACTGCAGCCTCTACTTCCAGGTTCAAGTGCTCTTCCCACCTCAGCCTCCCGAGTAGCTGGGATTACAGGTGCTTGGCACCACACCCAGCTAATTTTTGTGTTTTTAGTAGAGATGAGGTTTCACCATGTTGCCCAGGCTGGTCTCAAACTTCTAACCTCAAGTGATCCACCCCACTTGGCCTCCCAAAGTGTCGGGATTACAGGCATCAGCCACCATGCCTGGCCTTTTTCTATTCTATAACAAACCCATAAACTCTAGTGCAATAATTTAGATCAATATTACCTACTTATTACATGAATAAAAATGGAAGTGATACTTGTTCATTGGCTGTTGTCACTATTGCATATGCTAACTTTTTCTGTTTACATTTCAGGGCATTTGAATATGAAATTCGATTTTACACTGGAAATGACCCTCTGGATGTTTGGGATAGGTGGGTCTTTTTATTTCACAAGGACAATAGAAACATTAACAGATAAGTCCTTATGGCCATGTTTCTCAAATTGGGGTATATGGAGTGTGTGTCAGAGTAGACAGTGGTGTCCTGGGGGCACAGAGATCCAGAATAATCATAATATATCTTCCTGAGGTGTTTAAGATTCAAGAAATTTCAAGTTTATGATGTACAACTTTGAACTACACCCTTCTATCCCTATCCTCAGTTTTCCCCAGAAGCATGTACTAGAGATACTTTGGAGAAGTTTGAGGGATACAGGCTTAGGGTATGTCATTGAGGACCTCAAAAGAAACATACTTTACTTCTGCTAAAATCCAGAATGGGTCTTGGAGCAAGAACAAAAGTACATGTTCAATTTAAAATGTGTTCTTATCTTTTTCCTCCCATTTAGGTATATCAGCTGGACAGAGCAGAACTATCCTCAAGGTGGGAAGGAGAGTAATATGTCAACGTTATTAGAAAGAGCTGTAGAAGCACTACAAGGAGAAAAACGATATTATAGTGATCCTCGATTTCTCAATCTCTGGCTTAAATTAGTAAGTCTTTCTCAAGTGCCATCTGAGTTTTAAATATTAAACTAAGAGATTTTCTCTAGAGGTATCTGGTATACCAAAAAAAAAGTAAAACAGCCATTTTGAACCATTTAGTAGATTGGAAACATTTAATAAATATGCAATACTTCTTAAATTGGTTCTACTTAAAGGTGGACTTAAATATAGTATAATAAGGTATTTTCGCCCTTTTAAGATTGATCGCAAAGTCTGTAGATCTCTCAGTGAGTATGGATTAATAATTTATTTTATATTTTGAAACAAGGTCTCACTCTGTCACCCAGGCTGGAGTGCAGTGGCTCCATCATGGCTCACTGCAGTCTAAACCTCCTGGGCTCAAGCAATCCTCTCGCCTCAGCCTCGTGAGTAGCTGGGACTACAGGTGCTGTGCCATTACGTCCAGCTAATTTTTTAATTTTTAATAGAGATGACTTCTCTCTCTGTTACCCAGGCTGGTCTTGAACTCCTGAGCTCAAGCCATCCTCCCACCTTGGCCTCCCAAAGTGCTGGGATTATAGGCGTGAGCCAACACCCCTAGTCCGGATTACTTATTTATTTATTCTAAACATAACTGGGTGCAGTGTTTCATGTCTGTAGTCCCAACACTTTGAGAGGCTGAGGTGGGCTGATCGCTTCAGCCCAGGAGTTCAAGACTAGTCAGGGCAAAATTGGTGAGACCCCATCTCATAAAGTACAGAAATTAACCAGGTGTGGTGGCACAGCACCTGTAGTCCCAGCTACTCAGGAGGCTGAGGTGGGAGGGTCGCTTGAGCCCGGGACGTCCAGACTACAGTGAGCTGAGATTGCACCACTGTCCGCCAGCCCAAGTGACAGAGCAAGATCCTGTCTCAAAAAAACAACCAAAACAGAAAAACATAATTGGGCCATTCAACTGTACTGGAGGAGGAGGTGCAGGAGCTAACATTTGGCAGCAGTGTGGTTGTTTGGGGAAAAACTTCCCTCTGTGATTCTGGTATCCCTTTCACTCCTTTATGAAAGTCATCAACACAAAGAAGTGATATTTTAGTTTTTTATTGGTCTTTGGACTTTTTTCACCTAGTATATTGCTACAGCCAAAAATGTCTGCCTCAGCTGGGCATGGTGGCTCATGCCTGTAATCCCAGCACTACTTTGTACTGTCTTACTTGACATGTAGGAAAAACATATTTTTTATTAAAAAAATGACCACCGTTTGTTAGACATTAATATTACTGCTTTTATTCTAAAATAAATTTAAAAAAATAAACAATAAATATTTGGAATTATTTACAACCACCACAATATGATGAAATATTGACATTAAAACTGATAAGATTTCTTACTAAAATAAATCTCTTGGCATTAAAACTGATAAGATTTCTTAATAAAATAAAGTAAGAAATAAATTTCTTACTAAAATAAAGAAATAAATTTCTTACTAAAATAAAGTAATAAAGTAAGAAATAAATTTCTTACTAAAAGTAATAAAGTAAGAAATAAATTTCTTACTAAAATAAAGTAATAAAGTAAGAAATAAATTTCTTACTAAAATAAAGTAATAAAGTAAGAAATAAATTTCTTACTAAAGTCTTAAGGAGGACTGATTTTAAACTTCCAATACAGTTGACCCTTGAACAACACAGGGCTTAGGTGTGCCCACCCCTCACCCAGTTGAAAGTCTGCATATAACTTTTGGCCCCCAAAATTATTAATAGCCTACTGTTGACCAGACGCCTTACCAATAACATAAAGTTGATGAACACATAGTTTGTATGCCATATGTATTATATCTTTTTTTTTACAACAATCTTAGCTAGAGAAAAGAAAATGTTATTAAGAAAATTATAAGGAAGAGAATGTATATTTAATAGTCATTAAGTGGATGATTGTAAAGATCTTCATCCTCGTCTTCACATTGAGTAGGCTGCGGAGGAAGAAAACGGGTTCGTCTTGCTGTCTCACGGGTGGCAGAGATGGAAGAAAATCTGTATATGTGAACCTATGCAGTTCAGACCTGTGTTGTTCAAGGGTCAACTGTAGTTACAAGTATAGAAAATTAGGTAAATCCTGAAGCCATGAGGTATCTTGATTTCCTCAGGACATTCGACAAATATTTTTACATCCTTAGTGAAAGGTTGGAGAAATTACCCTATGGATATTAGTTACAGAAACTTATAATGAAGAATGGCACCCAAAGAATGCTAAACAGATTTGTTAGCCTGGAGTCTGTGGACCCTGGTGGTGTAACAATGGATTTTGTCCTTCATTTGTCACTAGCCTAAATAATATCTTTACATGTAATTTATTATAAGATTGGAGACTGGGTGTGGTGGCTCCCACCTGTAATCCCAGCACTTTGGGAGGCCAAGGTAAGTGTATCATCTGAGGTTAGGAGTTCGAGACCAACCTGGCCAACATGGTGAAACCTCATCTCTACTAAAAATACAAAAAATGCAAAAATTAGCCGCACGTGGTGGTGCGCACATGTAATCCCAGTTACTCGGGAGGCTGAGGCAGGAGAATCGCTTGAACCCAGGAGACAGAGGTTGCATGAACTGAGATCATGCCACTGTACTCCAGCCTGGGCGACAGAGCGAGACTCAGTCTCAGAAAAAAAGATAAAAAAAAAAAAAAAAAAAAAAGATTGGACTAGCTGCACCTCTAAAGTGACTTTTAATCCCAGGATTCTATGATTATATTTAATTGGAGTTGTTAAAAGTAACAATTAATTAGAATAATTTATCTGTTTATTTTTGATAACCTGGTGCTTGTACTGAAGAAGAATAATATCATGAAGTAAAAAGCATAATCTAGATCAGTGCTACTGAAAGAAGGGTTTGCATACTGTTTGAGATAAGTTCAAAAATTGAAAGTGAGCTTTTGGAAACTTTGGTAACAATTTGATATTGCCGGGACATCCAAGCACATCATCATTCTTTGAGTAACTTCTGTTTTTATTGTACTTTATATCAGTCCATAATGGAACACACACATACACACAATAAAACTGGCCCCTTCGCCACAGATTTTTTGAGAAGCACGGGTATAGACAACCATCAAATTCAAATGATCAGCACTAGAATGATCAGCAATAATCTGAACTTTGTATGTGGCTAACGAGGTACATATTAAACTATTGCTTTTTCTTTGTGGGTCTGGTCAAGAGGAGTAACAGATGAATTCTTCACACTACTTTCTTTCGCTTTGCAGAAGGATTTCTCCAGTCAGTTATTTTATGTGACTCCTACAGTCTAGCTAAGGAAAAAATTGTTTCTGGAAAACTTCTGGTATTTTTATTTAAAGGTATAAAATTATTTTAGTTTGGCAATTTAAGGGTTACCAAAAAAAAGGTTTATTTAACTTTTAGATCTATTAATCTAACCATATAGTCCTTTTATTTATGTTATTTCTTAAGTGATCTTATTCAGCACTCTGAATAACCTGATCTTTACTGGCTGTCCCACGCACAAGAACACCAGAACCATTCAGAAAGCTCTCAAAATAGTGAAATCAATGTTAAGCTATATTTATGTAGTGACAGATATCAAAGACTGGATCTTATGCTGGTAGCACATTCAGAGTTATAACTTTTCTTGAAACACCACCACATATGAGAAAACATCACTAATTTAAATAAGCAAGAAAAATCCATTTACTGAATTACTGCAAAATTAAACTATAAAATACTAATTATTTTTGTTAAAGATATAAATAAAACATTCCATTTATTTAGCATTTGTTGTACTAGACCATGATTAAGGGCTGGCATATCATAGCAATGTCTTCTGAGTTTGTAGAGCTTAGTTTATCTGAAAGACAAATATGAAGCCATTAATTGTAACTGTAACAGAGAGAAAATTACGAGTTCTATAGGAACAAATACAAGACGGACTTAACCTGGGCTAGACAATTAGGAACAGATAAATAGGAGATATTTGGTAAAGTAACAAATGGTAGCTTCTCTAGTAGTAACAGAACTCCTAACTAGAACATTGAAATGCTATTTTTGACCAGGCATGGTGGCTCACACCTGTAATCCCAGCACTTTGGGAGGCCGAGGTGGGTGGATCACCAGGTCAAGAGATGGAGACCATCCTGGCCAATATGGTGAAACCCCATCTCTACTAAAAATACAAAAATTAGCCAGCCGTGGTGGCGGGCGCCTATAGTCCCAGCTACTCGGGAGGCTGAGGCAGGAGGATCACTTGAACCTGGGAGGCGGAAGTTGCAGTGAGGCGAGATCGCGCCGCTGCACTCCAGCCTGGGCGACAGAGTGAGACTCTGTCTCAAAAAAAAGGAAAAAAAATGCTATTTTTATGTGAATTTAGGGATTGTTTTTAATAGCTTCTAATGCTGATTAGAGTCTGGTGGAATGAGTATTTTTGCGAATTATTAAATTTTAGCATTAACAATTTTTACAACCTTCTCAGAAAGCAATTTGTTACCTTTTAACATAGTTCTAGGAATTTCTCTTAAGGGAATAATGTAAAATGTGAAAGGTTGTATGCATGAAGTTATTTTTTATAGAATTATTTATAATTGGGCAAAATTAGAAGTTGTTTAAATATCCAGAAGTAGATGAACAATTAAATTATGGAAGCTCTATTAGATGAAACATGATGCATTCATTTAAAAATAATAGTGAAAAGAATTCGAGGTTGCAGTGAGCTATGATTGCGTCACTGCAGTCCAGCCTGGGCAACAGAGCAAGACCTTGTCTGTAGAAATAAAAAAAAATTAAAAATAATGGTTAAGTGTAAGCAGCAGCGTGGAAAAGTGAATGATGCAGTATTATAGTGGAATAAAAGCAAATTTTATTATGATCAAAACTTTATAAGATAATACATATCCTTTCATCCTTAAGGGAAAAAAGACTGAAAAAATTTATCAAAATGTTTGTGATGTGAGGTTTTTAGTGATATTTTCCTCCCTCTTGCTAATAGAATTATCTACATTGTATATGGTCTCATAATGTCCCTTCTAAAACACAGATTTGACTATGTCATTCCTTTGCTTATCGCTCACCCACCCTAACACATACAACAATTACTATTAGGCAGATTCAAAATTGATTAGCTTGATATTCAAGACCTATCACAGCCTTTTTCTCCAGACAACTATCTAGCCTGGACCCCTACATAACTTTTAATTTTCTGTATCTTTGCTTATGCTATTTTCTCTGGCTGAAATACCCTTCCCTTCCCATTTTCCACCTGATAAAAGTCCATTTCTCCTTCAGGGCTAAGCTCAAATGTTAACCCCTTCCTCCCCCCTTTTTTTAATTTTCTTTAGAGACAGGGTCTCACTCTGTCACCCAGGCTAGAATGCAGTGGCACCATCATAGTTCACTGCAGCCTCAAACTCTTGGGCTCAAGTGATTCTCCTGCCCCAGCCTCCTGGGTAGCTAGGACTACAGGCGCCTTCCACCATGCCCAGCTAAAGTTTTAAATTTTGTTGTAGAGACAGGGTCTTGTTATGTTGCCCAGGCTTGTCTCAAACTCCTAACCTCAAGCGATCCTCCTACTCCTACCTCGGCCTCACAAAGTGCTGTAATTACAGGCAGAAGCGACTGCACCTGGCTTATTACTCCTTCTTGAAGCCTTTACTCTCCAACTCTTCTTACAAATCGCTCAGTTTTGCCTCTTTTTTAGGTCCTCCCAGTATGGTCCTTATCACATTGTAATAATAGATTTTTTTTTCAATACAGGAATTGCATGTAGTATCTCCAGTGATTGTTTGGCAACTAATAGGCATTCAATACGTGAGTAGAAATTGGTTAACTGTTAACACTTCTGTTACAGGGGCGTTTATGCAATGAGCCTTTGGATATGTACAGTTACTTGCACAACCAAGGGATTGGTGTTTCACTTGCTCAGTTCTATATCTCATGGGCAGAAGAATATGAAGCTAGAGAAAACTTTAGGAAAGCAGATGCGATATTTCAGGAAGGGATTCAACAGAAGGCTGAACCACTAGAAAGACTACAGTCCCAGCACCGGTAAACTTTCTTTGGAGCTTGTCTTAACTCTAAAAATAATAGAAATAAATTATCTCTTTTTTGCATCTGAATAAAGTGCTTTCTGGTGGATTGGCATGTTAAGTTTACTTAGTTACTATTCAATTTTTTTAAAGATATATTTTAAAAATTTTATTTATCATAGAGTAAAATCCACTCTTTGGTATATGGTACTAGGAGTAAAAAGACTTGTGATCATCATCATTAACAAGATACAGAATAATTTCACACCCCCCAAAAGAATTCCCTTTGTAATTAGTACCTATGCTGAACCCAAACCCCTGGCAAACACTGATTTATTCTCCAGCCTGTGGTTTTGCCTTTTCCAGACTGCCATATAAATGGAATCGTATAATATATAGCCTTTTGAGTTTGGCCTGTTTGATTTAGCATAATGCATTTGAGTTGTAAAAGTTCTTTATAGATTGTAAGTATAAGCCTTTGTCAGATATGTGATTTGAAAATATTTTCTCTCAGCTTAAGCCTGGTCTGTTCATTTTCTTAACTGTCTTTTTTAGAACAGAAGTTTTTAATTTTAAAGAAGTCTAATTTACAAGTTTTTCTTGTATGGATCGTGCTTTTGATGTTGTGTCTGAGAATTTTTTGTCTAGCCAAAGATTGTTACAGAGATTTTCATCTTCAAGTTTTCATCTTCAAGTTTTATAATTTCACTTTTTACATTTAGATCCCTGATCCATTTTGAGTTAATTTTTGTAGAGGATAGAGGTTAAGGTTCTTTTTTAGCATATTAATGTTCATTTGTTCCAATGCCAATTGTTGAAAAGACTAACCTTTCTCCATTGAATTGCCTTTATACCTTGATTTTTAAAAAATCAGTTGATCATATTCATGTAGGTTTATTTCTATTATTCTATTTTTTCTACCGATGTACGTGTCTATCCATTAGTGTTTACCATGCTATCTAGATTACTATACCTTTTATAGTAAGTCTAGAAATCAGATAAAATGAGTCCTCTAACTTTATTCTTATATTTAACTCTGGTAGTTCATTTGACTTTCTATATAAGTTTTAGAATCAGCTTTCTGGGATTTTGATTAGGATTATACAGGAATATGGTATAATTCTCCATTTATTTAGGCTTTTTTTTTTTTAAGTAAACTTTGGTAGATTTTTGTCTTTCAAGGAATTGATCCATTCATCCAAGTTAATGAGTTTGTGGGCATAGAGTTGTTCATAATATTCCCTTATTATGCTTTTAATGTCTGTAGGTTATATAGTGATTCTCCCTTTCTCCTGATACTGGTAATTTATGTCTTCTCAGTCTGGCTTGGATATCAATTTTACTGATTGTTTTAGAAAACCAGCTTTTGGGTTCATTTCATTGATTTTTTTTTTTTTTCTCTTAATGATTTTCTGTTCTTAATTTTATTTCTGCACTTTATTTCTTCCCGCTTGCTTTGGATATAACTTGCTCTTCTTTTTGTAGTTTAAGGTGAAAGCCTAGATCACTGATTCTAGACCTTTCTCTTTTTCTAATATAAGCATTTAATGCTCTAAATTCCCTTCTAAGCACTGCTTTAGTTGTATCCCACAAGTTGTGATATACTGTATTTTCATTTTAATTTAGTTCAAAATATTTTCTAGCTTACCCCGTGTCTTCCTTTTGACCCATGAGTTACTTAGAAGTGTATTACTTCAGTTAGGAAGTGTTTTTGGATTTTTCAGATATCTCTGTTATTGATATCTAGTTTAATTCCATAGTGGTCAGAGAACATAAGGTATATGGTTTCAAGTCTTAAATTTGTTAAGGTTTGTTTTATCACCCAGATTATGGTTTATCTTGGTGAATGCTTCATGTACACTTGAAAAATATGTGTATTCTGTTTTTTAGAGTGTAATATTCTGTAAATATAATTTAGGGCAAGTTGACTGGTAGTCTGTTCTGGTCTTCTGTATCATTGATGACTTTCTGTCTACTTGTTATATCAATTACTAAGAAGGGTTTTGAAGCCTCTTTGTGATTTTGTCTATTTCTTTTAGTCCCATCAGTTTTGCCTAATATATTTTGAAGTTCTTTTAGATGCATAAACATTTAGAATTGACCCCTGTATCATTATATAATGTCTCCCTTTATCCCTGATAATACTCCTTATTCAGAAGTCTACCTGGTCTGATATTAGTACAGCTATTCCAGCTTCCTTTTTGTTTGCATGATACATCTTTTCCCTTTCTTTACTTTTTAAAAACCACATTAAAAAAAAACCACTCTTAGAGTTGTATAATCATCATTACAATCTAATTTTAGAACATTTTTAACACCCTAAAATGAACCCCATGCCCATTAGCAGTCACTCTCCATTCCTACTTACCTCGCTCCTAGGCAACCACTACTCTGCTTTTTGTCTCTATGGATTTGCTTATTCTGGACATTTTAGTTAAATGGAATCCTACAATACATGGTCTTTTGTGATTGGCTTCTTTTACTTAGCATACTATTTCCTTTTTTTTTTTCCAGGGAGGGAAGGGTGGAACAGGGATTTTCAGCATACTGTTTTCAAGGTTCATCATAAATGAACATAGTTGTGACATGTATCAGTACTTTATTCCTGTTTATTGCCGAATGATATTCCATCATATGAATATTATTTATCCATTCATCAGTTAGTGAACATTTAGGTTGTTTGCACCTTCTGGCTATTACAAAATAATACTGTTATATTTGCGTAACAGGTTTTTGTGTCATTTTCTTTTTACCCTTTTGTTAAGCTAGTTGAATTTAGCAGTGGAGGGTTATATACCAACTTTAGTGACACTTATGTTAATTAGCTTCTTTAACTTTTAACCTATGTCTTTATATTTTTTAAGTGGGTTTCTTATACACAGCAAATAGTTGGGTCTTGTTTTTTCTGTGAACTCTAACAATATCTTTTTTGTTATGTTGAGACCATTTAATAGAATTTTTAATATTGTTGGGTTTAGGTCTACTATTTTATTATTTGTTCCATGCCTTTTGTTCCTCTTCAGCCTCTTTCCTACCTTCTTTTGGATTATCTGAGTGTTTTTTAGTATTTCATTTTAATTTGTGTTATTGGCTTTTTGCCTCTTACAACTTTAAGTGGTTGCTATAAGGTATATAATATACCTAAACTTTCACATTCTACTTAATGTTTTACCATTTAAAGTAAAATACAGAAGCTTTATAACCATAAAAGTTCCTTTATATTCCCTACCCTTTTGGTATACTTGTCATAGGTATTACATCTATATGCATTGAAAACCCCACCAGACAATATTTTGTTTTGCTTTCAAAAGCCATATATATATATATATATATATCTCTTAAATAACTTAGGAAAATAGTCTGTTGTGTTTACCCTTTTTTTTGTTGTTGTTTTTTCTTCATTCCTGAAGCTCCAAGTTCCCTTCTAGTATCATTTCCCTTCAGTCTGAAGAACTTCTTTTAGCCACTTTCTTTTAGAGCAGGTCCGTTGTCAATTAATTCTCCTAGTTTTTCTTCATCTGAGAATGTCTTCATTTCATCTTCTTTCCTGAAAAATATTTTTACTGGATATAGAATTCTGGGTCAACGTTTCGTTTCTTTTTTTTTTTTTTTTTTTTGAGATGGAGTCTTGCTCTGTCACCCAGGCTGGAGTGCAATGGATGGCACGATTTCAGCTCACTGCAACCCCCACCTCCCAGGCTCAAGTGATTCTCTTGCCTCAGCCTCCCGAGTAGCTGAGTAGCTGGGACTATAGGCATGCGCCACCACACCCGGCTAATTTTTGTAGTTTTAGAAGAGATGGGGTTTCATCACATTGGCCAGGCTGGTCTCAAACTCCTGACCTCAAATGGTCTGCCCACCTTGGCCTCCCAAAGTGCTGGGATTACAGGCATGAGCCACTGTACCCAGCCAACATTTCTTTTCTTTCACCACTTTAATGATGTTATCCCACTGTCTTCTGGCCTCCTTGGTTTCTTTTTTCTTTTTCTTTTTTTTTTTTTTTTTTTTTTTTTGAGACGGAGTCTCGCTCTGTCGTCCGGGCTACAGTGCAGTGGCGCAATCTCGGCTCACTGCAAGCTCCGCCTCCTGGGATTACGCCATTCTCCTGCCTCAGCCTCCCGAGTAGCTGGGACTACAGGTGCCTGCCACCACGGCTGGCTAATTTTTGTATTTTTAGTAGAGATGGGGTTTCACCATGTTAGCCAGGATGGTCTCAATCTCCTGATCTCGTGATGAGCCTGCTTCGGCCTCCCAAAGTGCTGGGATTGCAGGCATGAGCCACTGCGCCCGGCCCTCTCTGGTTTCTAATAAGAAATCTGTAGTCATTTAGTAGTTCCTGACCTATACATAATGTGTTGATTTTCCTCTGGCCTTGTCCAAGATTTTTTCTTGTTTAGTTTTGGTTTTCAGAAGTTTGATTGTGATGTGTCTAGATGTGATTTTTTTTTTTTTTTTTAGACAGAGTCTAGCTCTGTTGCCTAGGCTGGAGTGCAGTGGCACGATCTCAGCTCACAGCAACCTCCACCTCCCGGGTTCAAGTGATCCTCCTGCCTCAGCCTCCTGAGTAGCTGGGATTACAGGCATGCGCCACCATACCCAGCTAATTTTCTATTTTTAGTAGAGATGGGGTTTCTCCATGTTGGTCAGGCTGGTCTCCAACTCCCAATCTCAGGTGATCCACCCGCCTCGGCCTCCCAAAGTGCTGGGATTACAGGCGTGAACCACCACGCCTGGCCTAGATGTGGTTTTCTTTACATTTAATCTGGGCTTCACTGGGCCTTTTGAATTTGTAAATGTATGCCTTTCACAAAATTTGACAAGTTTTCAGCCGTTATTTTTAAAATGATTTTTTATACCTATTATCTCTTTCTTCTTTCTCTCTCTGAGACTTCAGTTGCACAAATTTTAGACCATTTCCCCCGACTCTGCTACCAATAATCTGTCCAAATTAAACCTTTTGATATCATTCCATAGGTCCCTGAAGCTCTGTTTAACCATTTTTCTTTTTGTTTTTCAGATTGGCCCATTTTTATTGCTCTGTCTTCAGGTTCACTTATTCTTTTCTCTTCCATCTCCATCCTGCTATTGAAACCATTCAACATAAATTTTTTATTTCAGATACTGTATTTTTCAATTCTAAAATTTCTGTTTCATTCTTTTTTATAATTTCTGTTTCTCTGTTGAGAATTTCTGTCTCTCCATTCATTTCAAATGTTTTTACCTTCATCTCATGGAACATAGTTATATTAGGTACTTTAAAATCTCCAGGCTGGGCACAGTGGCTCACGCCTGTAATCCCAACACGCTGGGAGGCCAAGGCGGGGGAATCACTTGAGGTCAGCAGTTTGAGACCAGCCTGGCCAATATGGTGAAACTCTGTCTCTACTAAAAATGCAAAAATTAGCTGTGCATGGTTGTGGGTGCCTGCAATCTCAGCTACTCGGGAGGCTGAAGCAGGAGAATCGCTTGAACCCAGGAGGCAGAGGTTGTAGTGAGCCGAGATTGTGCCACTGTACTCCAGCTTGGGTGACAGAATGAGACTCCATCTCAAAAAACAAAATAAAATCTCCATCTGAAAACTATACCATCTGGGTCATTTTATGTTTGCATTTGCTTATTGTTTTTTCCTTTGAAAGTTGGTCACATTTTTCTAGTTCTTTGTGTGTCAAGTAATTCTTGTACCCTGGACATTTATCCTGACCATATGTTATAAGACTCTGATCCTGTTGGCCAATATTCCCTGGAGAATATCTATGTTTTTGTCTTAGTAGACAACCACACTTCAGATATTACAAGTTCTTTGTCATCTTGTGTGGCTGTTGGTTCCACTGTCAGTTCAGTTTTCAAGACCTTTGCTGTGTTGCTTTGGGTCTGTCCCATGCATGTCCTGCTTAAGGGTTAATCTGGGGCTTGGGCAGTGGTTTATATCATTGTTCAGTTCTCAAAGCCTTTTCTGTGCTGCTTTGAATCTACCCTGTGCATGCATAGCTCAAGAGGGAACCTAAGATGTATGCCAATTCACATACAGAATTAGGAGATCCTCTTGTTCAGCTCATTCCTTTGCAGTTCTCCTCCCATATTCTTTGGCCTTCAGAGTCCTCTTTTCCCAGTCCTCAGGCCAGAAAGATGGGGTTTCTCTGAGTTTTACATTCACATACCACCACTGCAACAGTTCAAAACCACAAGAGAAAATAGAAGAATAAAAAAACAGGAAACAATCCTGCGTGGGTTGTTTCTTCAAGTTTTGACCCCTCTCCACAGTCTGCTTGCTTTTGTTGACTTTTCAGAGCCCTCAGTTAGTTGCTTTTTTTGTATATGGTCTATAGTTTTTAATTCCTATCAGTGAGAGAAAGAGAAAAGGTACAGTGGGCATACTCCATCTTGGCCAACACCTGCAATTTATTCTGGGTTTTTTGGGGTTTTTTTTACCCTTATGATAATACTTTTTAAGGCTAGTTAAATGAAGCAGTGGTAGGAATGGAGAATCTCTTCTGATAATACTTAAAACTGTGGCAGCAGCATAGGAAGTTTACTTTTCAAACTTCTGCCAGCTTTGCTAAAGTACAATGTCATGTCATATGCAACTTCATTTCATATAGGTCAGGAGAAACCGTATATGTGTGTGCGTGCACGTGCGCGCATGCATGTGTATAGAAAAAGAGACACAGTGATAAAATAGATGTGGCACAGTGTTAACAATTGGTGGGTCAAGTTTTCTAATAAAAAGTTAGTGGGAAAACTCTAATCTTAATAAACTCTGTGATCTTAGTCTTAATAACCCTAACCTGATCCTCAGATCAACTTAATGGTGATTTTCAGAATAATTTAAATTGGTCAAACTTGGGCATTTAAAGGGAGAGTTAAATAATTCTAGCCAAAACTTTTCATGATCTTAAGGTGACTCTCTTTACTTCTGAGAGAATAAACATGTTCTTTGGGATATTTCTGCATTCTTCCCCCAGCCTGCTCTTCTAATTTGTTTACTTTAACAAATTGGAAATTTTGAGTCTGGTAAAATAGTGGTCACCTCACTAAAAGTTGTGCATTCTGCTACTTTAGACAATTCCAAGCTCGAGTGTCTCGGCAAACTCTGTTGGCACTTGAGAAAGAAGAAGAGGAGGAAGTTTTTGAGTCTTCTGTACCACAACGAAGCACACTAGCTGAACTAAAGAGCAAAGGGAAAAAGACAGCAAGAGCTCCAATCATCCGTGTAGGAGGTGCTCTCAAGGGTAAGTTTGTTAAACGTTATTTCGGAAAACTGTTAGTTTCTAGTGGTAAAATCATGTAAGAAGATAATACATAAATATACCTGTGGACACTTCTAGTTTGCTGAATACTGAGTAGCAAAAAGAAGGAAGTCAAAGGAGAGCTAATATTACAGTGTGCAGTAAAATCAAAATGCATCAGTAATTTTGTGTCTTAATTAAGAAAGACCTAACATTTAGGAAGCATCAAGATTTTCTGAGTTTGAATTGTTAGTTGAAAGAAGATATGTAGTAACATAGCAGGTGTTGTTAAAGTGAAGCTTACATATACCAAAGCCTCAGAGAATGATACTAATATGGTTAAGAACCCTGCCTTCAGAGCCCTTTGGGACCAGAAATTAGACTCTCTATATACCCAAAGATCAGCAATAATTTTTTTTAATTAACATGGACTTTTTTTTTTTTTGAGAGATAGGTTCTCGCTCTGTTGCCTGAAACGTGGTAGTGCAATCATAGCTCACCGCAGCTTCAAACTCCTAGGCTCAAGCAGTTCTTTTGCCTCAGCCTCCCAAGTAGCTAGGATTATAGGTGTGAGCCACTGCATCTGGACAACACTGACTATTTTTTAGAGTAGTTTTAGGTTCATAGCAAAATTGAGCAGAAGGTACAGAGAATAATAAGCTTTTATTTACTAAATTTATAGCAGTTAGACATGTAAACCAGGCTGTTTTTTTAATCTCTTATTTCTTTCCTGGTATCAATTTATCAATAATCAGAATGTTACTTGGTGGTTCTAGAATTAGGATATAGGGAGTGTATGGTCCCAAAGGCTATTTCATCCAGATCATGATGAAGCTTGGTTAATAACCAGCCCCACAACAGAGAAAACCCCTAATAAATGGGTTAATTTTGTATTCTCTAGTTCCAGTATATCTCTGCTGATTTCCATTGAGAGAAAATTTAAAACTGAAGAATAAAACTTAGGTTAGTTTCTGATAAAACTAGATAATGTTATAATGATGACTGAAGGAAGATGCAGAATGTCTTTTTTGGAAATTTGTGAATAAAAGATGTGGGGTGACTGGAGGAGGGAAAAGAAGGCAGAATATAAGTAACAAAGAATGGATAAAACGATTCTATTTTTGATTTATTAATTTTTTTAAAGATTATTTTTAAAATTTCTTTTTTTTTTTCTGTTGTAGTGGAAATACTGTCCTTGAGTTGAGGAAGAATAGGTATACTTTATCTGGCATCTAAGTTAATAATGAAACATTTTACATGAGGTTTTAATATTTTTGCTCCTAGCTCCAAGCCAGAACAGAGGACTCCAAAATCCATTTCCTCAACAGATGCAAAATAATAGTAGAATTACTGTTTTTGATGAAAATGCTGATGAGGCTTCTACAGCAGAGTTGTCTAAGCCTACAGTCCAGCCATGGATAGCACCCCCCATGCCCAGGGCCAAAGAGAATGAGCTGCAAGCAGGCCCTTGGAACACAGGCAGGTCCTTGGAACACAGGGTAAGGACTCTTAGATCCAGTGCTTTGCTGACACAACAAAGACTTCACATTTAGGGTAGAGAAGTATTTTTACCATCTCTTTTAATTCCTCTTGAATATTTAGCCATGGTCTATATATGCTGTCTGAGAACATAAAACTATGGTAATTTTAGTTTTCTTCTTCATCTCCAGCCTCGTGGCAATACAGCTTCACTGATAGCTGTACCCGCTGTGCTTCCCAGTTTCACTCCATATGTGGAAGAGACTGCACGACAGCCAGTTATGTGAGTGTGGTTTTTGGATATTTTGAAGTGGGAATTATTAAGGGTGGGCAGAGGCACCTATTCTACTTCCCAAAGGCAGTTTCTTCTTTATGAAGATGAAAGTAACCAGGCCAGGCGCAGTAGCTCACACCTGTAATCCCAGCACAGGCTGAGGCAGGAGGATCCCTTGAGCCTAGGTGTTCAAGACCAGCCTGGGCAGCCTAGTGAGACCCTGTCTCTATTTATTAAAAAAAAAAGTAACCAGACAAAATTTTGTATATCCTTTATGTTTGTATTCCTTTGAGTATGTTAGGGTTAAAAGACCATTTGTTAATATTTTATTAAGGAATAAACATTAATTAGGTTTATATTTTCATTACTGAACATTGCTTTAGGAAAATCAATGGTGGCTATTCTGGAAGATGGATTGAACATACATAAATAAGCTATTGGAATAGTTCAGGCAAGGATATTAAGGGGCGGTATTTGGGCAGGGTAGTGGTAATGAAAGGAGAAGGGAGCTTGGATGGGAGAGGCTTCAGCAGTAGAGTTAGAAGATTTGTCTGATGGGATAATGGGGATGTAGGGAAAAGATAATGTGATTTAAATGAGACGTTCTCATTTTGTCATTGATAGTAATGAGAAATTATGATAGTTTTCCCTCTTATCCTGCTTTTTCCTTCTGGACATATTTTTCCTCTTTCTTCCTAATCCTTAGCATTTCTGTTTTTAAGAAAAAGTATAGTAGCTGGTGGTTAAATAAACAAGCCAGCCTGAGATTTAGTCTAATGCTTAACATTGCCTAGTTCTTTTTTTTTTTTTTTTTTTTTTTTTGAGATGGAGTCTCGCTGTGTCGCCCAGGCTGGAGTGTGGAGTGCAGTGGTGCGATCTGGGCTCACTGGAAGCTCTGCCTCCCAGGTTCACGCCATTCTCCTGCCTTAGCCTCCCAAGTAGCTGGAACTACAGGCATCTGCCACCACGCCCAGCTAATTTTTTTTTTTTTTTAGTGGACACGGGGTTTCACCGTGTTAGCCAGGATGGTCTCGATCTCCTGACCTAGTGATCCGCCCGCCTTGGCCTCCCAAAGTGCTGGAATTACAGGCGTGAGCCACTGCGCCCAGCCCTAGTCCTAATACTAGGTTGAATTCTGTCCCAGTGCAAGAGTTACCTCATAACTAATTTATAACTCCCACTACATGCTAGGAATGCAAAAATAATAATTAAGATTTTGAGCAAAAATTCTGCCTAAGTGCTCAGGACAAGGGGAAGGCTATTTTTTTTCTTTTTTTTTTTTTCTTTTTAAACAGAGTCTTGCTCTGTTGCCCAGCAGGCTGAAGTGCAGTGGCACCATCTCAGCTCACCGCAACCTCGACCTCCTGGTTCAACGGGCATGGCAGCCCACGTTTGCCATCCCAGCACTTTGGGAGGCCAAGGTAGGAGAATCACTCCAGGCCAGGAGTTCGAGACCAGCCTGGGCAACATAGCAAAAACCTGACCCTACAAAACAAATTTTTTTTTTTTTGAGACGGAGTCTTGCTCTGTTGCCCAGGCTGGAGTGCAGTGGCATGATCTCAGCTCACTGCAAGCTCTACCTCCCAGGTTCACGCCATTCTCCTGCCTCAGCCTCCTGAGTATCTGGGACTACAGGCGCCTGCCACCACGCCTGGCTAATTTTTTCTATTTTTTAGTAGAGACGGGATTTCACCGTGTTAGCCAGGATGGTCTCGATCTCCTGACCTCATGATCCGCCCACCTCAGCCTCCCAAAGTGCTGGGATTACAGATGTGAGCCACCGCACCCGGTCAACAATTTTTTTTTAATTAGCTGGGTATGGTGGTGGGTGCCTGTAGTCCTAACTACTCGAGTGGCTGAAGCAGGAGGATCACTTGAGCCCAAGAATTTGAAGCTACAGTAAGCTATGATCATGCCACAGCACTCCAGCCTGGGCAACAGGGCAAGAACCTATCTCTAAAAAATAAATCAATTATAATAATAAAGAAAAATCAGCTTGGCATCGTGGCTCATGCCTGTAATTTCAGCACTTTGGGAGGCTGAGGTGAAAGGATCGCTTGAGCCCAGGAGTTCAAGACCAGCCTGGGCAACACAGGGAGACCCTGTCTCCACAAAAAATTTAAAAATTAGCCAAGTGCAGTGGCTTGCACCTGTGGTCCCAGCTACTTGGGAGGCTAGGGATCACTTGAGCCCAGGAGTTTGTGGCTACGGTGAGCTGTGACTGCACCACTGCACTCTAGCCTGAGTACAGAGTGAGACCTTGTCTCAAAAATAAATAACGAAAATAAAAAAGAAAATCCTATGAGCCTTTATAGAAATGGATAACATACATTTGTAGATGTCTGGTTTTTCTAATGTTTCAAGTCATTTTGTAGAAACATGACTTATGTTAAAATTAATATGGTACAGGAAATATTAAACTTATTATTTTTGAGACGGAGTCTCACTCTGTTGCCCAGGCTGGAGTGCAGTGGTGCAATCTTGGCTCACTGCAACCTCCACCTCCTAAGTTCAAGCAATTCTCCTGCCTCAGCCTCCTGAGTAGCTGGGATTACAGGTTCGGGCCACCACGCCCGGCTGATTTTTGTATTTTTAGTAGAGACAGGGTTTCACCATGTTGGTCAGGCTGGTCTCGAACTGACCTCGTGATCTGCCTGTCTCGGCCTCCCAAAGTGCTGGGATTACAGGCATGAGCCACCATGCCCGACCTAAACTTATTTTTATTTTAAATTCTTTTCCATGGATGTTTTATTTGACCTCTCCACACATTTTTCTTTAGGTTGCGTTTTGCTTAGTGATGTATAGAAGCTCTTCATAGATGAAGAAAATCAGCTAAAAATCTATAATACGAGTTGCAAATATTTTCCCCCTACTTTGTCCTTGTCTTTTGGCTTCATGTAGCAGTAACCATTATGCTTTTAATTATCATACAGTCAAATTTAAGTTTTCTTTTTTTTTTTTTTTTTCGAGACAGAGTCTTGCTCTGTTACCCAGGCTGGAGTGCAGTGGCGCCGTCTCAGCTCACTGTAACCTCCGCCTCCCGGGTTCAAGCAATTCTCCTGCCTCAGCCACCCGAGTAGCTGGCATTATAGACGCCCGCCACGACGCCCAGCTAATTTTTGTATTTTTAGTAGAGCCATGGTTTCACCATATTGGCCAGGCTGGTCTCGAACTCCTGACCTCGAGATCTGCCCGCCTTAGCCTCCCAAAGTGCCGGGATTACAGGCATGAGCCACTGCACTCAGCCTTTTAAAGCTTTTTTTTCTTTTTTTTTCTAAACTTCATCGAAATATAATTCCGTGGCTTTTAGTATGTTCACAGAGTTGTGCAACCCTTACCACAATCAATTTTAGAGCATTTTTATCACTCCAGAAAGAACCTTGTACCCATACCTGTAAGACTCGATTCCCCACCATTACCCCAATCCCCACCCTAGCAACCAACTGTTTTTTTCTCTATAGATAATTTACCAATTCTAGACATCTCGTGTAAATAATATAATATGTGGTCTTTGTTTTTTTTTGTTTGTTTGTTTTTTGTGTTTTAGACAGAGTCTTGCTCTGTCGCCCAGGCTGGAGTACATTGGTGCAATCTCTGCTCACTGCAACCTTCGCCTCTCCAGTTCAAGCATTTCTCCTGTCTCAGCCTTCTGAGTATCTGGGACTACAGGCATGTGCCACCACTCCTGGCTAACTTTTGTATTTTCAGTAAAGACAGGCTTTCACCACGTTGGCCAGGCTGGTCTCAAACTCCTGACCTCAAGTGGTCCGCCCACCTCGGCTTCCCAGACCGCTGGGATTATAGGCGTGAGCCACTGCGTCCAGGCAGTGTATGGTCTTTTCTAACTGGTTTCTTTCACTTAGGGTAGTGTTTTCAAGGTTCATCCACGTTGTGACATGTATCAGTACTTCATTATTTTTTATTGCCAAGTAGTATTCCGTTGTGTGGCTTCACAACATTTTATTTAACCATTCATCAGTTGATACAAATTTTAATTGTTTTCATTTTTTGGCTATTATGGATAATGCTGCTGTGAATACCGTGTATACATTTTTGTGTGGACATGTGTTTTCGTTTTTCTTGGCTGTATACCTAGGAGAGGAATTGCTGGATCGTGTGATTAACTCCATGTTTAATATTTTGAGGAACTGTCAAATTGTTTTCCAAAAAAGCTGTACCATTTTACCTTCTCACATTCCCCTAATGTACGAGTACTCCAATTCCTTCCCAACACTTGTTATTATGCTTTTTTGGTTATTGTCATTCTAACAGAGATGTGAAGTGGTATTTCGCTGGTTTTGATTTGCATTTTCCTGGTGACTAATGATGTTGAGCCTATTTTCATAGGTTTATTGGCCTTTTGTATATCTTCTTTGGAGAAATGACTGTTTAAATCCTTGGCCTATTTTTCCTTTGGATTACAGTAGTCCCTCCTTATCTGTAGGGGATACGTTCCAAGACTCCAGTGGATGCCCGAAACTTGATAGTACCAAACCATTTATATACTATGTTTTATCTTATACATGCACTGTGGCCATAACTTTTGCAGTTTGAGGTATGACAGCAAAACTAACTTTTTTTCCTTCTTCACAATTTCACTGATAGAAGATTCATTCTTACTGTAAATCTTATCAACTTCAGCATGTGATTTATTTTTTATTTTTATTTTATTTTTTTTAGTGAAAGTTGAGGCTGGGCATGGTGGCTGATGCCTTTAATCTCAGCACTTTGGCTCTGGGAGGCTGGGGCAGGAGGATTGCTTGAGACCAGGAGTTCAAGACCAGCCTGAGCAATATAGTGAGACCCCATCTCTACTAAAAATAAAAATACACTGGCTGGGCATAGTGGCACATGCCTATGGTTTCCGTTACTATGGAGGATGAGGTGGGAGGATTGTTTGTGCCCAGGAGTCTACGGCTGCAGTGAGCCAGGGTCACGCCACTGTACTCCACCCTAGGCAACAGATTCAGATCCTGTCTCTAAAAATAAAATAAAACAATAAAATAAAAGTTAAGAACTTTCACCTTTGGCATATCCAAATCATCAGCATCGCTACTCTTGTGCTTTGGGGCCATTATTAAGTATAATAAGGGTTACTTGAACACAAGAACTGCAATGCTGGGACAGCTGATCTGATACGAGTCAGCTGCTAAGTGACTAATATGTGGATGCTGAACAAAAGGATGATTCACATCCTAGGTGGAACAAAATGGGAATATATGGGATTTCATCAGGATAGTCAGAACGCCTTGTAATTTTTTTTTTTTTTTTTGAGACCGAGTCTCACTCTGTTGCCCATTCTGGAGTGCAGTAGTGCCATCGTGGCTCACTGCAACCTCAGCTTCCCGGGTTCAACCGATTCTTGTACCTCAGCCTCCCAAGTAGCTGAGATTACAGGCTTGTGCCATCACACCCAGGTAATTTTTGTGTTTTTAGTAGAGACGGGGTTTCGCCATATTGCCCAGGCTGGTCTCGAACTCTTGGGCTCAAGTGATCCACCCGACTCAGCATCCCAAAATGCTGGGATTACAGGCATGAGCCACTGCGCCTGGCCAGAATGACTTGTAATTTAAAACTGATGAATTATTTCTGGAATTTTTCACTTAATATTTTTGGACCACCATTGACCATAGATAACTGAAACTGCTGAAAATGAAACCATGAGTAAGGGGAAACTACTCTATTTGGTTTTTTATTGTTGAGTTTAAGAGTCTTTTATGTATTCTAGATACAACTTCTTTTCGGATACATGATTTGCAAATATTTTCTCCCATTCTGGGTTGTCATTTTATTTTCTCAATGATCTCTTTTGAAGACCAAAAGTTATTTAAAATTTTGATGAAATGCAATTTATCTGTTTTTT
This sequence comes from Homo sapiens, assembly GCF_000001405.40. Classification (NCBI taxonomy): domain Eukaryota; kingdom Metazoa; phylum Chordata; class Mammalia; order Primates; family Hominidae; genus Homo; species Homo sapiens. The sequence goes on from NC_000015.10 coordinate 40,191,497, forward strand.
AAAATTTTGTCCCTGAGCTTTCACTGTCATATCTAAGAAGGCTCTGACTAATCCAAAGTCATGAAGATTTGCTTTTATACATTTTCTTCTAGGAGTTTTATAGTTTTAGCTCTTATATTTAGGTCTGTGATCCATTCTTAGCTAATTTTTGTGTATGGTATAAGGAAGGAGTCCAAATTCATTTTTCTTCATGTGGATATCCAGTGGTCCCAGCACCACTTGTTGAAGACTACTCTTTTGCTATTGAATGGTCTTGGCACTCTTGTTGAAATATCAGTTGACCAAAATGTATGAATTTATTTCTAGACTCTTAATTCTATTCCATTGATCTTTTTGTCTATCCTTATGTCAATACCACACAGTCTTTTTTTTTTCCCCTACACGATCTCGATTACTGCAGATTTGTAGTAACTTTTGAAATTGAGAAGGATGAATCCAACTTTGTTCCTCTTTTTAAAGATTGTTTTGACTATTCTGATTCTCTTGTAATTCCTTATACATTTTAAGATTAGCCTGTCAATTTCTGCAGAAAAGCCAGCTGGAATTTTGATAGTGATTCTGTTGAATCTGTAGGTTAATTTAATGATATTGACATCTTAAAAATATTAAGTCTTCTGGTCCATGAACATAGGATGTCTTTCCAGTTATGTATGTCTTTGAATTCTTTCAGTGTTTTGTAGGTTTCAGAATACAAGTTTTGCACTTCTTTTTCTTTAATTAATAGACTTTATTTTTTAGGGCAGTGTTAGCTTTGCAGAAAAATGGAGTAGAAAGTACAGAGAGTTCCCACATACTCCATCCCCACCCCTCAACCCTGTACACAGTTTTTCCTATTACTAACATCATGCATGAGTGTGGTACATTTGTTATAATTGATGAACCAATATTGATACATTATTATTGGTTAAAGTTCTTTGTTTACATTAGGATTCACTCTAATGTGTTTTACAGTTCTGTGTGTTTTAACAAATACATAATATTATCTATCCATCATTACGGTGTCATTCAGAATTGTTTCATTGTCCCAGAAATCCCCTTTGCTCCATTTGTTCATCCCTTTCTCTCTCTCCCCAAATCCCCTGTAACTATTGATCTTTTCATTGTCTTTATAGTTCTGCCCTTTCCAGAAAATCATGTAGCTGGAATCATAGTATATGTAGCCTTTTCAATCTGGCTCCTTCCACTTAACAATAAGGTTCCTCTGCATCTTCTTCTGACACAATACCTCATTTATAGTGCTGAATGATATTCCATTGTATAGATGTGCCACGATTTGTTTATCCATTCGCCCACAGGAGGTCATTTTGGTGACTTACAAGTTTTAGCAATTATGAATAAGGTTGCGGTAGACATTCATGTGCAGGTTTGTTTGTTTTAAATAGTCTTGTTCTTTCACCTACGCTGGAGTACAGTAGCATGATCCTGGCTCACTGCAGTCCTGACTCCTGGACTCAAGTGATCCTCCCACCTCATCCTCCCTAGTAGCTGGGACTACAGGTGCATGCCACCATGGCTGGCTTATTATTTTTTTTTTTTAAAGATGGGGTCTCACTGTGTTGCCCAGCCTGGTCTTGAACTCCTGGGATCAAGTGATCTTCCTGCGTCAGCCTCCCAGAGCACTGGGATTACAAGCATGAGTCACCACACCCAGCCAGGTTTTGGTGCAGACATAAGTTTTCAACTCATTTGGCTGGATTGTATAATAAGACTAATTTTAGCCTTGTAGGAAAGTGCCAAGTTATTTTTCAAAGTAGCTATACTGTTTTGCATTCCTACCACCCATCAATGAGAGCTTCTATTGTTCCACATCCTTGGCAGCATTCAGTGTTGTCAATATTTTAGATTTTAACCACTCTAATAGGTGTGCAGCAGTATCTTATTGTTTTAATTTGCAATTCCTTAATGACATCTGGGAAGCATCTTTTCATATGCTTACTATCATCTTTTTTTTTTTTTATATGCTTATTACCACTTTTTTTTTTTTTTTTTTTTTTTTCCCTTAGAGACAGTGTCTCACTCTGTTGCCCAGGCTGGGCTCAAGCAATCCTCCTGCCTTATCCATCCTGGTAGTTGGGACTATAGGTGCATGACACCATGCCTGGCTAATTTTTTTTTTGAAGACAGGGTCTCAGCCGGGCGTGGTGGCTCATGCTTGTAATCCCAGTACTTTGGAAGGTGAGGCAGGTGGATCATGAGGTCAGGAGTTCGCCAACATGGCAAAACCCCATCTCTACTAAAAATACAAAAATTAGCTGGGCGTGGTGGCAGGTGCCTGTAATCCCAGCTACTCGGGAGGCGGAGGCAGGAGAATCGCTTGAACCTGAGAGGCGGAGGTTGCAGTGAACTGCGATCATGCCATTGCACTCCAGCCTGGGTGACAAGAGCAAGATTCTGTCTAAAAAAAAAAAAAAAAACAGGGTCTCACTGTATTGCCCAGGCTGGTCTTGAACTCCTGGCCTCAAGTGATCCTCCTGCCTCAGCCTCCCAAAGTGCTGGAATTACAGGCCACTGTGTCCAACTTCCATCTATATGTCTTCTCTCACTTCCTTATTTTAAATTTATTGTGAAGTATTTTACTATTTTTGAAGCTATAGTAAATAGAATTGTTTTCTTAATTTCATTTTCTTTTTTCCCCTTTTTTACATGCTGCCTTGAGATGTGATTTAATTTTATTTTCAGATTGTTCATTGCAAATGGGTAAAATAGGTTGATTTTGTATACTGATCTTGTATTCTTTGACTTTGATGAACTCGTTTGTTATCTAAGACCATATCTTCTGCAAAAAGAGATAGTTTTGCTTCTTCCTTTCCCATCTGGACTCCTTTTCTTTGTTTCTCTTGCCTAATAGCCTTGACTAGAACTTCTAGTACAGTGTTGTATAGAAGTGACAAGAATGGACATCCTTGTCTTGTTCCTGATCTTAGGGGGAAAGCATCTAGCCTTTTACCATGAAGTATGATGTTAGTGTGGGTTTTTCATAGATGTCCTCTAGCAGGTTGAGCAAGTTGGGGAAACTTTTTAAGCATGTAAATGCTTGGACCCTACCATTACAGTTTTTGATTCACTGAGTCTGGGAAGGACCGGTATCTTTAGTTGTACAAAGGTATATAAGAAAATAAAAGGTATATAAGTTATTCTGATCCACAGGGTTGAAAATACCTGCTATATCATGGTTGAGGTATCTTATACTTCATTCTTTTAAAAGCTATGCTGCCACTCTGATTCTTCCCCCTCAGCTGAGCACCTTGGACTTAATATTATTAGGTTCCTAATGCTATATTCTTAACTCTAATTCTTTTGGATACTAAACCATGAAAAATGGATTGTATTGCATAGGTTAATTTCTTTTTATATACTGGTTATGATGAGGATATGGTATTAAGATTTGCTTTCACCTATAAGTAATATAAGCTACTTGATTATCCCACTTATGGCTAATTTCCTTCCTTATCATAGCAGAGGTGGTACTCAGAACATAATTTTATTTTCCTTTTTTTTACATTTCAATAGGTTTTGGGGAACAGGTGGTGTTTGGTTACACAAATAAGTTACTTAGCGGTTATTTCTGAAATTTTGGTGCACCCGTCACCTGAGCAGTGTACACTGTACCCGATGTGTAGTCTTTTAACCCTTACTCCCCCCATCCTTTCCCCCAAATCCCCAAAGTCCATTGTATCATTTTTATGGCTTTGTGTCCTTATAGCTTAGCTCCCACTTATAAGTGAGAACATATGATGTTTGGTTTTCCATTCCTCAGTTACGTCACTTAGAATAATGGTCTCCAATTCCATCCAGGTTGCTTCAAATGCCATTTTTTTGTTCCTTTTTGTGGCTGAGTAGTATTTCATGGTAGATATATACCACATTTTCTTTATCCATGCATTGATTGATGGGCATTTGGGCTGGTTCCATATTTTTGCAGTTGTGAATTATGCTGCTAAAATATGCATGTGCAAGTATCTTTTTCATATAATGACTTCTTTTCCTCTGGGTAGATACCCAGGAGTGGGATTGCTGGATCAAATGGTGGATCTACTTTTAGTTCCTTAAGGAATCTCCGTACTGTTTTCCATAGTGGTTGTACGAGTTTACATTCCCCCCAACAGTGTAAACGTGTTCCCGTTTCACCACATCCATGCCAGTGTCTATTATTTTTTGATTTCTTTATTATGGCCATTCTCACAGGAGTAAGGGGTTATTGCGTTGTGGTTTTGATTTGCATTTCCCTGATAATTAGTGATGCTGAACATTTTTTCATATGCTCGTTGGCCATTTGTTTATCTTTTGAAAATTGTCTATTCATGTCCTTAGCCCACTTTTTGATAGGATTGTTTGTTTTTTTCTTGCTGATTTGTTTGAGTTCCTGGTAGATTCTGGATATTAGTCCTTTGTCGGATGCATAGATCGTGAAGATTTTCTCCCACTCTGTGGGTTGTCTGTTTACTCTGCTGATTATTCCTTTTGCTGTGCAGAAGCTTTTTAGTTTAGTTTAGCCCCATCTAATTATCTTTGTTTTTGTTGCGTTTGCTTTTGGGTTCTTGGTCATGAAGTCTTTACCGAAGCCAATGTCTAGGAGGGTTTTTCCAGTGTTATCGTCTAGAATTTTTATGGTTTCAGATCTTAGATTTAATTAAGTCTTTGATCCACCTTGAGTTGATTTTTTGTATAAGGTGAGAGAGGAGGATCTAGTTTCATTCTCCTACTTGTGACTTGCCAATTATCCCAGCACCATTTGTTGAATAGAGTATCTTTCCCCACTTTACGCTTTTGTTTGCTTTGTCAAAGATCAGTTGACTGTGAGTATTTGGCTTTATTTCTGGGCTCTCTATTCTGTTCCATTGATCTATATGCCTGTTTTTATACCAGTATTATGCTGTTTTGGTGACTATGGCCTTACAGCATAGTTTGAAGTCAGGTAATGTAAGGCCTCCAGATTTGCAGAACATAATTATTGATGGCCCTTGTAAATTATTTTTAGCTTCTTTTATCAATCTTATTGATTTTTTTTATTTTGACCCATATGAATAATAGTAATTTTGCTTCTTTAGGACACCATGTAAAATTGAACCTAGTATAAACCACATCCTAAGCACCAGAAAGCCTGGAAAGGAAGAAGGAGATCCTCTACAAAGGGTTCAGAGCCATCAGCAAGCGTCTGAGGAGAAGAAAGAGAAGATGATGTATTGTAAGGAGAAGATTTATGCAGGAGTAGGGGAATTCTCCTTTGAAGAAATTCGGGCTGAAGTTTTCCGGAAGAAATTAAAAGAGCAAAGGGAAGGTGTGTGTAATTCAAGTTTGTGAAGAGGACTTAACTTAGTTGTGTGAAGGTTGAGCTGACCTATTAAGTCTGAAGAAAACTAACCTTATAGTTTGTACCTTTGTATGATGTTTCTATGGTAGTACTGTTTCTTTCTGTGTATCAGCCAAAATCCCACTGCTGCCTTCTATGGTTGTACTGTTTCTGTGTATCAGCCAAACTCCCATTGCTGCCTTCCATGAAAACTCCTTGGGGTGTGGGGGCACTGAGTATGTTTAGAAGTAAAGGAAGAAGTTCTGAACTGTATGAACAATTTATATTCCCCAATACAATAAGCAAGCAGCTATGATCCCTGACATGCATATATGTACATTCCATGCATCCCTATTAAGTACTTTTCCTAATGTTATTGCTTGAAATATTTCACTTTACCTTTGATACTTTGTCTGAAATTTCTCCAAGGGCTTATTTAGATTAACATAGTAGGTCATACTGCAGTGATTTAGATTATAGATATTCGTATTGTTTTTTAAAGACATTATATTTCTAAATTAAAGGAAAAGGTTTAAAAATTGAGATATGGGGAATTTTTGGGAAACAGGAAGCAGTTCTGATTCTGGAGCCTGGAGTACTTGAAGGCAAGAGGTAGGGCAGAATGGGCTGGAAAGTAGGGAAGTAAGGCATATGGGGCTTAAGGCATGAGAAGGTGAAGGAGAATAAAGAAGGGTACAGAAAATGAGGTAGGGGAGGGTCCACTTCCATTTAGACATTTTTTATTAGGATCTGTAAGGAGAAAGTAATGTTTCTTTTATACATCCGTATCCAGAATAACCTACTAATATAGCTCAGCTCTCTTAACAGGATGTGGTGTTTGTGGGGTTAGCTGGGAAACTTAACCATCACTTATACTTTGAGGAGCAATCTTTTCTGAGTTCCAGGTGACAACCTGGAAGCAAACTTTGGTAAAGCAGACTGTTAGTAAGTTTGAAATTGCCTTCATTTGTTACACTAATTAGTGTCATCCAAGATTGTCAAAAGTGCTCTGGGTTCAAATGGAACTTGTGTGTCTAGGTAGAAGAGAGGGATGGTTGCAAAGCAAGGTGTTGAGTAAGGCTTTTAAAAAAGGAGAACCACTCCAGCAAAGAAATAGGCTAGGAGGGTGGCCAAATATGAACCAGAAAAGGAACTAGGTATCTAGATAAAAACTGTTTCCTAAGGGAAAAGCTTAGTCTGTACCAGATATATAGAAGGAAAATGAAAGTCCATTTTAGGGCCAGGCACAGTGGCTCACACCTGTAATCCCAGCACTTTGGGAAAAAAAGACCAGCCTGGGCAACATGGTGAATTCTCATCTCTGTGGGAAAAAGAAAAGGTACATTTTGTTTTCAACTAGCCAAAGAAGGACCTACTCTAGATTACATGGGATTTAATTAGGAATAAGAAGGCATTGACCTCTGAGAATTTTTTAATACTCATTTCTATTGTGTTTTTTTTTTTTTTAAATAGAGAGATGGGATCTCCCTGTGTTGCCCAGGCTGGTCTCAAACTCCTGGGCTCAAGCTATCCTTCCCACCTTGGCCTTTCAAAGTGCTGGGATTATAGGCATGAGCCACCATGCAGACCTTAATGCTTATTTCTAAGCTGGTCTCTGAATCTATTTCATGAACTTGTATAAATTCCCATCTGTGTATAAGTTTGTACCCTTACATAAATCCTCATTTCAATAAATGTGGTTTCTAGTTACTGTCAAAAACTGACTTCAAAGACTTGCCAACTACTTACTCTCAGGGAAAAATACAAGAAAAGAGGAAGCCACAATCAGGGCCTACACAAAGGTTGTTTTTTCTTTGCGTTGCACTTCCAAATCATTTTTTCCCTCTTCTTTCAAAAACTTTAGCTTCTTTCAGATTTCTGTCCTCTAATTCTTTTCTATCTCCTGAGCCTCCTTAGTGTACTCACCTCAGACTTTTCAGTCACACTCCATCATTCATTAATTGACTAATAAGCACATGGCTTACTATCTATGCCTCTTTACCCTAACCTGCAAAACCCTGCATGGCCAAGCATGGTAGCATGTGCCTGTAGTCCCAGCTACTCAGGAGAGTGAGGCAGAAGGATTGAGCCCACAAGTTTGAGACCAGCCTGGGCAATATAGCAAGACCCCATCTCCAAAAACAAACAAAACTCCATGTGGCTTAGCCTTTACCTACCTCTCCAACCCCATCTTTTTCTATTCACCCTCTTACTATGCTGCAACTACACTGGACTTCCTTTGGATTCTTAGACACAGTGGTCTTTTCCTGCATTGGGGCCTTTGTGCCACCTAGTTTGTTAGCCTAGAATCTTTCCCCAGAACTTTGGCCCCTTATCATTTAAATTACAGCTTAATACTGTCACTTTATCAGAATGATCTTCCCTGATCACTGGTCTTAAGTAGCCCTCCCTTGGCCTCCATCTCCCTACCCAGTCAAACATTCTCACGTCACCTATTTTATTCTTTTTCCTAAACTGATTTTCTTGTGTGTGTGTTGCCCCCAAATTTGAATGTTAGTATCACATAACCAAGGACTTTGTATTATGTACCACTGAAACCTAAGTACTCAGAGCTGTGCTTGGCACATAGTAGGTATTCAATGTTTTTTTCCTTTTAGTAGAAACCTGTGTTGTTCAAAGGTATTCTATTTTTTTATTGAATGGATAAAGAATAGAGGCCTAGACCACAAGTTGAGGACCTTATTCCACTTAAATCATTTTCATCTGTATTAGTAACATATATGTTGAGGAGATGAGCTCCAAAGGCAGTTTTTGACAGAATGAGTTACTATGAGGAATAATACCTCAAGCAACTTTACTGTTTCTAGCCGAGCTATTGACCAGTGCAGAGAAGAGAGCAGAAATGCAGAAACAGATTGAAGAGATGGAGAAGAAGCTAAAAGAAATCCAAACTACTCAGCAAGAAAGAACAGGTGATCAGGTAATTTTTCTTTTTTCATACACAAAACTAGAATTTATTGAAACAAATTTAAACATTATAAAAATATAGAAGGTTAAAGTCCTCCCAACCCCCATTTAGAGTTTCTGGTAGTTTCTTAGCTGTTAGTAGCCGGAAAGTTGAGCGGGAAAGTAATTTAACAGGTGACTTCAAATGGAATTTGTGGCATGTGAAATAAGTGGTGCAGTTTATTGACTTCTTAGTTATACTCCAAATCATTATGTTATTAATTCTGGCTTAAGCTTTTTATTCTAGCTATGTTCCATTAAAATGGGATTGCCTAAAGAAATTTAGTATATGCCTGGCACTGCTCAGTTGAGTACAACAGTACTGGTTTAGAGTAGGAATAAAAATTATTGGAAATGACTTTTGTGGTACACTCATTTTGTACTGTTAGTGGATGTCTAGGGAAAGAGTACAGTAAAGCTAATGTTAGAACTAGAAAATAGCATTTTCTGGATGGGAGGGACATTGATTTTGTTTATTTAATGCAAACAGCAAGAAGAGACGATGCCTACAAAGGAGACAACTAAACTGCAAATTGCTTCCGAGTCTCAGAAAATACCAGGAATGACTCTATCCAGTTCTGTTTGTCAAGTAAACTGTTGTGCCAGGTAAGACTACATAGGTGGAAGGGACAATGCATATAGGAGGGCATTTAGAACCAACCTTTGACTCTCTAGTGCCTTGAAGTCTCCTTGACGTTTACAGTATCGAGACATGGTTTTTGTAAGTCTCTGTCACAACATAAGCTTTGATGCTGATGAGGGAGGACAGAGCATTGACTATTTTCCACTGAAGAAACATGTTTCTTATAGAAACAAATACATATACTGTTTTTAAAAAACAAAATCACCCATTTCTACCACTAAGAGATGATTACCATTAACACTGTTCTGTCTCTTCTTTTGTGTTGTATTTTTGTTTTGTTTTATAAAAATGGCAGCTTACCATTTTGTAATCTGCTTATACTATTAATGCAACTTGACATCTATTATCAAATATATTTCTGCAACATTTTTGATAACCAAAGCTTCCATCTTCTTTAAGAGAATTTGAATTGACAGTAATAATTTATCTTAGAGTAAATATTATATTTAATGGAAAAGCCTCTTGGACTTTTAAAAATTAAACAGTTCTTTCTGTGGGTATTGAGCACATGATTTAAAACAAGTTTCTTTACAGAGAAACTTCACTTGCGGAGAACATTTGGCAGGAACAACCTCATTCTAAAGGTGAGTTGTATTTGACAGCCTTGAGAAGAACTTGCTGATAACAAATGTATTATGTAATAAATGGTAAATATTTTTAATTATGATAAAGGGATTGAAAGACAGGGGGACTAGGATACTAGGAATTTAGTATAAGCATATGCTTTATGATAGGAAAGACATTTGAAAGAGTATTTTTTTAAAGATTCCTCAGTGCTTCAAAATATTTGGTTTAATTGTAATTTTAAATTTACACTAACCACCAAATCTTATACTTTAGTTACTGTACACTAAACAGCAAAGACACTAAGGGAAGTGTTTCTTTTCAGGGAAAAAAAAATTTAAAGCTATTTTATACTCAAATTGGTTTTCTTTTCTTCAAAATGTGTTAAAAGTGGTGAAACATGAATATCTACTTGTAAATGGTTTGGCAAAAATAAAAATAAAAAACATTAAAATCTAATTAAACCTCTGTTTCTAACCGTCAATTTATTGGAAATATAAAGCATGGAGGAACGTTGTTAAACAACACAGCGGGATGGAATTGGCAAAATCCAGCATTATGGGGCTAGCAACCCAGTTTGTTCAACAAAAATTCCCCCCAAAACTCTATAGAATAAAAGAGATTTAAGAGGCATTTGAACAGTCACAGTATACGGATCTTAACTCTGCATTCCCAATTCAAACAAACTTTAAAAAAATTTTTTTTTATTTATTAATATTTTTTTGAGACTGAGTCTCGCTCTGTCGCCCAGGCTGGAGTGCGGTGGCGCGATCTCAGCTCACTACAAGCTCTGCCTCCTGGGTTCATGCCATTCTCTTGCCTCAGCCTCCCGACTAGCTGGGACTACAGGCGCCCACCACCACGCCCGGCTAATTTTTTTTTGTATTTTTAGTAGAGACGGGGTTTCATCATGTTAGCCAGGATGGTCTCGATCTCCTGACCTCGTGATCCGCCCACCATGGCCTCCCAAAGTGCTGGGATTACAGGTGTGAGCCACCACACCCGGCCAAAACATTTTTTTAATTGGTAAAATATGAAACTTCTCACTGGACATTTGATATTATATATATATTCATAAATTGTTCATTTTATAGGTAGGTATCATGTTTTGGGATTGGGATTTTTAAAAAGCCTCTTTTAGAAATATATACTGAAATATTTGCAGATAAAATGACATGTCTGGAATTTGCTTTAAAATAATCCTGTTGGGTTGGGTTTGGGGAGTAGTGACAGTGGTAGAGAATCTAAATGGAACAAGATCATCTAAGTTTAGGTAATTGGTAAATTGTTTAATGACCTTTTATATGTTTGAAGCTTTTTGTTATTAAAAAAACAGGTTGCCTTCCTGCTTTCAAACAACACAAAATATTGATTAATTTATCTGGTTGTCTTGAAGAGTAAAGCATTTACTCCTAGAGTATGTATCTAGTCTCTCTTTCTCTAGGTCCCAGTGTACCTTTCTCCATTTTTGATGAGTTTCTTCTTTCAGAAAAGAAGAATAAAAGGTACGTTGTTTTTTTGTTTTTTTGGTTTTTTTTTACTTAAGAATTTTCTGTTATTATAAGTGAGGATAAATTAGGGGTTACTGTTATGAAAAAAATTGCTAAGTGAGGTATGTCTTTTTCCAGTCCTCCTGCAGATCCCCCACGAGTTTTAGCTCAACGAAGACCCCTTGCAGTTCTCAAAACCTCAGAAAGCATCACCTCAAATGAAGATGTGTCTCCAGATGTTTGTGTAAGGAGCAGTATCCTTAAGTTAATGTAAATGGGCTAGTGGATTGTTTATTCAAAACCACAAAAGCTTAAGGTTAAAATTGAAACCACTGACTTGAATTAAGCACATGAAAAGATGCTCAGCATTACTACTCAACAGGGAAATGCAAATCAAAACCACAGTGAGATACTACTTTATATCCTCTAGGATAGCTATAATAAAAAATTACGCACAGTAACAAGTGTTGGCAAAATTGTGGAGAAATTAGAACATACATTACTGGTGGGAATGTAAAATGGTGTAGCCACTTTGGAAAACAGTTTGGCAGCTCTTTAAAATGTTAAACACAGTTACCATATGATCCTGCAGATCTCTGCCCAGGTATATACTCAAAATAATTGAAAACACATGTTCATACAAAAAATTTGTACACAAATGTTCATAGCCGTATTACTCATGATAGTGGAAACAACCCCAAATGTCCATCAACTGATGAATGGATAAACAAAATGTTATGTATCCATACCATGAAATATTATTTGGCAACAAAAAGGAATGAAGTACTAATACCTGTCACAACATAGATGAACCTTGAAAACGTTATGTCAAGTGAATGAAGCCAGATACAAAGACCACATACTATATGATCTAATTTTCATGAAATATCCAGAATAGGCAAAAGTGTCATGGATTGAGGTTTTCCAGGGGATTAGAGGGTGGTGGAGAGTGACTGCTAATGGGTATAGGGTTTCTTTTTGGAGTGATGAAAGTATTCTGGAATTAGATAGTGATGATGGTTGTACAACCTTGTGAATTTACTAAAAACCACTGAAATATACTTTAAAAGGGTCAATTTTATGGTATATGAATTATATCTCAATTTTTATAAGTAGGGAAAAATCACTAATTTTAAAGCCTTTTGTACTTTTAATTTTTTAACCAACATAGCAAAAGACATTTGTTCTTTTTTATATAAAATACCTTTTTTGGCAATGCAAAAGTTATGTGGGCCAATCATTTTTCTTCAGTAATGTTCTATATTAACCGCTATAGACTAATGACATAATACTTAAGGTAAAAAGACCCTGTGTAGACATTTAAGTCAAAATAAATAACCTGTATCATTGGCATTTTATTAAAGTTTTAAGGAGGAAAAATCATTCTCTTCAAACCAGCCTCTGGAAGCTTGTCATGAGACTGAAAAGAATTGAGTATGTTTAATCTGAAGACTTTTAAGGGGTGATGTGAGCAGTAGCTTTAGTAACTTAAAGCAGTGTTTTCCACATCCTAGGGAATCATTTGGAGGAAGTTTTTTAAAAGCACTTTTTCATTTTAGTTTCTTCTCTGTTGATGTATATTTTATATCCAGTAAACTGCACAAATATTGTACAGCTAGATGAATTTTTCCATGCAATTTTTTCCCATATCAAGATACAGAATATTTCCATCAACTCAGAAGAGACTAGCGAGTCTTTTGTGACTAACAGTGCTTAAGCCCCATTCCATCTAGGTGCCATTGGAATTTCCAGGGAAGAAGTCCAAGCATGTATTTTTGTCTTTTTAAAAATACTTTCTCAGATAATTCTGCTACAGTTAGTCTACTGACTGCTATGAAAAGACAGTGATGTAAGAGTAATTAATTACATATTGTGTTCTGGAGTAAACCACCAGAGAACATGATGAACAGGCTAGATTTGGATACAGTGGTTCTAGATTCAGCTGTTCAAGGATATGCTTAATTGTTAAAGGAGTCCAACTTCATTTACCTTTTTTTTTTTTTAACCAGTCTTTTACTTGAATTTTGTTAATAAGTACCTACCAGAATTTTCATCCCCTAAAAAAATCATATTTAAAATGTCTAAGCTAATATGGCCATAAGTAGTATTTGCATAAAATGTATAGATTATAAACATCTATTTTACTTTAATCACATATATAAATACATATATATGTATATATATATTTTTTTCTTTTTCTTTTTTAGACAGGGCCTCGCTCTGTCACCCAGGCTGGAGTACAGTGGCATGATCTCAGCTCACTGCAGCCTCTGCCTCCTGTACTCAAGCATTCCTCCCACCTCAGCCTCCCAATTAGCTGGGACTACAGGTGTGAGCCACCATGCCTGGCTAATTTTTTATTTTTTGGAGAGACAGGGTTTTGCCATGTTGCCCAAGCTGGTCTCAAACTCCTGTGCTCAAGTGATCTTCCCACCTCAGCCTGCCTCCCAAAGTGTTGGGATTACAGGTGTGAGCAAATGTACCTGGCCAAATCTTTTTTTTTTTTTTTTTTTTGAGACTGAGTTTCACTCTTGCACTCAGGCTGGAGTGAAGTGGCGTGATCTCGGCTCACTGCAGCCTCCGCCTCCTGGGTTCAAGCAATTCTCCTGCCTCAGCCTCCCGAGTAGCTGGGATTACAGGCGCCCACCACCACGCCCAGCTAATTTTTGTATTTTTAGTAGGGACGGGGTTTTGCCATGTTGGCCAGGCTGGTCTCGAGCGCCTGACCTCAGGTGATCCACCCAACTCAGCGTCCCAAAGTGCTGGGATTACAGGCGTGAGCCACTGCACCCGGCCTATAATTTTTTTTTTAACTATACTTTGTTTCTTCCAGATGTACCTCCCACCTTTAGTTACTAAGTCAGAAATTCAAAGTATGTGTCAAATTGGTAATGATCTAGAAAATTAATCTCTGGTATCCATATGGGTTAAATCAAATAGGCACTATTTGTATACTACAGGTAAATATGTAAAGTGGTATAATCTCTCTGAGGACAGCTAAGTAATATAGATAAAGAACTTTAGTGTTTATAACCTTTTGACCTTACAATTCTACTTTTAGGAATTAATCCTAAGAAAATTAAAGGATTTATAAAGATTTATGTATAAGGATAAAGTAGTTTTAAACTAGTAAAAAACAGAATAACCTGAAAGTTGGTTAATTTCTTATAGACCCACAATGTGGCCATTATGTTTTTAAAGAATTTTTAATAGCATAGGAAGGAAGAAATACAAAAAGTATGAGAAAGAGCAATACAGAGTATCATGAATGCTACAGTTTCACTGGTTGTAAAACTGCTTTTCAAATGCATAGAATATGCTATGCATATATCCTACCAGACATACATGAATTGTCTTTAAGAAATAAATAAAAATTAGGTATGTAGCATAGAGGAAGAAGACCTAAAAACTAGGAGGATAGCAAATCATTAGAATATTTACTAAGTGAAAGCAGAAGAAAAATAGTATTTGTGCTTTAGTTCATAGGTGAAATTTGTTGAGGAACAAAACCATTGCCCAATATTTTTCTTTGTATGGAGAATCTTCCTGGTACATTTTTTGGATGAAGTATAGTTTACTGTGTTCATGATATAAAAACCTTTTTATATTTGCCTAGATATTCTGATATGCTATTTCTGTACCCTGTGTCACTGAGCTAATATGTCTCTCTCAGTAAAAAAGTTCTTCATGTATTGAAATATTTTAGCTAAACTTTATATGGTCTTTATTTCAGGATGAATTTACAGGAATTGAACCCTTGAGCGAGGATGCCATTATCACAGGCTTCAGAAATGTAACAATTTGTCCTAACCCAGAAGACACTTGTGACTTTGCCAGAGCAGCTCGTTTTGTATCCACTCCTTTTCATGAGATAATGTCCTTGAAGGATCTCCCTTCTGATCCTGAGAGACTGTTACCGGAAGAAGATCTAGATGTAAAGACCTCTGAGGACCAGCAGACAGCTTGTGGCACTATCTACAGTCAGACTCTCAGCATCAAGAAGCTGAGGTGATTGGGGATTTACAGGTTTTACAAACCAGATTGTTTACTCTCTTATTCTGCATGTGCTTGTCAGTTACAGTAATCAGTTATCAAGTTCTTACTAACTGCCAGGTACTGTGCTAAGTGCTTTACATGAGAGTAGGGCTGCCCCAGATGAAGTGTCAATGGGATTTAGTGATTGATTTGGATGTGAGGGTTAAAAGTAAATTTTGATGGTAGAGAAACTAAGTGGTCCGAGAGGAGTATAGTACCATTGAGGAAACTTTGCAAAGTGTACATGACTGACGAAAAGGAGGCATTTAGTTTTTCTTTAATATTGAGTTTAAAATAGTGGTAGGATAGCTTTTGTTAATTTTATGTATTTATTTATTTATTGAAATGGAGTCTCACTCTGTCGCCCAGGCTGGAGTGCAGTGGCACTATCTTAGCTCACTGAAACCTCCGTCTCCCGGGTTCAAGCGATTCTCCTGCCTCAGCCTCCCAAGTAGCTGGGACTACAGGTGCGCACCATCATGCCTGGCTTATTTTTATATTTTTAGTAGAGACGGGGTTTCGCCATGTTGGCCAGGCTGGTCTCAAACTCCTGACCTCAGGTGATCCACCCGCCTCGGCCTCTCAAAGTGCTGGGATTACAGGAGTGAGCCACTGTGCCTGGCCAGCTTATGTGAATTTTAAATAGGCAACTAGAGATGTGTTTTTTAAAAAACTATCTTTTGATAGAGAGGTGGAAATGAACTATGGAATAGATATGAGGGAATGGCTTATGGCCAGGGTCTGACACTTGTTTTAGGTCAGCTAATTTAACTAATTCCAGTTTTAGGAATTCTTTGTAATTGGCAAATTTTTGCTTTTAAAGCTACATTTTGAGAGGCCAGATGCAGTGGCTCACCTCTGTAATCCTGGCACTTTGGGAGGCTGAGGGAGGCGGATCATTTCAGGCCAGGAGTTGAAGACCAGCCTGGTCAACATGGCTGTACTCAAAAAAACTTTTTTTTGAAACTTTTTCCCTACAGGCTTTTAAGCACATTTGCTAGCATGTATTCACATTGCATGATTTGGGTTTCTCTTTTCTTTGCCTAACCTTTTCTTCTTGAAGAAAAAAAAGTCCAGAGAAAGGATAAAGAGGAAGAAAGTGTCAATGTTAGTGTTTCTCAATATTATGGAATATAGAGTAGATATTTACTATAGGTAAATAAAGCATAAATCCAGAAATGTATGCTGGACATGGCTTATTCACCAGGTTTAGAGGAGGTTACCTAGATTCTGATTTGGGGAAATAATGGACTTGAAAAATGAGACTATTGCTGAGTGCATTGGCTCTTGCCTGTAATCCCAGCACTTTGGGAGGCTAAGGTGGGAGGATCACTTGAGGCCAGGAGTTTAAGACCAGCCTGGGCAACAAAGTGATGCCTTGTGTCTAATAAAAATAAAAAAAAAAAATAGCTAGGCATGGTAGCACTCACCCAGCTATCATTTCCTGGGCTCAAGTGATTCTCCCACCTCAGCCTCCCAAGTAGTCCCAGATATTAGCTTTTTTGTTTTACAACCTTTCAGCTACTTGGGAGGCTGAGGTGGGAGGATCACTTGAGCCCAGGAAATCAAGGCTGCAGTGAGCCATGATCGCACCACTGCCCTCCAGCCTGGGTGACGGAATGAGATCCTGTCTCAAAAATAAAATGAAAAGTAAAAAAAAAA
Organism: Homo sapiens; assembly: GCF_000001405.40. Lineage (NCBI taxonomy): Eukaryota > Metazoa > Chordata > Mammalia > Primates > Hominidae > Homo > Homo sapiens. The sequence goes on from NC_000015.10 coordinate 40,208,148, forward strand.
AATGAGGCTATCAAATAAATTGATAACAAATTATAAATTATTTAAACCTAAATTTTATTGTGTTAAAAAATAAAAGAATAACATAAAATTATAAAATGTGTACATTAAGGCCAGGTGCAGTGGCTCACGCCTATAATCCCAGCACTTTAGGAGGCTGAGACGGGTGGACCATCTGAAGTCAGGAGTTCAAGACCAGTCTGGCTAACATGGTGAAACCCTGTCTCTACTAAAAATACAAAAATCAGCTGGGCATGGTGGCAGGTGCCTGTAATCCCAGCTACTCAGGAGGCTGAGACAGGAGAATCACTTGAACCCGGGAGGCAGAGGTTGCAGTGAGCCAAGATCATGCAGTTGTGCTCCAGCCTGGGTGACAAGAGCAAAACTCCATCTCAAAAAAAAGAAAAATGTATACATTAAGAATTTATGAAATTATAACAAAGTTGATATATATTATTCCTATAAGAATTAACTTATTTTTGATTCTTTTAGCCCAATTATTGAAGACAGTCGTGAAGCCACACACTCCTCTGGCTTCTCTGGTTCTTCTGCCTCGGTTGCAAGCACCTCCTCCATCAAATGTCTTCAAATTCCTGAGAAACTAGAACTTACTAATGAGACTTCAGGTAGGATATACATACCACTATATCCATGCCTAGTGAACACTTGTTTATCTCAGCAAACTGAGCTGTATGTTTTTCTTTTTTTGAGACAGGGTCTCACTCTGTCACCCAGGATGGAGTGCAGTGGCACAATCAAACTCACTGGGCTCAGGTGATCCTCCTACCTCAGCCTCCCGAGTAGCTGGGACCACAACTGTGCCACCACCAATTTTTGTATTTTTTGTAGAGGTGGGGTTTCGCCATGTTGCCCAGGCTGGTCTCAAACTCCTGGCCTCAAAGGATCCTCCCGCCTCAGCCTCCCACTCCCTGGGATTATAGGTGTGAGCCACCATGCCCAGTCTATGTGTTTTTCCTTCTTAAAGAAGTTGCCGGCCGGGTGCGGTGGCTCACGCCTGTAATCCCAGCACTTTGGGAGGCCGAGGCGGGTGGATCACGAGGGTCAGGAGATCGAGACCATCCTGGCTAACATGGGGAAACCCCAACTCTACTAAAAATACAAAAAAATTAGCCGGGCATGGTGGCGGGTGTCTGTAGTCCCAGCTACTCTGGAGGCTGAGGCAGGAGAATGGCGTGAACCCGGGAGGCGGAGCTTGCAGCAGTGAGCCGAGATGGCGCCACTGCACTCCAGCCTGGGCAACAGAGCGAGACTCCGTCTCAAAGAAGTTGCCATAAATTGTGAAATTTCTAGAGTAGATTAGTACGAAGTGAACACAGTTTCATAAACACCTGAGACAGGTGAGTGTAGTTAAATTAACAGTGCTGACTGTGTAATCTTGATTTTTTTTTTCTTCTACTCTGTTATAATATCCATTTTAAGCATTAGGGTTTTTTTGGTGATATATTTTCACCTTTCCCTCCCACTGGCAGAAAACCCTACTCAGTCACCATGGTGTTCACAGTATCGCAGACAGCTACTGAAGTCCCTACCAGAGTTAAGTGCCTCTGCAGAGTTGTGTATAGAAGACAGACCAATGCCTAAGTTGGAAATTGAGAAGGAAATTGAATTAGGTAAGTACCATTGAACTCATGTCCTCTGGTTCATGACAGTATACAAATAAGTGATTATTTGTACTTAAGCTTGATGCTTGAGCACTGTAAATATTCCTAGATTGTATTTTTTAAAAAAGCAATATAGAGGATGACACATCAGTAACTTCATGTCCTAATAATAGGAATTATGTCTTCTCCTCTTGCAATCTTTAACAAATTATTTTTAAAAGTATTCTAGATACTACTAACTGGCAAATACACCAGTGCCTCTATCCCTTAAACCAGGAGGTAAAAGCTACAGGGCTGTATATGTTCACAGTGATTTTTAAATGGAATCAAACTTTCTCAACAGGTAATGAGGATTACTGCATTAAACGAGAATACCTAATATGTGAAGATTACAAGTTATTCTGGGTGGCGCCAAGAAACTCTGCAGAATTAACAGTAATAAAGGTGGGACTGATTCTTTATAATTTCAGTTACTTTGTAAATAATACGGATTGGAGCAATAACTGTCCTCATGTTACCATCAAATCTTTCTAATAATCTCTTTCAATATGTCCAAATATATTAAGTATCCTTTCAGTTTCATTTTTTTTAGGAAATCTCTGCTGATACTTTCTGGCCTGCTCCAATCTGGACAAGTTATACATTAGCTTTCACACAATCACCACACACAATCACCTTGGAATTTCCATTTATTATCATCCTAGGTATTCACATTACCTTTGTCTTATATTGGATACCTAGTTTCTTTTTATCTTTGTTTTTTAAAGGACACGGTCTCTGTCATCCAGGCTGGAGTACAGTAGCATGATCACGGCTCACTGCAGCCTCAACCTCTTGAGCTCAAGCAATCCTCCCACCTCAGCCTCTGGAATAGCTGGGACCGTAGGTGCACGCCACCACTCCCAGCTAATTATTTTTTGTAGAGACGGGGGCCTCTCTGTGTTGCCTAGGCTGGTCTTGAATTCATGGCTCAAGCAGTCCTCCCACCTTGGCCTCCCAAAGAACTGGATTACAGGCATCTAACTTTGCTTTTGAATTTTTTTGCCATTCTGAGTCTCAAAGCTTTGTGTGAAGTTATTTTTCCTTCTTTCTGGATCCTTATAGGATCTTATTCTTGTCCCCACTATTCTGAAATGTCACAATTACATGCCTTTTCATAAGTTTGTTGTCACTTATGTGCTAGGTACTCAATGGCCATTTCAATCTGTTAATTCCCTCAGTTCTGAGAAATTTTCTTCAATGGGAAAATTATTTTTCCCCTCAGTTTTCTCTGTTCTCTTATTCTCTAATTCCTTTTATTAGAGGTGTATATGGCATCTTTGGACAGAACCTCTAAAAATTTAACTTTTTTTCTCCTATATTCTCTCTTTGTCTTTTTACTTTACTTTCTGAGTATATTATCAGCTTAATATTTTTGGTCTTTTTACTAGGTTTTTATTTCTATATTTAATTTTCAAGAGCTCTTTTTAAAATTTTTTACCCCTTTGTCATCTGTTTCTTCTTGTTTTCTTTTTTGTCTGTTTTGATCTCTCTCACACTACAGGCTTTCTTCAAGTCTTTGGCTCTCTATTCGTATTTAAGTATGGGACATTGAAAGCTCTGTGTATATGGAAAGACCTTGACAGCTGTGGACCTCAATGTAGGATGATCTAGTTTGGCCATTTTATTGGAAAACCCTCCAATCTTTAGATCCTTTCTCTTGACCTGATCATAGAAGTCTTCTCCCTCAGAGAAGACTTCTAATTTTCTGCCTGGAGCATATAAGCCTGGCTGCTAGCTTTCTGAAATCTGAGTGAGGAAATTGGTCTGAAGAATAGAAGAGCAGGGAGGTGCATCTTAACTGCTGCATATATAACATCTGATATATATACTTTTTCCTGTTTTCTATGTTATTTCTACCCCCCTCAGTGGTGCCTAGTGCCCTCTAGTCCAGAGCCCTTCTGTTTTATACTCACTAGGTAATAAACTTCTGGACTTCGAGAATAGGGGAGAGGTAGTTGCTGGGCTGGGCTATGGGAGCAGAGGAGGGAAGCTGGGGTCTACCTTCCTGTTTTTTTGTTTTTTTTTTTCTTCGAGACGGAGTTTTGCTCTTGTCACCCTGGCTGGAGTGCAATGGCATGATTTTGGCTCACTGCAACCTCTGCCTCCCAGGGTCAAGCGATTCTCCTGTCTCAGCCTCCCGCGTAGCTGGGATTACAGGCACCCGCCACCAAAAGCCTAGCTAATTTTTTGTATTTTTAGCAGAGACGGGGTTTCACCCCTTCATAATCATTGGTCAGGCTGGTCTTGAACCCCTGATGTCAGGTAATCCACACGCCTCAGCCTCCCAGAGTGCTGGGATTACAGGCATGAGCCACTGCACTAGGCCTACCTTCCTCTTAAATGGGATTCAATCACTCCTGTCTTAGCTCCACCCTCAGCCTCACTTCCATGGGTAATTGGTGCTGCCAGTTATATAGTATAGGAAAATAGCCTTGTAGTGTAAATGTAGCTCAGCTTTCTCCTCTGCCAAAATCAGTTTTTATTCTAATTGGATTGTTACCTCCTGTTCTCTTTCCAGCTTATCCTCTTTCCAGAATTTGTTGTTATTGTGTCTTTTATAGTAGATTTATGCCTTTAAAAATATCTCTTTATTATTTCTCTATCAGAAGGGCTGGAAGGAATGTGTTTCAACCTGCCAGCCATAACCATAGACTTAACTGAACTTATTTTTAAAATACAATGTCTTACAGGTATCTTCTCAACCTGTCCCATGGGACTTTTATATCAACCTCAAGTTAAAGGAACGTTTAAATGAAGATTTTGATCATTTTTGCAGCTGTTATCAATATCAAGATGGCTGTATTGTTTGGCACCAATATATAAACTGCTTCACCCTTCAGGTCTGTAATACTAAAAACATAATTTAAAGTCCTGAAGTAGAGAGATTTGTGCTCCATTTAGCAAAGGAATTTAGTACAAAATTCCTGTCAATCTTCTAGAAATAGACCAATTCAAGTATAAGTTAGAAGCATTGATAATTTTCTCGTTATTTTGACCAAAGATCTCTTTGGTATTTTTTTAACTTTTTTTGGTCCGTTGTCAAGCATAAATAAAAGTAGAATTGTACAATGAACTCCCATGAACTAGTCATCTATGATAATCTTAGCTCATGGTCACTCTTGTTTTAGCTATACTACCCCCACTGGATAGTTTTTAAAACCCAGACACAATATGTCATTTTACTCTTCGGTTTGTTCTTAAGAAGGTTTGCTATGGATTTTGATGATAATATGAATTCTCAAAAATGGTTGGAATGAGGGTATTTTAAATCCATTTATTAAGTACCTATTTTGGGCCAGGCTCATGCTTGATGCCCTTCATCATTATGTCATTAAATCCTTACAAACAATCTTATGGGAGATGGCAGTGTTATTAAAACTGGGACATAGACTCAGTCTACAGAGGTGCCTACGTTCCAGTAGAGAACAAGGAAGACTACAAACCATCAGTTTTCAAGGTATTGAGTATAACTACGATCTGCCAAACTTGAGAAATAGTGAGTTTTCTGTCCTTCAATTTCCAGGATCTTCTCCAACACAGTGAATATATTACCCATGAAATAACAGTGTTGATTATTTATAACCTTTTGACAATAGTGGAGATGCTACACAAAGCAGAAATAGTCCATGGTGACTTGAGTCCAAGGTGTCTGATTCTCAGAAACAGGTTGGTCCTTTTCATTCTTATAATTCTGCCAGCTGTCTCTTAAAACATGGATAGTTGCCACTTTTTTTTTTCTTTTTTGAGGCGAGGGTCTCACTCTGTCACCTAGGTTGGAGTACAGTGGCATGATCTTGGCTCACTGCAGCCTCCATCTCCCAGGTTCAAACGATTCTCCCATCTTAACCTTGCTAGTAGCTGGGACCACAGGCGCGCACCACCACACCTGGCTAATTTTTTGTATTTTTTGGTAGAGATGAGGTTTCACCATGTTGCCCAGGCTGGTCTCAAACTCCTGGCCTCAAGTGATCTGCCCACCTCAGCCTCCCAAAGTGCTGGGATTATAGGCGTGAGCCACTGCACCCGGCCAAGTTGCCAATTTTTAAAGCCTTTTGATAAATGCCATATCGAGGAACATATTATGTTAAGAGAGTATTTACCTAAAAGTCAAAAATCATTAAGAATAGTTTAAAATAATTCAAAGAAATAAACACATTGAGGAAATAGATTAAATCAGATAAAAGAATTAATCACTGAGTATTGTGATGATATATGTCAAGATGAGATATAAAATATGAATATTTTGAGGAATATAAAGTGGATTGTTTAGTCATTCTTTGAGTGGGACCAGTGCCACTCTAGCGAGGATGCCAGCAAAATCAAGGCACTACTCAGTTTCATAGACCAAAGCTTAAGTCAGGCCTAACTGACCTGTTAGCCAAGAGAAGTGGGTAAAACCAGAGTTCAAATACAAACTATGCCAAGGAATGGGGTTTAGTGTTCAAATTAAACCCAGTGTGTCCATCAGGTTCAAGGGGTGAGCACAGAGCAGGAAATAATAAATGAATACTAAGGACTGAGAAAATATAGATCACGTTCAGGCATTAACTAGGCAAAAACAGTCCAACATTTTTGCTTTGTGAAAAGTACTAGAGGACTACTATATTCTTTTAGTGATCATTGGTGTTATAGTATTTGAGTAAAAGCAGCCTGGTTTAAAGATGCTGTGTCTGCCCAACCCTGTGTCTTGGGTGAGGTGTTAACTTTGTTTCTGAGGCCACTGGTATACACTAATAGCTGGACTTACTCTTTACATTTCTTCTGAATACTTAATCTATCAGAAGAGATTGAATTAGACTCTAAATTATAGTTAACGTGGAAATTAAAAGAACCCTCAATGTGTTCCTGTGATTGTAACCAAAAGAACCAGAGAATCCCACCTTCTCCCCTGAGATAGCAGAGTCAAAGGCTTTCCCAGACATAATGTAGCAGCATTTCTCATCCAGGGCACCATAGGTATTTTGGGTGAGACAATTCTTTGTGCAGGTGTGTTCCAAGCAATGCAGGATGTTTTATATTCCTATTCCCCCCCACCCACCCAATTAAGTGCAAGTAACAATCCCCTAAGCCGTTGTGACCACCAAAAATCCCCCCAAATTTCCAAGTATGAGAACCCCTGGTATATTTTCACTCTACTTAACATTAAAATGACAGTGCTGAAATTCCCAGGGCTATGGAAATTGGAAGCAGAGGTTTTTTCTAAGCCTTTTAGAATTGGCCATTTGTGGTCTAATGAAGTACGATAACCCTTCTCTCAGCCACTAGAGGCTCTAGGAAAGTCCATAGTATTAAAGAGGCATTGCTTTTTACTTTGTCACTGCTTATCAAATTTAATCAGAAATTTCACATAGATTCATAAGGAATTAAAAGCCAGAAAGGGGCCGAGCACAGTGGCTCATGCCTATAATCAATCCCAGCACTTTTGGAGGCTGAGGCGGGCAGATCACCTGAGGTTGGGAGTTCAAGACCAGCCTGACCAACATGGAGAAACCCCATCCTACTAAAAATACAAAATTAGCCAGGTATGGTGGTGCATGCCTGTAATCCCAGCTACTTGGGAGGCTGAGGAAGGAGAATTGCTTGAACTCAGGAGGCAGAGGTTGTGGTGAACTGAGATCGCACCATTGTACTCCAGTCTGGGCAACAAGAGCAAAATTCTGTCTCAAAAAAAAAGCCAGAGGCCGGGCGCAGTAGCTCACGCCTGTAATCCCAGCATTTTGGGAGGCCGAGGCGGGCGGATCACGAGGTCAGGAGATCAAGACCATCCTGGCTAACACAGTGAAACCCTGTCTCTACTAAAAATACAACAAGATAGCCAGCCGTGGTGGCAGGTGCCTGTAGTCCCAGCTACTCAGGAGGCTGAGGCAGGAGAATGGCGTGAACCCGGGAGGCAGAGCTTGCAGTGAGCCAAGATCATGCCACTGCACTCCAGCCTGGGTGACAGAGCGAGACTCCATCTCAAAACAAAACAACAACAAAAGCCAGAAAGGGCTGGATGCAGTGGTTCACATCTGCAATCCCAGCACTTTGGGAGGCAGAGGCAGGAGGATCTCTTGAGGCCAGGAGTTCAAGACCAGCCTGGTCAACATAGCAAGACCCTGTCTCTACAAAAATAAAATAAAAGCCAGAAAGAACCTTTTGAAATTGCTTAGTTTAGTTGCTTACTTTAGTTTCTGCATATTTTTTGTGAGGAAAATGAGATCCAAAAAAATGGAATGTCCTACCCAAAGTAACAGTGAGTGAGTAGCTGATTAGAGGGCTAGGACACCTTCATGCATGCTTCTTTTTATTAATCTATGAGACATTTTTTCCCTATGCCTCCAAAGTTATATAAATATTTTACAATTACACTGGGCATGGTGACTCACATCTGTAATCCCAGCACTTTGGGAGACCAAGGCAGAGGATCACTTGAGCCTAGGAGTTCAAGACCAGTCTGGGCAATATAATGAGACCTCATCTCTACAAAAAATTAAGAAATTAGCCAGGCATGGTGGCACACACCAGTAGTCCCAGCTACTCGGGAGGCTGAGATGGGAGGATCGCTTGAACCTAGGAGGCAGAGACTGCACTGAGCTGAGATCGCACCACTGTACTCCAGCCTCAGTGACAAGAGTGTAGACCTTGTCTAAGAAACCAAACAAAACACACACATGCACACACTTTACATATATATATAAAATACATATGTATATTTTATATATATCAGAATCCACGATCCCTATAACTATATATATACTATATATATATATATATATATATATTTTTTTTTTTTTTTAATTATAGTATAGTTTTATGGTGGCCAAAAAAGGTTGGCTCTTGTGCCAAGGAAAAATGAGAGCAATTATCAATTTTAAAGTAAAATACATAGATCATTCTGTGCCGTGGAGGTATGTAATTGGAGTAGTTAAAGACTGTATTTAGGAATATTGCACCAATATCAGGAGTTTGAGGGAATTAATTGAGAAAAACAGACAAAAGGAACACATGAAAACCCACTCTTTTCATTTATAAACAGTTCCTATGTCCCCTTGGAGAATAGCATTATTGCATAGGATAGATAAACCCAAGGAAAACAAAATTAATTGATAATTAATTAGTATTATAAAGATTTTTTTAGTAAATAACTGGAATTACAAGTAAGAGTAAGATAAAATATGGTGTTTTACAAGAAATTTTACAATACAGATAGGACTTTATAAAACAGACTTGCATTGTTTTCCATTAAACTCTGGAAGGAAGAATCTAAACAATACTTGGAAAGCCTATCTGGAATAGTAAACAAGAAAGGCTATGACACCTATAAAATTTTAATTTCCTCCATCATAATTCCTGTCAGTGTATAAATCATTGCAATTGTATGTGTTAATGTGTACAGTACAGGGAAGAAGCCTGTGCTCTGCTTCCATACTTACTTTATATAATATGGAAGCTTGATAAATGTTTAATGGTGGCCATGCACCGTGATTGAAATATACTTTGTGTCACCAAAGTGGTGACATTCCTTCCGCATTGGGTGGACACTGCCACTGCTCTGTCTTACAGGTGCATTTTCAAAATTAACCACTGGAGGGAGTTGTTGGCATAGCTAAGATGTACCCAAGGTACCTTTTTTTTTTAAAGACCAGCTATGCAGCTTCTTTCATGGCCTATTTTTATTATCTCCTTCTCTTAAATCTGGGCTCAGAATCCACGATCCCTATGATTGTAACAAGAACAATCAAGCTTTGAAGATAGTGGACTTTTCCTACAGTGTTGACCTTAGGGTGCAGCTGGATGTTTTTACCCTCAGCGGCTTTCGGACTGTACAGATCCTGGAAGGACAAAAGATCCTGGCTAACTGTTCTTCTCCCTACCAGGTAAGTGTAAAACAAGCCTGAGCAAATATGGAGAGGGTTTCTTAATCTCTTTATTATCTAGATAAGCTATAAAAGCTACTGTTTACTGATACCGACTCCTAGAATAGATGACCTAGTTTTCAAATATCACCAAGTCAAGTAAAATGTAACATTTTTGTGTTACAGCATTGAAGAATATACACATACATGTGCAAACACATGACTAACTCTGTAACCGAGTGCCAGGGCCACTCCTACTGCCTACCACCCATGTAATCTTTTATAAGTCATTTTCTGTGATCTTCTCTGTAAAATAGGGATAACAGTCTCTGCTATGTGTTTATCAGAATTGTTATGAGGAGTAAATGAAGTAATGTATATAAAAAGAACATTAGCACAAATGTAAAGTCTTTTGTATGGTGGCATTATATGCAGAAATTCCTTCTAACTCAGCTTTAGACATAAGACATTTGCTGATTGAATATGTAGCACAAACCTGAACTAATCATGTGGACCCCATTTAGATCACAGCTGGAGTTCATGCAAACTCAGTAGGTCTACAAATTTGAATGTGATAGTCCAAATATTTCATCTTTTGTTCTTAAGGATAATTCCTAGAATTGGCTCTATTGATCACTTCTTTGGAGAGCTTCTCCCTTTACTGTAAGGGTGAGGAACAGTCTACTAAAATGTATGTCATAAAATAAACTTAGTTAAGCACTGTAATACCTTTCAACTTCCTACCGAAATAAGCTGCCATGGTAGAGGCAGAGAATTATTTTAGCTGATGGTGCTTTTTGTGATTTCAGGTAGACCTGTTTGGTATAGCAGATTTAGCACATTTACTATTGTTCAAGGAACACCTACAGGTCTTCTGGGATGGGTCCTTCTGGAAACTTAGCCAAAATATTTCTGAGTAAGTATTGATGAATGTCAGGGTCTCTGCCTGTCCCAATAATTTTCTGTTTCTCTTGGGTGCTATCTCTGCTTTGGCAGCCTTAGTTTTTTAATCCAAATGCCATGGTTCCAGTAGTTTCAGCCAGTTTTCATTAGAGTATCAGCAGAGCAGCTAGTGCAGGAAAAAGGAACTGCTTACTAAAAATAAGATTCAAAACTATTCAGACTTCAGGACATCATTCTGAATCTAGCTGTATCTTCCAGACTACAGCTATAGTATGGAAGCTTCCCTGTTTAGATATGTGAAAAGAAGCATTTCATGAGAATAATTTTCTAACTAATTGGTGTTAGCCTTAAATTCCTTTTTCTTTATTTATTTATTTTTTGAGACGGAGTCTCGCTCTGTTGCCCAGGCTGGAGTGCAGTGGCATGATCTCGGCTCACTGCAACCTCTGCCTCCCAGGTTCAAGTGATTCTCCTGCTTCAGCCTCCTGAGTAGCTGGGATTACAGGCGTGCGCCACCATGCCTGGCTCATTTTTGTATTTTTAGTAGAGATGCGGTTTCACTACGTTGGCCAGGCTGATCTCGAACTCCTGACCTTGTGATCCGCCCGCCTCGGCCTCCCAAAGTGCTAGGATTACAGGTGTGAGCCACCGTGTCTGGCCTAAATTCCTTTTTAATAGCAATTATTACCAAAAGTTAATAAGCATCCTTTGAAAAGACTTACATTTCTAAACTATATGCTAATTTTAGGCTATTTTTTATTTAATAAGTGGATAGAACCAAACCAGATAACTGACTCTCCTGGAGAAGAAGTAAGTGGTCTCTTAATAAGCACTGCTTGGTCTCAGAACCTTAGTACTCCCTCAAGCCTGCTCATAAAACTTACTAAGTCAGCCGGGCATGGTGGCTCACACCTGTAATCACAGCACTTTGGGAGGCCGAGGCAGATTACCTGAGGTCAGGAGTTTGAGAGCAGCCTGGGCAACATGGCGAAACCTTGTCTCTACTCAAAATACAAGAAAATTAGCTGGGTGTGGTGGCACATGCCTGTAATCCTAGCTACTTGGGAAGCTGAGGCACGGGAATCACTTGAACCTGGGAGGCAGAGGTTGCAGTGAGCTGAGATCGCGCCACTGCACTCCACCCAGGGCAACAGAGTGAGACTCCGTCTCAAAAAAAACTAAGTATCTACGTTCCACTTTAGCTTATCTTAGCAAATAAGTTCCCAGCCTGTCACCTATTGTTATATTCTTTGGTTAAAAAAAAAAATGAGTGTTGAAGATTTAATGCCCCTTCTCTATTTTCATCTTTGAATAATTGAATTGTACTTTTCTCTTCATTTAATTCAGAACTTGGCCAGTGTTGTCTCTTACATGAACTTTTAAAAATAGGCTTGAAATACAATGTAAGACATATAGGATGGATATAGGCATGTCCACTTGGCTATGGTCCAGGCAGGTCTGGCTAACACAAGCAGAAACAAGTGGGGTCAGTTGGGGTTTCCTAACAGCCCTGCCTTATCTAATAAGGGAAGTTTCTCTGATCAAAAGAAAATAATAAGAAGCAAAGGTACAAACATATTAAGCAGTAGTTAGTTTAGTCAAGCTTACGATTATCAGAGAATTGTAAAGAAGATCCACTACTGGGGTAGGAGAAAGGAGCTGTAGCCTTTTTAATGACCTAGACTCTAGGAAAGTTAGAGGAAATAAAATTCCTTTTTCTTCTATTTGTAGAAGAAAAGTGCTATGTCTTAGTACACAGAGGAAATTTATAGATTTAGATGAGAGATCTTCTTTCCCTTTATGTGCATTGTATCTTGGCTTTTCCCACTATGGTAGCCCTTTTTTGTAGTTCTTCCCTGGGCTTTCAAAGGACTATTTGAATGATCTCTAACCCTAGAGTTCTAGGTATTACCTTACACCATTTTGGTGCATAAATGTACCACTGAGTTAAACTAAAAGGAATTATAATTTTCATATGCCTAATCTTGATGGAAATGGTTTTATATATTTTTAGGCTAAAAGATGGTGAATTGTGGAATAAATTCTTTGTGCGGATTCTGAATGCCAATGATGAGGCCACAGTGTCTGTTCTTGGGGAGCTTGCAGCAGAAATGAATGGGGTTTTTGACACTACATTCCAAAGTCACCTGAACAAAGCCTTATGGAAGGTAGGGAAGTTAACTAGTCCTGGGGCTTTGCTCTTTCAGTGAGCTAGGCAATCAAGTCTCACAGATTGCTGCCTCAGAGCAATGGTTGTATTGTGGAACACTGAAACTGTATGTGCTGTAATTTAATTTAGGACACATTTAGATGCACTACCATTGCTGTTCTACTTTTTGGTACAGGTATATTTTGACGTCACTGATATTTTTTATACAGTGATATACTTACTCATGGCCTTGTCTAACTTTTGTGAAGAACTATTTTATTCTAAACAGACTCATTACAAATGGTTACCTTGTTATTTAACCCATTTGTCTCTACTTTTCCCTGTACTTTTCCCATTTGTAATTTGTAAAATGTTCTCTTATGATCACCATGTATTTTGTAAATAATAAAATAGTATCTGTTAAATTTGTGCTTCTAACATGTCATGTAGTTTTTGCAAACTAAAATAACAGATGGCTTAACTTTGCAGAGATGAACTATTTTGCCATGGAAATTTATATATCCTAGACTTCGAATTGTTACAATAGGGTTGTGATGAGACAGAGTAGCCAACTATTTCTTTAGGTGGGTCTGACCTTCCAATAAGTGGTCTAGACTGAAAAGTAGGTAAGATGATATGCATAAGACCAAATATCCTTCAATTTCAAGTGGCATGATTGTATACATGGCTTATGTTTTAATGTTTTCACTTTTTTGGAGACAGGGTGTCCTCTGTTGCCCAGGCTATAGCCTTGATTTCCCAGGCTCTGGCAATTTTCCCACCTCAGCCTCCCAAGTAGTTGGGAGCACAGGCGCACACCACCACATCTGGCTAATTTTTTGTATTTTTGTAGAGATGGGATTTCGCCACAGTGCCCAGGCTGGTCTCAAACTCCTGGGCTCAAGTGATCTGCCCACCTCGGCTGCCCAAAGTGCTGAGATTACAGGCGTGAGCCACCATGCCCGGCCCTAATGCTTTCACTTTTATCCACCAAGCTCCTTGGTCTATTTATATAATCTAGTGGCACTGCTGCTGGGGTCTTTTGATTAGGAATGTGACTGTTAGAAAGTAAAAGCAAATGTGTTAAACAGGGTTTAGCAACCTTTCAGAAATGGAATAATCACCATTCTATTACATGCAGAATGACTTGGAGGGGGCAAGGGTCAGTGAAGGAATAAAAGGAAATTTTGCTTGAAAGATTTGAGGAAGCAGGAGGTCAGAATAAAACGATAACTTTGAAGTATGAAATAGTTTGGAAGAGAATAGGCCTAGATAAAGTATTGGACTCCCAAAGGGAAGCGTGAATTACACCTGGCCTCAGGGATAGGGAAGAAAATTGGTAGAAAAAGGCAATGAAAATTATCCAACTATCAGCCGGGCACCGTGACTCATGCCTGTAATCCCAGCACTTTGGGAGGCCAAGGAGGGAGATTCATGTGAGACCAGGAGTTTGAGAGCTGCCCGGGCAACAAAGTGAGCCCCATCTCTACAAAAAATAAAAATAAACATAAATTAGTTGGGTGCAGTGGCACTTGCCTATAGTCCTAGCTGCTTGGGAAGCTGAGGCGAAAGGATTGCTTGAGCCTGGGAGTTCAAGGTTTAGTGAGCATGATTGCGCCATTGCACTCTTGCTCCGGGCGACAGAACAAGACTCTGCCTCTAACAAAAAAAGGAAAGAAAATTATCTAATTATCTATTTCATATCTAAATACCAAAATTATCTAATGTTCCTCCTTGCTAGTGCCTTATTTTTTTTTTACTCTAGTTGTCACTGTTACTGCTCTAAGATTGCTGGAAAGCAAAAAATCCTACGTATGTCTCAACTAAAAATATTTAAGCATATATAGTTGAAGCACTGCAACATGACTTGGATCTGAAAGATAATCAACTTAGAAATATTTGCTCTTAACCAAAATACAGCTCTCCAAACATTCTCACATTTGCTTCTTATACTGATGATGTAAAATGATATATCTGTATCTTTTACATAATCAAGCCCCTCTCCTCTCTGCTCTCCTCATTTCTCAGTTCACTGTGTTGACACATGAAGTTATTACTCTGAGACTGGACAGAAAATTTAGATTTATTCTTAATATAGGCTTAGCTACTATGTAGTGAATAGCAACCTTGACAGCAGGCTGCTGTGAAGTAAAGCTTTGTTTCTGGAGTAGGCTGTGAGGAAAGGGAGGGGAATCTGAGGAAACTACTTTGTTAGAGAACTTGCATCTGTTTTGCCACCCCTCCCTTCCATTCCAATCTCTTCCAACCCCAGCCCTTTGTAGAGAGGAGAAAAGTTTACCTGACCATTTAGGACTTACAATTGTCTTAGGTTTTCAGTTTGCCTAAGCATAAAACCACAAAGTGAGATCCTTTACATTTCCCTTATATTTTATGCTTATTTGTCTTGGGAGAAGGAAGCCTTTCCTTTTTGGCAGAAGTTTCAAATGGTTCTTATTTCTTGTCTCACTAAGGCAGTAATAGCATAGTGATGGACCTGGTTGGGTAGTGGGGGACAGCTGAAAAGGCAGGAGTTTTACTTTTGTTTGAAAAGAGACCACATCACATATAGCATCTCACCATTCACAAAGTGTACATCCACCGATACTACTCCACTGTTAGAGCCTTCGTCCTCCTATGGCAGTAGTATAAGAAACCTTCCACCAAGTCAGAGTGCTCTAACTGATGCCAAACCTAAACCTGGAAATAAAGATTTTCCTGGAGCAGTAAGACTTCAGACTGTTGGTTGAGCTATTATCTCAAGGTAGATAAGAAAGCCTTTCAGAAGGTGAGCACAAGGTTCTTTGAAATAACTCATTGGTGTCTTTAAGCTGAAGCCTTTAAGCAAAGACAGCAAAGAAATTGCATCTGAAAATGAGGAATTCTTCCAACTGCACCAGTTCTTTCTAATGTGCCAAAATTAGCTTCTAATTTGGCTCCTAAAATAAAGGTTTCCCTAGTGAGGAGAATGCATTTAAAAAAATTTTTTTTGTAATATGGCAAACTTCTACCTTAACGGGGTCCTTGGTTCTACCAGAGACATAAGAAGCTATGAATATTTAATAGGACAAAGATGGCATTTTAAGTCAGTATGTGAAAAGATTATTTAATAACTGGTGTTAAAACAATGGATTAGGCTGGGTGTGGTGGCTCGCACCTGTAATCCCAACACTTTGGGAGGCTGAGGCGGGTGGATTACCTGAGTCAGGAGTTCGTGACCAGCCTGGCCAACATAGTGAAACCCCGTCTCTTCTAAAAATACAAAATTAGCCATGCGTGGTGGTGCATGCCTATAATCCCAGCTACTTGGGAGGCTGAGGCAGGAGAATCGCTTGAACCCAGGAGGTGGAGGTTGCAGTTAGCCAAGATCATGCCATTGTACTCCAACCTGGGCAACAAGAGTGAAACTCTGTCTCAAAAAAAAAAAAAAAAAGAAAAAACAACCCACAATGGATTAAAGCTTGAACTCTATCTCCATTGACACTACTAGTTCATATAGCACCTTCGTGCAAATTAGAAAAGGCCCCTTCCTTTAGTGGATTCAGTACCTCCCAATGCACCATACCTTGACTGAATTTCAGTCCCCACTTACCCCCTCAGCCTGGTACCCTTGTGCAGCAAATACATTGTGCAGTCTTATGCATTGATCTTGCCTGTTTCACTGCTTATCCCCAAAATAATTTTGGAGAAATCAGAAATTTTAATCAAAATACAATGTAATAGATGGTTTTGCAATCTTTTGCCTGTGTGACATAAAAGCAAGATATAAACCAGAAGATTGCTATTACTATAGTAGATAAAAAATTAAATATAGGATGGATACCTATCCTCCCCTCCAAAAAAATTAAAACCATAAATTCAAACTAGGAACATTTACTGGCAACAAATATTTACATCTTTTTTTGCCTCGACTCAGGGATCTTGCTTTGTCGCCCAGGCTGCAATGCAGTGGTAAGAAGATCAACTCCTGGTTTCAGGCCTCCCAAGTAGCTGGGAGTCTCGGTGCACGCCACCACACCTGGCTAATTTTTTTAATCTTTAGTAGAGACAAAGTCTTGCTGTGTTGTCCAGGCTTGCATCCACTTTCATCTGGTCTCATGACTCTGTTGTTCCTACCCACCTCCAGCCAAATCAGAACCCTCCAAAGACTTTACCATGGCCTATAAGACCCCACCCTATCTGACCCCACTCTCTCTGACCTCCTCCCGGACTCCCCTCTTCCTCACCCACACTGCTGTAGGCGGCCTCCTTGTTGCTTCTCAAATGTGCCAACTAATTTCCCTCTCCCTCTCTTTAAAGCCTTTTGGCTTTTAAGGCCAGTTGTTTTTTGGCCTTGTTTTCCTTGATCTTCATGTAAATTACTCCCTTTCTTCCTTTCAGGTAGGTGTCTTCTCCAATCTCCACTCTATCAGAGAGGCTGTCCCTGACCATTCTGTACACTGCACAGAATAGCATCCCATCCCACACACACTGCTATCACTTTCTATCCCTTTTTACCCTCCTTTATTTTTCTATTGCACCTGTCACCGCCTCGTGCGTGTGTCTGTGTTGTGTGTGTGCGTGTATACATACACTTTTTTTTCTTTATCTCTCTACTAGAATTTAAACTCCTTAAGGGTGGGGATTTTCTTTGTTTCCTGTTTGACTGCACTGTCTAGAACAGTGCCTGAATGAATAAAACTGTTTTACCTAAAGTACAAAAAACTCTTAAAAATAAAAAATTGATAAAAGAAACAAAGGACATGAACAATCCACTAAAACATTTTAATGGCTCATATACATGAGATGTTCATTCCTAATTAAATAAAATGCAAAATAAATGAGAAATTGTCATACACTCTAAATGGTTGAAAATTGTATTTGTAAGGATGATAAGAAACAGGCATTCATATATTATTAATTGGGATGCAGATTGGTACATTATTAGAAGTTGATTTGGCAAAAGTCACTTAAATATTCCCTTTAGCTGAGAAATTTTCCTAAGAATTTATCTCACAAAAGCATTGACACAGGAGCTCAGAGAAAGCACTGTTTCTAACACTTGTCCTGTCTGCTTCCAAGACTCGACAGTCCCCAGAGGGATAATCCACGTGACAGACCCCAGGAAGGTAGTGCTTGCACTAGTGCAGAGGCGCTGGCAAGCCATCTCTGTAGGCTTCAGGGTGCCTCACCATTGGCAGGGAACGCCCTTCCAATTTGCCATGAGCCCTTGTAGATGGCAGAACCTGAGAGATAGGCAGACATTTTCAGCCTATGTAGGGAAAAAAGCCGTGGGGAAAAAGTGATTGCCTTTGGTGGGGAGAGTGTATGGGAGTGGAGAGAGGAAAGAATGAAGGCTCTTACTTTTCAATTTGTACATTTATAAGCATTTTGAATTTTCTGACCATGTACATGAATTGCTTTTTTAAAAAATGTACTGGGTTAATCTAGGCTAAGAAATTATAGGCCATGTTTTTGCCATCTTTTCCCTCCTCTATGTTGTAAAAACTAAGCCTTGTTAAGTGTTCGTTTTTTAAAAAACTGGGACTTTGGAAAGCTTTATTATCTAAACATGAAAGCAAGGTTGATATGGAATTCAAATGAAAGTAAAAATAATTTTAAATCATTGAAGATAATATATCTGAGCTTTTATTTTTAGTATATGAAAATTCATGTTTAAATGTTTTATACTGTTCTATTAGAGATATGCTTTGTAACATTACCATCTTCCTACTATTACAACTTCCTATGTCTGTGAACAAATTATGTATCAAATTATGTAAAGTCCAACTCTTTTCAACACAAAATACATTTTTTATGGCTTTCATATAAAAACTTGAGTTTTCACAAAGTGATGTATGTTTAAGAAAAGAACAAACAGTGATGAACTTAGGCTAAACTTCTATAGACATGTGCTTTTTTTCCATCAAAACATATTACTTCCAATAATCTTGCTCCTTAGAGGCTTGTGCGGCAAACCTTTGACTTATGAATAGTATCATCCTGTAAATTCATGTTAGCCTTTCCATAGGAAATTGTGGTTGTCCTGTCAAACTGCTAGTTTTTAAGCCCCTTGTGAGCAGGGGACTATGTGTCTATTAATTTTATATACTCCCAGAAATGAGCTCATGGGTCTTAAAAATAAGTAGTGAATTAAAATATTGGAAAAGAGCAGCCACAAGTTCAGAAAGTAGTTACATTGGCACCTTGGTGAGAGGGAAAGATATCTGAGTGAGTCTCTAGATGTAGCTGAAGGTGTAATCTCACTTTCATTTTTAGTATGCCACTTTATACATGTTTCTTTAACATGTAATAATTGACTGCTGACCTTACATTGCAATACACTTCACTGTCCTGTTTACACCTTTTTCAATTAAATGTTATTTTCACAAGTATATTCCACTGAAATGTGTACTGTATTTCCTATTAAATTGCATCAGTCTTGAAATTAAAGTGAGGATGGCATTTCATAAAAAAATACCAGTTAAAATCTGTGGACAAAAAGATATGCATTTTATTTGTTTTCTTTTTTAAAACTTTTTTTTTTTTTTTGGCATTTTAAAGCCTAGCTGTCTTCCCACCCCCCCGCATCCCCCCACCAAGAGATGGGGTTTCACCATGTTGCCCAGGCTGGTCTCGAACTCCTGAGCTCAAGCAGTTTGCCCACCTTGGCCTCCCGAAATGCTGGGACTACAGGCATGAGCCACCGTGCCTGGCCCTTATTTGTTTCCTTTTGCATTTTAAACAAAATTGAAAAATCTGATAACCCTAGAACAAAGTGATAACACAATTTAAAAAGATGACAAGCATGAAGCTTCAGTGATATTGTCTCATTCAAGGAAATGATAGCTAAGGGTGAATGAGTGTGCAGTGAGTCCAGAGTCCCAGCGAGTCCAGGGGGTCAGGCTGGCAGAAATATGAGTGAGGCAGAGTAGACAAAAGCTAACTAGCGTGGCCAGGAGAGACCTTTTCAGACCAACTGTACCCCATCACTGAACAGATATAAAAGCCATTGCTTAGGACTCACTCAGACCGGCATGTTCAATATCCTAGCATATGGACCAGTGGTTGAGGTTCCATGGTATAGGCCATTGGGGGCAGCTGCATAGCTCCTCCCTGTACCATTCCTCTGCTCCATTTTATTATGTATTGCGTTGGACTTGTCTCTATGTATGGCCTTACCTCTCCAACTCATATGAGTTTGTTGGGGGCAAGTTTTTTTTTTTTTTTTTTTTGAGATGGAGTTTCACTCTTGTTGCCCAGGCTGGAGTGCAATGGCGCAATCTCGGTTCACTGCAACCTCCGCCTTCTAGGTTCAAGTGATTCTCCTGCCTCAGCCTCCTGAGCAGCTGGGATTATAGGCATCCACCAACATGCCCAACTAATTTTGTATTTTTAGTAGAGGCAGGGTTCTCCACATTGGTCAGGCTGGTCTTGAACTCCCGACCTCAAGTGATCCACCCCCGTCAGCCTCCCAAAGTGCTGGGATTACAGGCGTGAGCCACTGCACCCGGCCAGCAAGTTCTCTTTTTATGCCCTGGTTAGGACTTCAGTATAGTGCTCACATTATAAGGGGTTGACTTTACAGGCCCAAGGTCTGCTTAGAACCTTCTCAGCATTGAGATGGCTCTCTGCCTATGGTACCAAAGCAAACACTAGCATGGTGGCTAGAAATTCTGCCTTTAGCCAGAATATCTGGACTTGAATCCTAGCTGTGTAGCAGTGGACAAGTTAACCTCTCTGAGCCAGTGTCATCTATAAAATGAGGATAACTGAAGTGCCTACTTTACGGAGTATTGAGAACTGAAGCTTTAAGTACGCATACTTGTAGATGTTTGTATTGATTTAGTTCTAATGTTTAATGGCCTAAGGTTCTCTGGAAACCTCTCAAGTAATTTGAGATCTCAGCTGGTTGATCGGAGCCTTACTATCTTTTGACTTAATGTGCACAGTGTAGCTAAACCTGTGATATAATAAAGGTAAGTGAAACATGTAGTATTCTGTAATTTAGAGATAAGGGAAAATTAGTTGTTTCTATCAGGATAAGTTTCAGGGAACCAAATATTTGTACTTAAAGAGATAGTCCTTAAGATCAGCCAAATACCAAGGTATCAGGAAAGTCCATCCAGTCCCCATTCTCATTCCACAAGGCCGTTTCAGCCCAGAGGACCTCTGGCTTGCAGCTGGGCTGCTTCTGTGCCATGTTCAGAGTGCAGAGATCTTTAAAAGGCTGACTTGGGTCCTGTTTGCTCCAAGGTACCAGGCAGGGTCTTGCTGCCCACCAGCCACTTACAGGTGCATCTCAGTCTTCCCCTCTCCAACCAGGAGAAATGGCTTTCTAGCTTAGGGGCATGGCCTACTGATCCCATTTAAGGCATCTAGTCCCTTCCTGAGACTCTTGTTGCTAGAGCATCTAGCCACACAACAATGTTGCGGTCAACAGTGAACCTCATATCTGACTGTGGTCTCATAAGATATAATACCAAAAATTTACTGTACCTTTTCTATGTTTAAATATGTTTACTTTTTACTTTTATTATTTTTTGAGACAAGGTCTCACTCTGTTGCAGGCTGGAGTGTGGTGACATGATCAGAGCTCACTTCAGCTCCATCTTCTAGGCTTAAGCGATTCTCCCACCTAAGCCTCCCAAGTAGCTGGGACTACAGGTGTGTGCTACCACACCTGGCTAACTTTCTTTTTTTAAAATTAGAGACGGTGTTTCACAATGTTGCCTAGGCGGGTCTCAAACTCCTGAACTCAAGGGATCCTCCCACCTCGGCCTCCCAAAGTGCTGGTATTACAGGTATGAGCAACTGCCTGCAGCCTAAATATGTTTAGATACACAAATGCATACCTTTGTGTCACAACTGCCTACTGTATTCAGTACAGTAACGTGCTGTGCAGGTTGTAGCCTAGGGGCAAGAGGCTACACCATATAGTCTAGGTGTGTAGTAGGTTTAGACCATCTAAGTTTGTGTAACTACACTCTGATGTTTGCACAATGAAACTACCTAACAACGCATTTCTCAGAATGTATCTCTCTCATTAAGCTAGTATCTGTCATTAAGCAATGCACGACTGTATTTCTATTTTATGCTCTCCTACATCCCTCACCTGAGCCAATGAATAAAAGGCGATCACTTGCTTAATAGGAAAAAGGAAAGGGGAAAATAATAGGAAGCCCTGTGAACTCAATTCAGGAACTGGAAAACCTGGGCTCAACAGCTGCTTAGATTAGGTCACTGCCTTTGCTTGCCCATCTAAACTATTACTGATGGCTCCTACCCCAAAGGGTTCTTATGAGAATGAACACAAGACAGGAGGTGAGCATGGAAGTTCCTTGGCTTAGAACAAGCAGTGTCTGCTTCCCCAGCATCCAGCCCAGGGCAAGGCACATGGGAGGCAGTAGGAGCTGGTGCAAACCACTGGTGAATCTAAGCCACTGTTGAGAGAGATGCCTGACATTCTTATTCACTCAGGCCTGCAGCTGCAACCTGTTGACTCCTGTTTTACTCTTTGTTGAACACAGAAATGTGTTCATTTTTGCCCTCCAGGGCAGCAAATAATATCTTGGAATGTGGCAAAAAAGATAAGCCCCTATATATTAAGTTTTACTGTGGCCTCCACAGTGATGATGGATACCACGAAGAATATAACAAAATGTAAGGCATGCTCACTCCCTTCAGAGAGCTTATAATTTGGAGAAACAGGCCACAACACTTTTTTTTTTTTTTTTTTTTTTTTTTTGAGACGGAGTCTCGCTCTGTCGCCCAGGCTGGAGTGCAGTGGCGCGATCTCGGCTCACTGCAAGCTCTGCCTCCCGGGTTCACGCCATTCTCCTGCCTCAGCCTCCCAAGTAGCTGGGACTACAGGCGCCCGCCACCACGCCCGGCTAATTTTTTGTATTTTTAGTAGAGACGGGGTTTCACCGTTTTAGCCGGGATGGTCTCGATCTCCTGACCTCGTGATCCGCCCGCCTCGGCCTCCCAAAGTGCTGGGATTACAGGCGTGAGCCACCGCGCCCGGCCCAGGCCACAACACTTAAAAGCCAAGATAATATATGAGAGAAATAAGTCAGTCAAAAACGGACATCTCGAGGGAAGCCATGAGCAGTAGCTGATGGAGTGGAGCGGTGTATATGTTAGACTGAACTAAGGGCTAGTGTGGCATGATAGGGGCTGGAGCTGGCTTATATTAGGTAGTTTTCAGCTGCAGAAAAACCCAGAAGAACAACCAAAATATCTTAAGTGGTAAGAATATCTGTTATTTCACATAACAGCAAACCTGGAGCTCAGAAGTTCATGCGGGGCCCAAGTTGTTTCCACCTGCCTATTCCTCCGTCCTCAGCATGCTGGCTTTTGTCCTCGAGCTGGTTCCCTTGTGGGTCTCAGTTGGCTACCACAGTTCCAAGTTCCTGAACAACTTGGAGCAGCATAAGAAAACTTTCTCCCAAAACCCTCCCAGCTGGCTTCCTCGCGTGTCTCTTGGCCAGATTGTCACATATGTGAGCCTACACCAATCCCTGGCAAAGGGAAGGGCGTTACCAAGATTGGTTTAAACTTAAGATTCACCCCTAAGGGCTGGGGCTGGGGAGGGGCCTTTCGCTGGGTACACAGTTAGGAGAGGAGTGTACATTCTAATAAATTGGGTTTCTTCCAGCAAGGGTGGTGAGATGGATTTAGAAAGGCAACCAAGCTGGGCATGGTGGTTCACACCTGTAATCCCAGCTACTCACGAGGCTGAGGTGGGAGGATCAGTTGATCCCAGGAGTTTGAGGTTACTGTGAGCTATGATGGCACCAATACACTCCAGCCTGTGTGACAGAGAAAGACCTCATTTTTTATTTTATTTTTTCTTAAAAAGCAAGCAAGTGTCTGCTATATAGGTAATGTTGTTGGGAAGGAGAAAGGAAGGATTTGGTAACACAATAGCATCCTAAACTCTGAAACGGATCGCCTGGGTTCAAACCCATGTCTTGTCATTTAATGACCTGAGTAAGTAAGTTAACACCACAATGCCTTAGTTGCATCATCTCTGAAATGGGATTATAATGGTTCCTACCCAGATTATAAATTTCATGGGGACAGGGTCTCATCTTGCTCACTGAGTTCTCCCCAGCACCTAGCAGAAAGCATTGTACCTAGCAGGTACTCGGTAGATATTTGTTGAATGGGTTAATTGTATTGTGAGGATTAAATGAGTTAGTGTATGGCAAGGGTTCAGCACAGCACATAATCTAAAGTATGTGCTCAAAAAAATAGTGTTTCACTGCAGGCTTTGTAGAGACCTTTGGAACCCTCTTTGAGTGGTCCCCAATCTTTCTGGCACCAGGGACCAGTCGCATGAAAGACAGTTTTTCCACAGATGGGGGATGGTGGGGGATGGTTTCGGGGTGAAACTAAATTCTCAACCTAGATCCCTTGCATGCGTAGTTCACAATAGTGTTCGCATGCCTATGAAAATCTAATGCCCCTTGCAGGAGGCAGAGCTCAGGCAGTAATGCATGCTTGCCTGCTGCTCACCTCCTACTATGCAGCCCGGTTCCTATCAGGCCACAGACCAGTACCAGTCCACAGCCCAGGGGCTGGGGACCCCTGGGGTGTCTTCTGGCTCCTTTGCACTACCTATGCCACCAGGCTTAGCAGCAGTCCTAGAAACAGGTGTATCAAGAAGACTCTGCTCCTGGTGGGCTGGGGCTGAGATGGCAGAGGCCCATCCCATCATATGCCAGAAAGAGGACACACTTGTGAGTCCAGGACTTGGGACTCTACAGTTTGCAGCTCTGCTCAGACTGGCTTCTGGGCAGCTCCTCACTTTGCCATTAACTCCTCAGAGTCAAGCCCCAGATGCCCCTTGGACCAGCCCCACTCCTAAGGTCATCTGGTCAGGGTCTGCAGGGGTGACGCTTTCACTGACAAAAGGATTTTAATTTTGGTCCTATCCCTAGTGTAGTCCCAGCCAGTCTTTGGTAGTCACCCACTTTTCCTGCTCTGACAGAGATGGGCCAGCCCCTCCCATAGGGGCTGCTCCCGGGAAAGGCTCATCCACAGGCTAGGCCTCTGCCGGGCCTGCTGCCAGCCACTGAGCCTTTGGCGATTGAGAGCTGACTCCCGACTGAGGTGTAGGCCTCCGTCCAGCCAGCACAAAGGGAGGCACATCCCTTGCAGCAGTACCCACAGCCCCTGTCACGGCAGGCTGTGGCCAGACCCTGATTGAGTGGCTCCCTCTCAGCCATCTGTTCAGTCACCCAGAAACAAGTCAAGTCAAAGCTCCCAGTGAGTTCCTGCCTCAGCCATTTGGTGTCACAAGGAAAGCCAGGGCGTTGCCACTTCCTGATTTGGGACAAGATGTGTAAATGCATTGAGCCTCAGACTCCTTATCTGTAGAACTTGGGGTAATGATAACTACTTCATGGTGTTTTAAGAATTCCATGGAATCACAGATGGAAAGAGCCTAGATGTACTATGCCTGACTCGTTGGAGACTTCACATAAAAGGGTTTTCAGCTGCTGCCACCCCCATCTTTTAAGTATTTTCACAATTCCATACACCTGTTCCTGGCAAAAAGAATTTCATTCCCTGTTCACTTACTTGAAAACCCCTCTTCTTTTTTTTCGAGAGAGAGGGTCTCACTGTGTTGCCCAGGCTGGAGTGCAATGGCCAAATCTCAGCTCACTGCAGCCTCAACCTCCCACGTAGATGGGACTACAGATGTGCACCACCATGCCTGGCTAATTTTATTTTTTGTGAGACGAGGTCTGTTGCCCAGGCTGGAGTGCAATGGCCAAATCTCAGCTCACTGCAGCCTCAACCTCCCAAGTAGATGGGACTACAGATGTGCACCACCATGCCTGGCTAATTTTATTTTTTGTGAGACGAGGTCTCACTGTTGCCTAGGCTGGTCTCGAATTCCTGGACTCCAGCAATCCTCCCGCCTTGGCCTCCCAAAGTGCCAGGATTAAGGCACGAGCCACCACGCCCAGCCTGAAAACCCGTTTTCCTGAGGGAAAACTGTTCTGGAAGTCAACAGCAGAGTCGCTTGCCAGGGCCACTTCTAATATTGATGAGATTCTGGCCTGTGCTCCCCTCCCTCATATCTTGTGTAGCATTGTGACTAGAGATTGGGTAAAAAGGGAAGACCTTGCCAAATGTTGCCCACCTGCTACCCTCTCCGGCTGTCTGCTGACGTTGGCCACTTGAGTCTCTTGTCACTGACTGTGCCCACCCTTGGCCCCTGCCAGCATCCTCCACACACCTTGCCCACAGGAGGACAGCTGGAGCAGGGCCACAGGGGAGGGCATGCAAGGGACCTATCTGACAAGGCCCTGAAACTTCCTTCCCACTGAGGACCCCAGGACTTGACCTAGTCATCCCCCACTTTGCTGCCAATACTTTGGGAGCAGGCAGATGTCCAGGAAGCGTCTGTTCCTCTGTACCCTCCCTGCCAAGGAAGGAGCTTGAGAAAAATCTCTTGAAGGTAGAGCCCCTGCTTCTGGCCTAGCTCTCCCGGAGGCGCAGGGCTGACGAGTGCCGCCAAGGTAAGACCAGCTCTGGAGTGTGGGATATACAGGCCTTCAGTGGCAACACCTGCTCATTAATCAAGCCCTTCCTTTCCGGAACCTGCCCTGGCTTGGGATGGTGGGAAGGAAGGAGAACAGAATCTGTTCCTCCCTTCCTGGCCCTGCGGTGAGAGGCGCTGACTAGTGTAGGTGGGTGGAGACAGGCCCATCAGAAGGCCTGAGTGAGGCACCCTCTGTACATGCAGCACAAGCGGGTGTGGAGTGTGGGGAAGCATCTAAAGATCTAGAAAAATTTGGCAGCAAAGGAATTTTACCCACACACTGGAGCCCTAGGCTTTGTTTCTAAAAGTTTTTATTATTCTTTAGGAAAACTTGGGAAGCACTAGTTTATGAAAATTTTTAGAACTTCATTGCTACATGGCCTTTCCAAACACATCCCCAGATGGTTTCTTTAAAACCATGCAGTGGGACAAGGTTGATATAAACAGTTGTTCCAGCTGAATCCAACTCACCAAAACGGTGCAGGTGAGGCAAATTACTTTTGAGACTGCAAGTACTGTATATGTCCATTAACAAAAACACAGTAAAAGACTTTAAGAAATTGTAAGGACACTGGCTTGACTGATTCATGCGGCTGCAAATCCCTGGGAGCCAAGATTCAAAGGCAGAAATGTCTGTGGTGACAGCACCACCACTGCCTTTGTCCAAATTACAGATCTGTCACACTCAGAGCTTGCTGCTAGCATGGGGCTGCCGTCGGCAGCAAAGGGAACTTCATGGATCTGTGAGGAGGAACAGCTGAGTTCCTGACTGCCTTTAATTTTCTCTGAGGCTTTGCTGAGTCACCTAATCTCTTGGGGCTGTGGTTTTCTCACCTGTAGAAGGAGGGACAGGGCTGATATCCCTAGAGTGCCTTTCAGCTCTGGGATTCACGCATTCTAAGGAGGGTGGCTAGAGCACAGAACCTCTAAAGATGTTCATTCATTCCTTCAACAAAGTTTACATGAGCACCTGCCATGTGCTAAGCACCAGGGCCGACCACTGGCCCAAAAACACAGGCATCTGCTGGCCTGCCCACTGCAGCAGCAGCCATACCTTTGCAGGCCGGTGGAGCCCCCCTTTCTACAGCCTGTGGAAAAAATGGTTCTAAATTTGCAGATCCTCTCATCAAATCAGGAAGTCAAGAAACATGATAGAATAGAGGAACTGGTCTCAGTTTGCACAGGCCATCAGTTTCACAAGACAGGAATCGAATATCAACAGTGGCTGATTATCACACTCAGGAATTGAAAATAATTAGAAAAAGAGGCAAAGATGCTGTGGCAATCATTGGCTGGTCCCCTTTGGTCTCCAGCACCCATTCCCCTTTGGTTTAGTAACAGCACCCTAACTTTCCTCCCTATATCGTGTGATAACAGAAGCACTCTCTCCAGGATACCCTCCCTGAGAGACAGGCATATGACCTGAGCCAGCCAATCAGACTCCTTCCCTGCAAGGATGCACTAGGTGGACAGCATGGTGGGAGCATCTCTCATCCAGGCAGGGGTGATCTGTGGGACTGCAGTCAGTCCTGTTGCTTAGAGACCCCAGGACTGCCATAGCTTCTGTCCTGGACTTGATTCTCCAGGCTAACAGAGAACCTGACTGATGCAGATTCAGGAGAGCTGGTTTGTTTAGTTCTCAGTTCCTTTCATGAAATGGCTATTATCTCTGCTAGCTACTATAGCAGAAATCTGGAAAACATGATTTTTCTTGATTTATGAAATTGTTGATGTTTCTTCAGGAATTTCCGCCTGCTTCTCATAAACTGGCAGAAACTTAGAAATGTTACATTTCTTAAAGAGAGTCATTGTAATTATTATCTGAATAAGATGATAGTGTTTTGAATTTAACGTAATAAACTCTATCTCCTGCCTTAGTGCCTTCACATCTTCATGTTGCCCCTCCCTCTAACAACATTTCTGAAAATTTGAAAGACATGAAGGAAGAAAAAGTGTTTTCCATATCCCCACATTGCCTTAAAGTGGACTTTGCAGAGGAAAATGTTCAAATATACAAGTTTTAGGTACTCTTCATAGCTCTTGGTTTTCTATTATTAGGGTTTGTTTGTTTGTTTGTTTGTTTGTTTTGAGACTGAGTCTCGCTCTGTTGCCCAGGCTGGAATGCAATGGCACAGTCTGCTCACTGCAATCTCCACCTCCCGGGTTCGAGCAATTCTCCGCCTCAGCCTCCTGAGTAGCTGAGATTACAGGTGCCCACCACCACACCCAGCTAATTTTTGTATTCTTAGTAGAGACGGGGTTTCGCCATGTTGGCCAGGCTGGTCTCGAACTCCTGACGTCAGGTGATCCACCCACCTCGGCCTCCCAAAGTGCTGGGATTACAGGCGTGTGCCACTGCGTCTGGCCTATTATTAGTTTTAAAAACATACATTCCTTTATTTTTACTTTTGTATTGTTTAAATACAACAGTACATGTTCACTGAAACAATGCAAGAGTGTAAAAAGTCCAAAGTGAAAGACCCCTCTCACCACCACTCCTATTTCCAAGGATAACCACATTGACAGTTTGCGGTTTAAACATACAGATATAGAAATATCTTTAAATAAAAAAACTTATATGAGATTATGCCATCTCATTTTCAAGTTAACATTGATAAACCTGGTCTTTTTGCTCAACTATCGTGGTCATCCTTCCTCATACATACGTATGTACATGCATACCGGTACACACATAGCTGGTACATACATACCGACTGACAAAACTCATTCATTTTAAGGCTGCAGATACTTCATTGCATGGGGATGTACCATCCTGTATAGATCTGTCACCCAATTAATCTGCCCAATTGATGCACATTTTGGTGGCTTCAAATTCTTTGCAGTTACAAACAGTGCTACCATGAATATTCTTATACAAATATCTTCAGGCCGATGTGCAACTATTTCTTAACTTGGATTCCTAGAAGTGCATTTGCTGGATCAAGTACATACACATTTTGAAATTTTGGTCAAGACTGTAAAATTGCCCTCCAAGAAGACTGTACCAATTCACTCTCCCACCTGCCATTTTTTTTTCACTGTATAATGACAGGGAGTGGTATATCCCTTTTGTTTTAGTTTGCATTTCCTGGATCATTCCTTAGTGAGACAGAGCAGAAGTGGATTATTTATAAGTTTACACACAAAATTACATTGAGATACAAAAAGAAGAAAAATACAGAGTTCCTCTCCAAAAGGAACTGATAACCTAGTTAAAGGGAAAATGTTTCATATTGACCACAAATTGAACTTTTTTTTTCTTTTGAGACAGAGTCTCGCTCTGTCGCGCAGGCTGAAGTGCAGTGGCACAATCTTGGCTCACTGCAACCTCCGCCTCCCGGGTTCAAGCAATTCTCCTGCCTCAGCCTCCCAAGTAGCTGGGATTACAGGCATGTGCCACCACGCCCAGCTAATTTTTGTATTTTTAGTGGAATGAGGTTTCACCATGTTGGCCAGGCTGGTCTCAATCTCTTGACCTCATGGTCCACCCGCCTCAGCCTCTCAAAGTGCTGGGATTACAGGCGTGAGCCACTGTGCCTGGCCACAAATTGAAATTCTTATGTTTAATGCCATGACATCTAACACTGCGTTCAATCAAAATGTCTACGCATGCAGCTTGAGACCTTTGCACAGAAGGTGCCTAGGGTCATGATTTGGGAAGATTAATCTGCCATCAGTGGAGGGGTGGATAAAAACTAATGTTTATTGGGATCAAGATGAGCAGTCTCTGTGCCAGAAACTTTATTCCTTTAATTTCCACAGCCCTGTGAGGCAGGTGAAATCATCCCCATTTTATGGATGAGGAAATTGAAGTTCAATTGGTTCAATAACATGCCAAAGGTCACTCAACTGATGAACAGTGGAGCTGAGATGCGGAAGACTGAAGACTCACAGCCTGGACTTTTAACCAAACACCACATGGCTTCGCTACAGAAGAAAGTTAGAAAGTTTTCAAAAATAAAATGTAGAGCCAAGTGCCACCTTGGATATAAGGGACTGGGGGACGGGAAGAGGCAAGAACTCCCAGGCTTCCCTCTGGCTGTCAATAGCTAGTGGGTCCTGGCAGTGGGAGCTGGGCCATCAGAGGTGGCGCCTGAAGTGGGGCAGGCACAAAATGGGTTTTCGGGCAAGCATTTGCCCAGGTGATGGTCAAAGCCACAGAAAAAAGGTGTTTTGATGGAGTGGTGGCTGAGTGTGGGGAGAGATGAGCAGGGGACCAAGCCTGGAGCTTGGGCAGCCCACGATTGGACACTAGGAGAAGAAAAGAAGCCAGTGGAGGAGACACTGAGGCTAGGGATGGGGAGGGCACTGTGGAAGGCTGGGCTCCACCTGGCGCTCCGGGGAGCTGGCAGGGGGGCACATCAAGGAGCTCAAGCTGCCTCACCAGCAAATGCCTCTGTTTCTGACCAGGGGCAATGAAATAAAGGGACCCGGTTGAGTAACTGGTTTCTGGTCCCTGCCAGCCCAGGAAGCCAGCACCCACCCTGCCTTACATCCCATGTGCCACTCTCAGCCTTCGAAGCAAAACCAGCTGAGACCAGCACCTGCCAGATCTGAATGCGCAGCTCCAAGTTCTGGGGGGTGGGGGTGGGGGTGAGCCAAGGAGGTCTGGCTTCTCTAGGGCAAGGGTAGGAAGGACAGCAGGGAGGCTCACCCTGAGCCCGGCAGGCAGCCCTTCCTCCTCCTCCCCTTCAGCAAAGAAAGGCAGATAAAAACGTGTTTTTATAAATAGCTCCAGCCCCAGCTGATTTGTAAATTCAGTGGGTTTTTTGTGTCAATGACATCACCTTCCTCCCCATGGCAACCCCCGACGATATCAAAATTGCCAAGCAACGTTGGAGCAGCTCGGCGCCCCAAACGAGCAGGTCGATGCCTGAGGATTTAATGGAGAAATCCCAAAGTGAGCCGGGGCGCGCGGTGGAGGAGGGGCGCGCCGCAGCCGGGGCCGCTGGGCCCTGATGGGCGGGAGCGGGGTGGAGCGGCCTCGCCTGCCAGGCAGCCCTGGGCGCGGGGCTCGGCGGCCACACTCTGGAGACAGCCACGGTCCAGGCAGGTGGGGGAGGGCGCTGCTCCCGTCCTGATGTGCCAGGAGCCGCCAGCAGCCATCCAGGTGACTAAGCCGGCCCACTAGCACTGAGTCACCGCCCGCCTCGAGCTGTTCTTGCTTCTCCTTTGCATCTGATTATTTTGGGAGCTGGAAACTTGGAGCTGCACCTGAGTCCCGCCCCTTCTAGCTCTCCCCTCCCTACCTTGGGCTCCAGGAAGATGGGACTTGCTGTGAGTCTGCTGCCACCCCCTAAAGATATGGAAGACGCTGTGGGGGCCAGAAGTGCCCGGGGGGCTGTGGCAGCAGGCAGAGTGCAATAGCAGATATGGTGGTCAGGCTGCCTGTGTGTGTCCTCTGGAGGTGTTGGGACAGAAGGGCAGTCTTGTCCGAGCTGACTGGAGTCCTCCCGGGCTGGCTCTGAACTCATCTCCCACGGGGATGTTTCGGTAAAGGAGTGGCTTCTGGGGTCGGAGTGGCATTTGGAGAGCGAGGCTGGATTGGCTTAGGCTGGCCTGGGCAGGTAGGTGGCTCTGTGTTGGGTGTGGACCCACGTGTGTGTGAGTGCGAGAGTGTGTAAGCCAGTGTGTGTGCCGTCCCCCTGCTGGGGACAGCAGCTGGGTCCAGCAGAGAGCTGGCTGGGGGCTTGACAGGAGTTTATCCTAACTGATGCTGGGTGGGCGCAGGCCCTGAGATGGGCGTCAGGGAGAGGGGACGCCAGACACACGGCCTGAGCAGGGTGAGGAGCAGCTGCCAGCCCCGGCAGGCCCAGGCCCTGTCTGGGTGCACAGGACAGAGACACAGCAAGATGCCCAGGTAGGAAGCCGTCCGGAGGGGCTGGCCAGGGTGAGAGCCCATCACTGGGGGGCTGGACAGCCCATCAGCTGCCCCTTCATTCTGGCAGGCCTGGGTACCAAGGAAACAGCTTCCTACCAAGAACCATGTCACTCTCTTATGCAGGGCCAGTCAGCACCCATGTGCGTCTCTGCTGAGCTCACAGGGACACATTCAGTGAGAAGGGTGCTGGCCAGGGTACGGCTTCCCCATGATCAGGACCCAGCGGGTGCCACCCTCAAGCCCCTGGTCCCCACAGGGCATGCCCCAGTGTGTGTCAGGAGGAGGGGGGAGGTCCCTTCTCCCCCACACAGCTGGCAGCTTTGCGGGCACCAGTGAGTAAGCTGCCAGAGGGAGGGAGGCTGTGTGCCCACAGTGGCAGGACAATACCAACCAGGAGCCTTCAAGAGAAGAGGCTGGGTGAGAAAAGCACTGAGGTTTTCTTTTCCTTTTTTTTTTTTTTTTTTTTTCTATTTTGCCTGAAGGGAGTGCCGCTTCCTGGGCTAGAGACAAGCACCAGCCTGCAGTGGAGAACGCAGGACCCCGCTGCCCAGAAGGAGCAGCCACGGTAAGGTCCCCACTGCCGCTGCGTGCTCCGGATTCCTGGGCTAGGGACGGGGGTGCCAAGGTGTCCAGGCTGCCTCCCACCTGGGACAGGGAGGCTAACTCCACAGCTGTGGGTTCCTGGGTCAAGGGGCTCCACTCCCCACCCGGCCTGCCACCTTCTTTCCAGATTGATTGTGAAACAGTCCAATCCCAGCTGGTCTCTGGCTCCCTAGCTAGAGGGAGAGGTGCTTGTTTCTACTCTTCCTGCCCCAGCTGGGCCAAGCCAGTGCCACCGGGACACCCCTATCCAAGGCCCCTCTCACTTTACCACCTCTGGGACATTTCCCTTGTGTATTCATTCCACAAATATTTAGGGAGCACTGCTGGGTCCCAGGCTCCAAGTCACACCCTTTGGCTGGGTTTGACCTGGCACAGATTCTGACTCTGAAACTCAGCATCAGGGCAGGTTCAGGGAGCTGCCTGGCCAAGCACGGTCACTCCTCACAGGCCTTGGTCTCCCCACCCCTGCTGCAGGGTGGATGACCTGGTCAGCTTTGGGGACATCGGGCCCAGTGAGCTCGGGTTTATAAAGCACTGGGCCCCACCGGGAAGCAAGGCTAACGTCTTGTGGTCTCCAGTTATCCTTTCCCTGGCATTGTACACCAAGAGGTTTGTGCCGTTCTGCCTGGGGTCTTCCTGAGGCTGGTTCTGGTGGGAACTGGGCTGCAGGAGGAGAGGATGAGCTTAGGAGCCGTGTGGCCCCCAGGCCTGGTGGGCCTGGGACTCAGCCCCACGGGAGCTCATCTAGCTGGGGTTGAGGCCTTTGGGGCAAGCAAGGAGTCCCCTCTGCAGGCAGGCTTCCCTGGCGGTTGTCCTGGCCCAGGCTTGGAGGTGGCACCTGGGAGCCCTAGTGACAGAGCGCCTGGTCAGGGAAGGGTCGGCACCAGAGGCAAGCCCTTCTGGGAGCAGCTGATTTGGATGGAAGCTCTGTGCACCTGAGAGGGGGAGTGTGGGGACTGCACGGCCTCTCCAGTGCCCCGAGGACAAACTGATGCTTTGTGAGTGCTCTGGGCCCTCCCGGACTTGCCAGACACAGGGAGGGTGCAGTGGGTGGGGTCTCCAGCCAAGGAAAGCCCGCTCTGTGCACAACTCCTAAGGATGACCAAAAAGTCCCCTGCCCTGGAGGAGCACATGTGCTCAGAGTCAGGAGGAACCCATAAGTGTCTCTCATGCCAGTGAATTCCCACACCTGGCTCCTGGATGAGGAGAATGACCCAGCTGTGGGGGTATCTCATGCTGCCTCACAAAAGGTGACTCTGTGCCTAGGAGTCTTCCATGCATGCAGAGCTGAGCAGGGGCTGCTGCCCAGTTGGGGTCAGAGGGGCGGAGGCTGTCGAGCACTAGGTAGACAGCAGGCCAGCAGCGGGCAGCAGGTTGGGCCAGGAGGGAGCAGAGAGTAGGGGCCAGGGCAGGCTGAGCAGGAAAGGAAAAGGCTGCCTGGGGTCCTGAGGGCTCAGGGAGGACTCCAGACAGCTGGCCTTCTTATGCCAGCCCGCTTCTGTGGGAGAGGCCCTCTGCGTAGGTGACTGGGCAGGGAAGAGGCTAAGACACTGAAAGATTGAATTCCTCACCCAAATGGCCCAGAGATGCCCACCGCACACAGTGTCCTGGGTGCAGAAGGCAGGAAGGACTCATGGGAGGCTGTCCTGTGGACTGAAGCAGAAAGTCCTTCCCGTAAGATGCGCTCGTCGCCCTGAGCAGGAAGGCCCAGGCTGCGGAAGCAGTGCCTGAGACCTGAGCAGCAGGAAGGACACCAGTAAAGCTCATCAGGAGGCATCTGGCCGCCTGCACCTACCGGGCCTCAAGGAGAGAGCTTATTTCTGGGAGCCTCCTTGGTAGAAAGAGGTGGACTAGCCAGCAGGTTGGGGAGGAGCATTGCAAATGGAAGCTTCTGAGGGCAGAATGAGTTCTGAACTTGCTGAAGCCAAGGCTGGCCCTCCTGCCCAGGGCGAGCAGTCTGCCTGGGCCTGGGAAGTTGTCCCCTTCTGAGGAGGTGCCCTCCACCCCACCAGAGCTCAGCCCTAGGGGCCAGGAAGGGCTAAAGCGAGAAGAGTGAGATGTGAGATAAAGGGGACCGTGTCTCTTCCTGGGAGGGTGTGGGGTCCAGGCAGCACCTTGTTCTGGCGCACAGGCTGCCAAGCAGATGACAGCCATGGCCTGACTACTAGGTGCAAGCACTGGTGGCAGGAAGAGGGGGTGGACAAAGCAGGACAGAGCTCTTGCCCTGGGGATGCTCATAGCCCTGCAGCAGAGCAGTGGAAAGGAAAGCTGAGCTGAGCGTGGGGCCAACCGCGCCAGAAACAAGCGGAGCCACAAAGCCACCATCAGCCCCCAGGTGGCTTCGTCCTTTTGCCAACTCTGGGTCCAACTCATCGCTGAAGTTGGCAGCCATGACCCATCCAGCCCAGATAATTTATAAATTTACACCAATACTGGGCAACGGTTCTTAACATAGAACTTTATAAAGATGGACAAAAAAGATAAGTTGAGAATGACAAACAAAGGAAGAAGCAGCTTCTATCTGCAGTTGCAGGAGGAGGTGAAGGCTCGGGGAGATAGACCAGGGCGGGAAGAGGCAGGATGGTGGTTGGTTAACATGAAGTCAGCAGCATGAGCCTCAGGCCCGGTGCTGCCTCTTCCTGGTGACTCGGGCAAGTTACTTCATGTCTCTGGGTCTCAATTTCCTCTCCTGTCCAACAGAGATAATTATAGTACCTATGAGTTAGGGTTGTTGAGAGGATTAAATAAGATAATAAGTGAATGCTCTGAATGGCATGACTGGCACATACGTACATGTTCAGCAAGAGATAACTATTATCACCGTGATGATAACTGGTGTCAGAGGAACAAAGTGCCAGGAGAGACCATACCTTGTTCGGGGGAATCAGGAAAGGCTTCACGGAGGAGGTGACTTTGAAAGAACCCTCCTCTGAGGAGAAACAAAAGCTCTCAGAATGCCCAGGAAAGCTGGGAAGAAACAATAATGCCAGGTCTATTTTTTTCCCAAATAGCATATTGTTTGTCCACTGAGGCTTTCTAAGGAATAACTTGAGACTCCTCTTTCTGGGGTCTAGACTTGGAGGTCTTGAGGACTTGAAGTGGGCTGCCCCTAGTGAAGGGATCGAGAGCCGGGCTGTGGCCCTGGCCCTACTCCTTTTGGGGACTGGAAGCTTTTTTCACATGCTGGTCCTAACTGCATGAGGAACTGTGTTCTGCTGAGCCCCATCTAAAGCATACACTTGGTGATGTGGCAGGCAGAGGGGCCAGACAAGGCCACGGCAGGCTCCTGGATCACTCTGGCAAGTAGCTTAGAAATGCCTAGTAATCGTGGGCAAGGTGCAGTGGCTCACGCCTGTAATCCCAGCACTTTGGGAGGCTGAGGTAGGCAGATCACAAGATCAAGAGATCCAGACCATCCTGGCCAACATGGTGAACCCCGTCTCTACTAAAAAATACAAAAAATTAGCTGGACGTGGTGGCGCGTGCCTGTAGTCCCAGCTACCCGGGAGGCTGAGGCAGGGGAATCGCTTGAACCCAGGAGGCGGAGGTTGTAGTGAGCTGGGATCGTGCCACTGCACTCCAGCCTGGCCACAGAGCAAGACTCTGTCTCAAAAAAAAAAAAAAAAGGCCAGTAATCGTGAGGTTCCATCTCAGAGACTTTTGTTTTCTCTTTTTTTCTTTTTATTTTTTTTTTTGAGACAGAGTTTCGCTCTTGTTGCCCAGGCTGGAGTGCAGTGGCACGATCTTGGCTCTCTGCAACCTCCGCCTCCCTGGTTCAAGCGATTCTCCTGCCTCAGCCTCCCAAGTAGGTGGGATTACAAGCACCCACCACCATGCCCGGCTGATTTTTGTATTTTTAGTAGAGATGGGGTTTCACTATGTTGGCCAGGCTAGTCTCGAACTCCTGACCTCAGGTGATCCGCCGACCTCAGCCTCCCAAAGTGCTGGGATTACAGATGTGAGCCACCACACCCAGCCTGCTTTTTCTACAAAGGATTATCTGTTCTATGAATTTAGGAAAGGTAATCCTAAAGCTTATTCACCTAAGAAAAACAAGGCAACCCCAGAGCATGACAGGCTTTCTTGGGCTGGGGGAACTCACATGTGAAAAAACAGGTTCCCTCATAACTACATGAGAGGCCGCAACTGCCTCAGCCCCAGCAAAGGGACACCTCTGCTGGCCAGCATTTCCTACAAAACCTCATCACGACACATCAGGCAGGGCAGAGACCCAAGTATTCACATAGGGCCAGTGATGACTTTTTTTGACACCTGTGGATTCTCCGTGGCAACCTATTCCCCAAAAGTGCTGCCTCGGTCAGCCAATCCCAGTGTCTCTCTGCCTAGGCAACAATCTCTTGTGCTCTGGTCTGCCCACAGCCTCCATGCACTCAGCTCTTTGGGCCTCTTGCTAAGGGGCTGGAAGCAGAGCTGTGTCCTTCAGGCTGTCAAGGACCTGGTGAGGGATCCTCTGGGTGTCCAGGGAAGCAGGTTCAGAAAGCTCAGTTCAGCTGGTGCTGTATTTTGATCTCTGATCCCAGTGCAGCGGGGACCAGCCTACTCAACTCAGTGCAGATAGCAACAAACCAGTCACCTTGCCCAAGACCTCCTGCTGCCTGCCTGCCTGCCTGGTGACCAGGACTCCTAAAGGCTGCAGCAGCAGCAGCAGAGTTAAAACTTTAAAACCGGGAGGACTGGTTCTGTGGCTCAGCTTCCTGGCCTGGAGAGGCTCTAGCCTCCATTTTCTTTCTTTCAGCTTATGGAATTGTGCAAGAAAGCACAGAGGGTGGAGGGAGCGAGGGGACCAGTTATGCCACAGCCTCCTGCACCACCAGAGCACAGTCTCAGATCAGCAAAGAGGAGCTCTGAGGAGGAAAAGGCTGCCCCAGGAAAGAGCTGGCCATCTCAGATTGCTGTAGCACATTCAAGCCAAAGGGAGTCCCCGGAGGATGTTTCGTCCAGCCCCCATAATTTTAGAGCGGGAAACAGAGGTCCAGAGAAGGAAAGTGGGTCCTGAGGCCACACAGCTAACTAATGGCAGAGTCAGTTTCCAGCCCAGGGATCCCCAGCTGCCTGCCCAGCACTCTTGCTACCCAGGCTGAACCCCCACCCCCGTGCTACCAAGGGGCCCATGCAGGAGCAGGCAGCAGCCACTGGGTAACTTGATGGCTTGGGAGAGGCGGCCTGGCCTGACACATTGGGAGGCTGGGCAGGTCCCCGCTTTGCTCCTATTGTGCTATTTGGGTGCCTCCTGCCATCCCCCTGCATTCTGCTAGACCTGAAACCACAGCCCAGCCCACGCTTGTCAGTCAAGTGCTTCCCGAGGATAAACTTTGCACACAGCACCCAGGCCACTCTTGGGGACCAGGCCACTCTCTGTTGAAGAGATCTAACTAATTTATAAATTGATTGATTGAAGTTCTTTTTGTCCCAGGTAACTTCATGTCTTAGGCCAAAGAAGGGAGTCATGATGAGTGCCAGAGATGAAACGGAGATTCTGGGGCAAAGGGTAGGGGAGGCACCTGGGAGGCCCTGTTCTTCAGGTGATCTTCTCATTAGTGTAGACTTTTGACCCCAGGCAGACATTTACATGTCCAATAGCCACCATCAGAGGTCAGTTCCCAGAAGCAGGAGGCCTGTCACTTGCCACCGGTCACCAGGCCCAAGCTAGACAAGAAGACTTTTTCTATTCCACTAGAGTGGATCTTGCTGATGATGTGTCTGGGATCCAGAAAGGTGGGGAGAAGTAGAGGTCTCAGCTCCTGGGGAGGGATGGAGCCAGCCCCGGGGGAAGAATGCAAGGCCGCCAGTGAGCAGGCATTCAGGGCTCCTGTCGAGGAGAGGGTGGTCA